>NC_000009.12:41238504-41569114 GCF_000001405.40 Homo sapiens
TTTTGTTGTTTCTATTTATATTTTATTGTGCTATGTCTTGAAATGTTGTTGTAGCTATTACTTTTGATTAGATATTATTTAGTATTCCTACTTTAAATAAGAGTAGTTTGCACACCACACAGCTATAGTGTTATAATATTCTGTTTTGTTTTGTATCCTATTAGCAGTGAGGATTTTTTTTACCTTTAGGTGATCATTTATTACTCATTAATGTCCTTTTCTTCCTGATTGAAGTACTCCCTTTAGCATTCCTTTAGGACAGGTATGGTATTCATAAAATACTTCAGCTTTTGTTTGTCTGAAAAAGTCAGTATTCTTTTTTTTTGAAGAACATTTTCACTGTATATTCTATTCTAAGGTAAAAGTTTCTTTTCTTTAGTACTTTAAATATTTATTGCTTCTCTCTCCTGGCCAGTAGAGTTTCCACTGTAAAGTCTGCTGCCAGACGTGTTGGAGCTCCCCAGTAGGTTATTTGTTTCTTTTCTCTTTCTTCCTTAAGAACTTTTATCTTTGACCTTTGGAAGACTATTGAATGCTTTGAAGTAGTCTTTTTTGGGTTAAATCTGCTTAATGTTCTATAACATTTTTGTAGTTGGATATGGATGTCTTTCTCTAGGTTTGGAAAGTTCTCTGTTATTATCCCTTTGAATAAATTTTTCTACCACTGCCTCTTTCTCTACATCTTCTTTAAAACCAATAACTCTTAGATCTGTCTTTGTGAGGCTATTTTCTAGATCCTCCCCTGCCTCTTTCTCTACATCATCTTTAAAACAAATAACTCTTAGATCTGTCTTTGTGAGGCTATTTTCTAGATCCTGTCCGCATGATTTGTTGTTTTTATTCTTTTTCTTTTGTCTCTTCTATGTATTTTCAAAGAGCCTGTCTTCAAGCTCACTATTTCTTCTGCTTGATCCATTCTGCTATTACATGGCTGTAATGCATTCTTCAGCATGCCAATTGCATTTTTCAGCTCAGAATTTCTGCTTAATTTACTGTAACTATTTCAATCTCTTTGTTGAGTTTAGCTGATAAAATTTGGAATCTCCTTACTTTGTTATCTTAAATTTCTTTCAGTTTTTTTTTTAATACAGCCATTTTGAATTCTCTGTCTGAAACATCACATATCTCTTTTTCTCCAGGATTTGTCCCCAGTGCCTTATTTAGTTCACTTGGTGAGGTCATGTTTTCCTGGATTGTGTTGACGCTAGTAGATGTTCTTCAGTGTCTGGACATTAAAATCTTGGGCATGCAACACCATATGAGAAGTTTAAAAAATAAAATTTAAAGAGAGAAAAGGTGAGTATTTATTGTAGTCTTCACTGTCTGGGATTATTTGTAGCTGTCTTTCTTGGGAAGGCTTTTCACATATATGAAAAGAGTTGGGTGTTGTGATCTAAGCCATATCTGCTTTATGGAGCACCTTATACCCAATAATGCTGTAATTCTTCCAGACTCAGAGAAGTACCACCTTGACAGCCTTCAACAATATCCAGGAGAATTTTCTGGATTACTAGCCACAGACTCTTTCCCTACCCTTATTTTCCCTCAAAGATACAGAGTCTTTCTCTCTGTTCTAAGCCACCTAAACCTGGGAGAAGAAAGACACAAGCACCTCTGGCCACCACTACTATGACTGCCCTGGATCAGACCTGAAGCTATCACAGCACAGGTCTTGCTCAAGTCCTGCTGCATGCACTTTCTGACGACTCCCTATGTTCACTCAAGGCCTTTGGTCTCTACAATTAGCAGGTGGCAAAGCCAGACAGGCCTGTGTTCTTTCCTTTAGGGCAGTGAGATCCCTCAGTCCCTGGCTGGGTCCAGAAGTGCTATTCAGAAGTCAGGGCTTTGGCCACTTTTTAATAGGGTTTTTTGTTTTTCTCTTATAAATTTAAGTTCCTTATATTGAATATTAGATCTTTGTCAGATACATAGTTTGTAAATATTTTTTCCTCATTCTATATGTTGTCTGTTCACTCTCTTGATAATTTCTTTTGCTGAGCAGAAGCTTTTAAGTTTAATTAGATCCCACTTGTCAATAGTTGTGTTTATTGTTTTTGGTGTCTTTATCATGAAATCTTTGCCTCTTTCTATGTCCAGGATGGTATTGTCTAGGTTGTCTTCCAGAGCTTTTATAGTTTTGGGTTTTACATTTAAGTATTTAATCCATCTTGAGTTGATTTTTGTATATGGTATAAGGAAGAAGTCCAACTTCAATCTTCTGCATATGGCTAGCCAGTTATCCCAGCACCATTTATTGAATAGGGAATCTTTTCCCCATTGATTGTTTTTGCCAGCTTTGTCAAAGTTTACATAGTTGTAGGTATGTGGTCTTACTTCTAACCTCTCTATTCTGTTCCACTGGTGTATGTGTCTGTTTTTGTACTAGTACCATGCTGTTTTGGTTACTGTGGTGCTGCAGGTTAGTTTGAAGTTGGGTAATGTGATGCCTCAAGCTTTGTTCTTTTTGCTTAGGATTGCCTTGGCTACTTAGGTTCTTTCTTGGTTCTATATGAATTTTTAAACAGCTTTTTTCTACTTCTGTGAAGCATGTCATTGGTAGTTTAATAGGAATAGCTTTGGACAGTACAACCATTTAAATGATATTAATTCTTTCTCTCCATTAACATGGAATGATTTTTCATTTATTTGTGTCTTCTCTGACTTCTTTGGGCAGTGTTTTGTAATTTTCATTGTAGAGATTTTTCACCTCCCTGGTTAGCTGTATTCTTATGTACTTTATTCTTTTCGTGGAAATTGTGAATAAAATTGCCTCTCTGATTTGGCTTTTAGTTTGGCTCTTCTTGGTGTATAGGAATGCTAGCAAATTTCGTACATTGATTTTGTGTCCTGAAACTTTGTGGAAGTTGTTTATCAGCTTAAGGAATTTTGGGTCACAACTATAGGGTTTAGATACAGAATTATGTTGTCTTTAAACAGAGGTAGTTGGACTTCTCTTTCTATTTAAATATGCTTTATTTCTTTCTCTTGTCTGATTGCTCCAGAAAGGACTTCTAATACTATGTTGAATAGGAGTGGTGAGAGAGGGCATCCTTGTCTTGTGCGGGTTTCAAGGAGGATGCTTCCAGATTTTGCCCATTTAGTATAATGTTGGCTGTGAGTTTGTCATAGGTGGCCTTTATTATTTTGAGGTATGTTCCTTTGATACCTCGTTTATTGAGAATTTTTAAATGAAGCTTTGTTGAATTTTACTGAAAGTCTTTTCTGCATCTGTTGAGACAATCACGTGGTTCTTATCTTTAGTTTTATTTATGTTATGAATCACATTTTATTGATTTGCCCATGATGGACCACCCTTCCATTCCAGGGAAGAAGCTTATTTCACTATGGTGAATTAGCCTTTTGATGTGTTGCTAGATTCAGTATGCAAGTATTTTGTTGTGGATTATTGAATGGATGTTCATCAAGGATACTGGCCTGAAGTTTTCTTTTTTTGTTTTGTCACTGCCAGGCTTTGGTATCAGGATGATTCTGGCCTCATAGAACAAGTTGGGGAAGAGTCCCTCCTCCTCTATTTCTTGAAATAGTTTCAGTAGGACTGGTACTGGCTCTTCTTTGTACATCTGTTAAAATTTGTTAATCTATCAGGTCCTGGCTTTTTGGGGGGTTGGTAGGCTATTTATTACGGATTCAATTTTTGGAGCTCATAATTGGTCTGCTCAGAGACTGAATTTCTTCCTGGTTCAGTCTTGAGAGAGTATATGTGTCCAGGAATTTATTAATCTCTTCTAGGGTTTCTAGTTTGTGTGTATAGAGGTGCTCGTAGTAGTTACTGGTTGTTATTTTTATTTCTCTGGGGTCAGTGGTAACATTCCCTTCATCATTTCTAATTTTCTTTATTTGAATCTTCTCTCATCTTCTTTATTAATCTAGCTAGTGCCCTATCTTAGTAATTTTTTCAAAAAACCTTGATTAAGTGATCTTTTGAACAGTTTTTCATGTCTCAATTTCTTTCAATTCAGCTCTGATTTTAGTTATTTCTTGTCTTCTACAAGCTTTGTGGTTGAGTTCTCCTTGCTTCTCTAATTCTTTCAGTTGTGATGTTAGGTTGTTAATTTGAGATATTTCTAATTTTTTGATATGGGCATTACTTCTTATGCCCGACTCTAAATTTTGTTCTTCTAGAAAACTCAGAACTATGCTTTCTAAACCAATTCAAACTTTCTCAGTGAATCAACCTGGACTCCCTGAGGCCAAGTTAGCAATTTTCCATTACACGTGGTTCTCTTTCTCTGTAAGAATATCTAATGCAACAATTCAAGTGTTTCTTTCCCTCCTGGTAATGCGGGGAACTCCTTTTGGCTGAGACCAAGACTTAAAACCTTGTTCTTTCAACGTTAATGAAGATCTATTTAGAAAGCCTCCATTTTTGCAGAAAAGATATATAAACACCAATGAAAATCAATATGAAATTATATGACATACAATTATATTGTGGAAAGACTGAATAAATAAGTGAACTAAGCTCTAAGAAAAAAAGATGATGATATAAAATGATATAGAAGTAAAAACCTGGGCTAGTATAGCATAATTAATGTATCAGTAAAGTATGTACATTGTAGAAGTGGCAGGAAGACAGCATAGAGAGTGAGACCTGACCAAAAGCTTTAAGGAAAGTTCTATACCCTTAAACGAGATTAAAGTGGACTCAGGAAAACATGGGCCAAATGAGGGGAAGGACACATGTTCCAGACGAGCCAAAGCTCAGAACATCTCTACCTTCTCCAGGAGGAAAGGGGAGGCAAAGCAGCAGGCAGAAGACAGCACGGCCTCGTCAGCACAGGGCACCCAGGCCAAGCCAGGTGGGCTCCATCATACAGGTAGTGAGGAGTCACTGCCAGGTGGGCTTTATTCATTAGTTTGTTTTGTTTCTTTTAGTAACGAAGACACATGATCAAAGTTGCCCTTTGTAAGTGTTGCTGCAGCTGAACAAAAAGATGGATAAAACCAGTGTTTTAAAAATTATGTTGTATACAGCACTAGCCTCAGTGAGGTATTAGTAGAACACACAGGCACACACACGCACACACACTCACACTAAGCCCAGATTATTCTGGCAAATGCTGGGTTAAGCAAACTAAAAGAAACATCTTTAGTGCTGGACTTCTCAGAACCTGGAATGTGGCTATATGACTCATAAAACAGCAAGGTTAAGACAGAGCATGTCATTTTTTCCCAGAAATGCTGAAACACTTTCCTTCCCTTGGCTTCAGTGTCAACCTTCTTTCTCCTGGTTCTCCATCAACCTCTTTGGCTGATCCTTCTTGATTTCCTTTTTGACAATCTGCTGCTGCTCAGCCATTCTCTTTTCATTCCCCATGGATTTCTCAAGTGCTTTTCTATTCCTGCATTTTAAACTTTCCTTGTTTTTCCTGACACCTCCCCTTGTCTGACCCACCCCTGTTCTAAGGCAGGTGTTCCATCTGTGTGCGTTTTTGGCATCCTGGGATGCTCCCAGCATGTTCCCTGCCACACTCCATCAGGTTTTCTCCGCAGACTCTGTGAGGGCAGCAGACTTGTCTCCATCATTCCTTCAATGCTCAGCACATAACACAGAAGCTGACTCCATAACATTTAGTTGGCCAACTGAGACTAAATATATGTTCCTCTAGATCTTAAAAAGTTACAGAAACATAGCACAATAGACAAAATATTCTCTTTAGTCAGGAGTTCTCTATATATGTACAACAGTTTGAAGTCATTATTAAAGCAAAGTGAAAGAGAAACTGTCACAGAACTCCCTAAGATAAATTATTTTGCTTTAGTCTGCATCATGTGAGATAATCAAGACCATGTGTTATTGTAAATATTTCTAGCTTACAACACAACGACCTGATTTTTATTGTTTGAAATAACCGCAATATAAATCAGTTAATAAAAAATTGCATAAATAATCCTTTCAAATAAAATTCTGCCTAAATTTTACATTACTCATATGTTCAAATGATAATGAGCTCATAGGCTTTTCCAATACCTCAGTCAAAACACTACTGATTCCAGCTGTGGGAATAGCATCTGAAAGTTATTTTACAGATGGGGAAAAGGTACTTACGTGACATTGGCCTTTGCACTACTGTGCCCTTTTAAGTCAGGAAAAAGCTGTTCCCTTAAAATCCTAAAATATCTTCTGTCAGGTCTGAAGGGTGGGTGGGAAACACAGTTTTACAAATTTTAGCCACAGATGTTTTATTCCTTGCTTAAAGCAGTGACTAGATAAAGGCCACTAGAAGAGTCTCCAATGTTTCTTTAGAAGCGTGTGCCTGAGAACATCTTCCAGAAACACTCCCTTGTCTCTGCCCAAAATCACCTTAGGTAGGGAAATCGAAACTCAGCAGCCTGAGGGGATCCAAGGGGATCACTGAGCTCTGAGTCTTATGAGAGAAGAGAGAGAGGTCTAAGACTTTTTGTGTATAAATTTATGGGTTCCAAGTGTAATTTTGCTGTAAGCATGGATGGCATAGTGGTGAAGTCAGGGCTTTTAGGTATCCATCACCAGAATAATGCACACTGTACCCATTAAGTAATTTCTCACTGTTCACCCCTTCCATCCCCTCACCCTGCTGAGTCTCCATTATCATTCCACTCTCTACATCAATATCTACACATCTTTTAGCACCCGCTTATGAGTGATAAAATACGATGTTTACTCTGTGTCTGGCTTGCTTCACTTACAACCATGGCCTCCAGTTCCATCCATGTGTCTGCAAAAGTTATGATTCTATTGTTTCTTATGCCTGAATAGTATTTCATTGTGTATATTTTCTACATTTTCTTTCTCCAATCATTTGTTGATGGGTATTTAGTTTCATTTTATGTCTGTGCTACTGTGAATAGTGTTGCAACAAATACACAAGTACAGTTATCTTTCTGATACATTGATTTCTTTTCCTTTGCATAAATACTCAGTGGTGGGATTGCTGAATCAGACAGAGCCAATAGATGATCAGTAATGGTGGCCAATCATCAGCTAGAAAGAAAGTGCTTAGCAGGGCTTGAAATCACCAAAACTCTGAGACCACTGACCTTCAAAAACTTCAACAGCCCTGAGTGAAAAGTCCAAACACATTTATCTACTATTCGAAGACGCTTTATTGTCTGTCCTCTGTGCATCTCAGTAGTCTCTTTTTACCACACTGTCTATATACTGCATGAGCCATTTATATGAAACTATCTGACACTCCAAGGCATCTTATACTATATATTCAACCATCTATCCCTAGTACCTAGCACAGTCCTGGCATATAGTTTGCTACTAAACTTTTACAGAATGAAGGAATTATCTTGTATCCAGGTTCCAAGTTTTAAGGTGATTCTTCACTAAAAAAAAAGTATTACAGTTCACAAATAATCTACTTCCCTTTTTACAAATGGGATCAATTTTAATCTTATCTCCTAATAACATTACTTTCATTTACTCTGATCTAAATATACTGTCCTAAGAGAGCAATAAGAAAGAGAGTTGAAGCTGGAGTTTGAAGAATTGTACATGGTCCTGTGATACCCTACCTTGTTTTAACCTGAGTGACTCTCTCCTAGCGGAGAGAGAGCCGGACAGACTCCATTTTAGTTTCTTCACGTGCAGCCCCCTTTACCTCCCACCCTTAATTGCATAACTAGTGTAAACTGACTCAAAGCAGGTCCAGGAATGCACTTACTGATAAGATATTGAGGCAAGCTGCACCAGCTGCTCCTGGGTACGCAATCGGTGAATGTCATGCAAAACCCCTGCATTTCTCTCTTTGTGATAGTTTAAGCCCCTGCACCTGGAACTGTTTATTTGTTTTGTAACTGCTATTGTAACCAATTAATTTTTTAACTATTTGCCAGCTCTGCTTCTGTAAAACTTGTTTCAGCTAAACTCCCCCTTCCCCTATTTAGACCACGGTATAAAAACAAAACCAACCCCTTCCTCGGGGCTAAGAGAATTTTGAGCATTACATGCCTCTCGGTTGCCGGCTAATAAAGGACTCCTTAATTTGTCTCAAAGTGTGGCGTTCCTCTATAACTCGCTTGGTTACAACAGTCCACACTGTGGCCTGAGGTGCATCGCCCACCTGAGCTTCATCTGTTATGTATGTCAGGGAATATAAGCAGGGTGAGAGTGGCCTCATCAGAGGACCCCAGATCTCTGGCTTACCCATCTGGCAAGTGCACCTCTGTGAGCAAAGACTTCAGAGCCAGATGACAAGAACGGCCCAAGCAGTCCACCAGGGAAACCTGGGCCCAGTGTACGTCAATGCAGAGCATCAAGCATGGTGTAACAGGTGCACAGTTGCCTACTGCTGTTCAGAGATGACTGCATCCCACATACTGTAAAATGAGGAAATGCAGAGAAGCAGATGTAACTGAAGAAGACAGCAGAAGCAACAAGGAGGGACAATCAGGACCTAGGAGGGCACCATGCCAGAGACGCCTGGACCCCACGCTAGGCTCAGTGCCTGTTATACTCTTGGGAGCCAGCACTTTCCCTCTCCATCACATGACATACTTGCCATTATTTGTTGTGTAAAATATTGTCCTTAGTTTACACCTTTCCTAGGAGACACAGGCAGAGCCTGTGACACTACAGCTTCTGGCACACAGTAGGTAGGTGCATCACAAACATCTGTTGAGTTCACACACTCTTGCCTTCTCAAACCTTCTTGTCAAGTCTTCAGTGAAACGGAATTGCTGATTGAGCAAGAATTAAACTTCTAGAGACTCCTGGATCCACTGAAGTTTGAGACAAGGCGAGATTTGTTTACTGTCATATTCCTAGCTCATAACATATTGTAGTCACTTAAAAAAGTTTGTTGAATAAGTGAGTAAATTGATTCATATGTCATACTTAGCTATATATTTTCTGAGTAAAATTGATAAAGTTAATAATTTAAATCTAGTATAATTTTGCTTTACTCATTCAACGAACCTGACAATTCAACTAGGTGCCAGGCACACTGCTGCTGAAGAAAAAGAGGTATAAGATATAATTTCTGTCTACAAGAAAGCCACAGTCTAAAAAGTAGAAACATATGAACAAATCGTAACAATAAATAGGCTAAATTCAAAATCATAGGAGTTTGTTTCTATTTTAAACAGCTCTAGTCAGGAAGTGTTAGAGAGTTCTAAACAGGAAATGTTCCAACACATCATCTAAGCATGAAGCTGGAGACACCCATAATTGAGTTTGCTGCCACCAACCCCAACAGCAAGAATTCCAGTCCTGCTGCTGCAAAGTAAGTGTCACTCTGATTTTATTGCTGCTGTGTAACCCAGTTTTAGACTCTCTGGTTCTCACTTAATGTTCTAAAAAAGTATTAAAGAGAAAATTTTATTCTGGTGATGAGCCCATCCACTGCAGCCATCTCAACATCATGCCAATTATAAGCCTATCATTTAAAAAGAAAGCAGTTAGTTTAACTTATTTATCCAAATATCAGTATTACATAAACATATTTGTCATCAGACTTTGGACTTATGGGTTAAATAGCATATAAATATGATTAGAGCCTTAAAGTTTACACTTCTCTGGTTCGCTCAAATTTTTTTCAAAATAGCATATGCCTTTCTAAACAATGGTTAGTATATTTTTTAAAATGAACATTAAAATGTATATTTTCCAAAAACAAAATACAGCTCCCATTGGTAAATGATGCTATTGAGACACAACAGACAACTTCTCTTGGGAACCATTTAATCAGTGCTCACTTTCGCACTCTTTCCAGAAATGTCAATGGCTTTGAAATATAGAAGTATATTATACAAATAAACTTATACTTATTCAGTATTGTGCAATATTTAGTACTTGTTCTAGCCATCTCTTGCTGAATAGTAAGCCATTCCAAAACTTAAGGAATTATTTATTGTTTAATATTGTTTATTGTTATTATTTGTTTAGTAATTTTAATAACGTTATTTCTCATGGTTTTGTGGGTTGATGGGCACTACATAAGTTGTCTTTTGGAGTCTTTCTTGCAGTTGCAGTTGGTTGGCTGCTGCTGAAGTCACCTGAAAGCTCAATTAGGCTAAAGAGTCTAGACGGGTCACTTACATGGCTGGCAGTGCATATTGGCTGCTGAGTGTGATGCCTATCTGACCTCTCCATGTTACCTGGAGTGCTCACAACGTGGTAGTTTGTCCCAAGACACACAGGCAAATACTACAAAGCTTCTTAGGACCTAGCCTTGGAGGTCCTAGAATACAACTTCTGCTCCATCCTATTGGAAAAGCAAGTCATTGTGACCAACACAGATTCAAGAAATGGGAGATTCGACTCTACCTGTCAATGTAAACAGCAGCATGTGCATGCAGGGAGGAAAGAAATTGAGGGCATCATCTTGAAGACTATCATATCACAACATTATTCCAACTAATGAACATTATGTTTTAGATGGGTAGTACTAGCTACTCATCTGTCCCCCAGAAACCCAAGCTAAGCATGGACATATTGAAGAGAATGTCAGCACCATTAAAAAAAACTCTAGAAAAATCACATGTGATGACTGAGGTTAATTCAGTCTGTCAATTACATCAATATAATTGCCTTCTTGTAACCCTAAGTATAGTGAAGCAGAATTGAATTCTACAAAAGTCTTTCATCTGTTTTCCTATGGAATAATTAACAAACCCAATAAATGTATAAATAGCATCAAGTCCCACTTATTTTAGATTTTTACCTCATAATTTCAAAGCTTATAGAAATCCAGAGAACTAATCATCATAATCCATAATGCCTGGACCAGAAGTCCTTGTTCTAAGAGTATCTTGTGGCGTGCTAAAAATGTATTACTAACTAGGAAATTTAAAACTTTTTTGTTAGTGGTTTTAAGAGAGCTGACTAGCTCATCACCACAATTCACACAGATTAAGAAAGGAGGTTACTCTGTGGAGTGGATTCATAGTGATCAGAAAAAAAAATCACAAAAGAGGAAAGGAGATAGGGAAGGGGAAAGATACTGTCAATCTCTACAATTAAAGTGATTTTTCCAATGGTTTGATTTTGTATTTGCAAAGGAAAGGCAGCTTAATGTGATAGAATAAGAATCCCACTTCTGTATCTTTTTTTTTTTTTTTTTTGAGACGGAGTCTCGCTCTGTCGCCCAGGCTGGAGTGCAGTGGTGCGATCTTGGCTCACTGCAAGCTCTGCCTCCCGGGTTGACGCCATTCTCCTGCCTCAGCCTCCCTAGTAGCTGGGACTACAGGCGCCCACCACCACGCCCGGCTAATTTTTTGTATTTTTTGTAGAGACAGGGTTTCACCGTGTTAGCCAGGATGGTCTCGATCTCCTGACCCTGTGATCCCCCCATCCTGGCCTCCCAAAGTGCTGGGATTACAGGCATGAGCCACTGTACCTGGCTCGTCTTCTTTTGAGAAGTGTCTGCTTATGTCCCTTGTCAATGTTTTAATGGGGTTGTTTTCCTAATGTCCAACATCACTAATCATCAGAGAAATGCAAGTCAATGTGAGATACCATCTCATATTAGTCAGAATGGCTACTATTAAAAAGTAAAAACATGACAAATTCTGGTTAGACTTCAGAGAAAATGAAATGCTTATACACTGTTGGTGAGAATGTAAATTAGTTCAGCCACTGTGAAAAGCACTTTGGAGATTTTTCAAAGAATTTAAAACAGAAGTGCCATTCAACCAGCAATTCCATTACTGAGTATATATCCAAAAGAAAATTAAGAATTCTACAAAAAGAAACCCGACATGCACTTGTATATGTGTCATATTGCTATTCACAATAGGGAAGGCATGGAATTAACTTATGTGTGAATCAATAAATTGGATAGAAATATGTGCCACATATACACCATAAAACACTATGCACACGTTAAAAAGAATACAATTATGTCCTGTGCAGTAACATGCATATGTCTGGAGGCCATTATCATAAGGAAATTAATACAGGAACAGAAAACCAAATACCATATGTTCTTGCCTATAAGTAGGATCTAAACATGGGGTACTCATGAATATAAAGATGACAACAATAGACACTGAGAACTACCAGATGAATGAGGGAAGGAGGAGGGCAGGAGGTGAAAAACCATAGGTGCTATGCTTACTGCATAGGTGATGGGATCAATTATACCCCACAACATATGCTCACTACCTTGGTGATGGGATCAATAATATCCCACATTGCTCAGCATCACACAATATATCCATGTAATAAACCTGCAGATATACTCCCTGAATCTAAAAAAATTAAGGCAGAGATAGAGTAAGAGGGCAGAATAGAAGCCTACATTCTCATCCACCACACAAAAACACCACATTTTCACAACTAACTACTTTCAAGAAGCACTGTCAAAGGGACCAAAAATTGGGTGAGCAATCAGAGTACCTGGTATTAACTTCATATCACTGAAACAGACATTGGAGAAGACAAAAAAATAAAAGACAGTCTAGAAGCACGGATGCCACCTCTTTTTCAACCACCACTAGTGGCTACATCGTGCAGAGATAGTATGTTTGGGAGAGGGAGCGCATAGTTTGTGAAGCTTTGCAATAAACTCAGTACTACCCTGTCACAGTGAAAAGCAGAACCAGACTGTACTCAGCTGACATCTGCCAATGGAAGGAGCATGTGTATTGGCCCTAGAAAGAGGAAAACCTCCTATCCTAGTGTTGGGAGCTTGAGTTTTTACAAGTCTTGCCATCATGAGTTGACGTGCTATTGGACTCTAAGAGAACTTAAGGGGCAGTCTAGGCCACAAGGACTTCAATTATTAGGCAAGTCGTATTCCGAGCTGGGCTCAGAGCCAGTGGAATGTGGAGGGTGGGGAGTATGGGGTCTACTGAGACAGCAGCCAGAGCAGCTAAGGGAGTGCTCACAACACCACTCCCCCACCCCCCACCTAGCAGCAGCCACACAACACACAGAAACCTGTGAATTTGGGAGAGGGAGAGCACAGTGACTGGAGGACTTTACATCAAACTCAGTGCTGCCATGTCAGTAAAGACCTGGCAGAATTCATCACCTGCTGACTAAAGAACCCCTGTACCCAGAATAAAAAACAGTGACAACCAGGTAATATGCCATGGGCATTGGGCTCTGAGAAGTGCTAAGTTCAGGTGTGACCCAGTACATTTCTAGCTGTGGTAGCTATGGTGAAAGACTTCTGCTTGAGAAAGGCATGGGGGAAAGTAAAGGGAACTCTACATTGCACCTGGTATACCAGCTCAACCACAGTGGGGTAGATCACCAAGCAGATTCTTAGAGTCCCTGAGTCCAGGCCTAGGGTCTTCTTGGTCAGCATTTCTGCACTTGCCCTGGGCCAAAGGTCGAGTCCCAGGCATTGCAGAATTTATCACAAGCTAACTAAAGAGTCCTTGGGCTTTAAGTGAGAAAGTGATGATGATTTGGTGGAAACCCCCCATGGGCCAGTAGTGTTGGCAGTCATAGAAGAAGCTCTTCTGCCTGCAGAGAGGGGAAAGAAGAGTAGAAAATACTTTGTCTTATTCCCTAAGTGCCAGGTTAGCTACAATAAAATAGAAGAGCAGCTAAATTTTGAAGATTCTATGCTTTAGTCTCTGGCTCCCAGGTAGCATCTGTGGACCCACTCATGGCTAGGGGAACTTGCAACCCTATAGGCAGAGACACAAACCTGGCTGGCATTGCCAACTATTAATCACAGAGTCCTAGGGCTTTGAATAAACTTATATGGTAGCCAAGTAGTGGTTGCAGTGGGCCTTGTGTGAGACCAAGTTCTGTGCCTACTTCAGGTGTGAACCAGCACAGTCTCAGTGGTGGCTGCCACAGGAGATCTTCTGTTACCCCAACCCCAGCTCCACATGTCTCAGCACAGAAAGAGAGACTGCTGATTTGAGAGAAAGTAAGGGAAGAGAACAAGTTTCTCTACTTGATAAATCAAGAGAATTTTTCTTGATGTTAATCCAAGGCCACCAAGGCAGTACCTCTACGTGTTTGCATAAACTACTGTGCTATTGGGTTTGGGACCCAAGTTTCTTTGAATACCTGGAAAGTGTTCCCGAAGATAATGGGCACTAACAAGCCCAGACTGTGAAGACTACAATAAAGACTGAATTCTTCAATGCCCAGATACAGATGAATATCTACAAGTATCAAGGCCATCCAGGAAAACATGACCTCACCAAACAAGCTAAATAAAGTACCAGGGACAAATCCTGGAAAAACAAAGATATGTGACCTTTCATACAGGAAATCCAAAATAACTGGTTGAGGTAATTCAAAGAAATGTACAATATAACACAGAGAAGGAATTCAAAATTCTATCAGATAAATTTAACAATGAGATTGAAATAAAAAGAATAAAGTAGAAATTCTGAGGTTAAAATGCTATTGTCATACTGAAAAATGGATCAGAATTACTTAAAAGAATTGACCAAGGAGAAGATAGATTTAGTGAACTTGAAGCCAGACTATTTAAAAATACAAAGTCAGAGGAGACAAAAAGGAATAAAAAATAAAGCATGCCTATAGAATTTTAAAAAATAGCCTCAAAATAGCAAATCTAAGAGTTACTGGCCTTAAAGAGGAGGTAGAAAAAGAGATGAGTTGAATATTTATTTAAATAAATAATATTAAATCATATTAAACAATTCCTCAACATTTGATATCAACATTCGAGTAACAGAAAGTTACAGAACATAAAGCAGATTTAACCCAAAGAAGACCACCTCAAGGCACTAAACTGAACTCCCAAAGGTTAAGGATAAAGAAATGATTCTAAAAGCATCGAGAGAAGAGAAACAAATAACATTCAGCGTAACTCCAATACATCTGACAGCAGACTTTTCAAGGGAAAATTTACAGGCTGGAGATTGACATGACATATTAAAAAACTGAAGGAAAAAAAGACTTTTACTTTAGAATAATGTATCTGGCAAAAACGTCCTTTAAACTTGACGGAAAAATAAGAACTTTTTCCAACAAACAAAAACTGAGGGATTTCATTAACACCAGACCTGTCCTACAAGAAATGCTAAAGGGATATCTTAACCTAAAAGAAAACAAGTTAGTGAGCAATAAGAAATCATCTGAAGGTACACAACTCACTAGCAATAGCACATGGAAAAACACTGAATATTATAATATGGTAATTATGGGGTGCAAAAATCTCAAATAGAAAGAGTAACCAATAAACCAATAAAAATAATACCTACAACGTATTTATTTCCAATACATAGACTGTAAAATAGGGAATGAAGAGAAACAACAAAAAGTTGAAAAGAATGGCAGTATAGAGTTTTTATTAGTTGTTTTGCTTGTTTCTTTTTTTAATTATACTTTAAGTTATAGAGTACATGTGCACAACGTGCAGGTTTGTTACATATGTATACACGTGACATGTTGGTGTGCTGCACCCATTAACTCGTCATTTAGCATCAGGTATATCTCCTAATGCTATCCCTCCCCCATCCCCCTACCCCTCAACCGTCCCTGGTGTGTGATGTTCCCCTTCCTGTGTCCACGTGTTCTCATTGTTCAATTCCCACCTATAAGTGAGAACATGCGGGTGTTTGGTTTTTTATCTTTGTGATAGTTTGCTGAGAATGATGGTTTCCAGCTTCCTCCATGTCCCTGCAAAGGACATGAACTCATCATTTTTTATGGCAGCATAGTATTCCATGGTGTATATGTGCCACATTTTCTTAATCCAGTCTATCATTGTCGGACATTTGTGTTGGTTCCCAGTCTTTGCTATTGTGAATAGTGCTGCAATAAACATACGAAACATACGTGTGCATGTGTCTTTATAGCAGCATGATTTATAGTCCTTTGGGTATATACCCAGTAATGGGATGGCTGGATCAAACGGTATTTCTAGTTCTAGATCCCTGAGGAATCGCCACACTGACTTCCACAATGGTTGAACTAGTTTACAGTCCTACCAACAGTGTAAAAGTGTTCCTATTTCTCCACATCCTCTCCAGCACCTGTTGTTTCCTGACTTTTTAGTGATCGTCATTCTAACTGGTATGAGATGGTATCTCATTGTGGCTTTGATTTGCATTTCTCTGATGGCCAGTGATGATGAACATTTTTTCATGTGTCTTGGCTGCATAAATGTCTTCTTTTGAGAAGTGTCTGTTCATATCCTTCACCCACTTTTTGATGGGGTTGTTTGGGTTTTTCTTGCAAATTTGTTTGGGTTCATTGTAGATTCTGGATATTAGCCCTTTGTCAGATGAGTAGATTGGAAAATTTTTCCCCCATTCTGTAGGTTGCCTATTCACTCTGATGGTAGTTTCTTTTGCTGTGCAGAAGCTCTTTAGTTTAATTAGATTCCATTTGTCAATTTTGGCTTTTGTTGCCATTGCTTTTGGTGTTTTAGACACGAAGTCCTTGCTGATGCCTATGTCCTGAATGGTATTGCCTAGGTTTTCTTCTAGGGTTTTTATGGTTTTAGATCTAACGTTTAAGTCTTTAATCCATCTTGAATTAATTTGTGTATAAGGTGTAAGGAAGTGATCCAGTTTCAGCTTTCTACATATGGCTAGCCAGTTTTCCCAGCATCATTTATTATGTAGGGAATCTTTTCCCCATTGCTTGTTTTTCTCAGGTTTGTCAAAGATCAGATAGTTGTAGATATGCAGCATTATTTCTGAGGGCTCTGTTCTGTTCCATTGGTCTATATCTCTGTTTTGGTACAAGTAACATGATGTTTTGGTTACTGTAGCCTTGTAGTATAGTTTGAAGTCTGGTAGCGTGATGCCTCCAGCTTTGTTCTTTTGGCTTAGGATTGACTTGGCGATGTGGGCCCTTTTTTGTTCCATATGAACTTTAAAGTAGTTTTTTTCCAATTCTGTGAAGAAAGTCATTGGTAGCTTGATGGGGATGACATTGAATCTATCAATTACCTTGGGCAGTATGGCCATTTTCATGATATTGATTCTTCCTACCCATGAGCATGGAATGTTCTTCCATTTGTTTGTATCCTCTTTTATTTCATTGAGCAGTGATTTGTAGTTCTCCTTGAAGAGCTCCTTCACATCCCTTGTAAGTTGGATTCCTAGGTATTTTATTCTCTCTGAAGCAATTGTGAATGGGAATTCACTCATGATTTGGCTCTCTGTGTGCCTGTTGTTGGTGTACAAGAATGCTTGTGATTTTTGTATATTGATTTTGTATCCTGAGACATTGCTGAAGTTGCTTATCAGCTTAAGGAGATTTTGGGCTGAGACGATGGGGTTTTCTAGATATACAATCATGTCATCTGCAAATAGGGACAATTTGACTTCCTCTTTCCCTAACTGAATACCCTTTATTATGACCACTATGAAGGAGTTTATGACCGCTAGGTTTGTTCTTCAAGAAATGCTAGAAAGTCCTTTGAGATTAAAAAATGAGAGTACCAAAAAAGCCATAGAATACTATAAAGCTCTGTTGTAAAGCAAATATATAGAGAAATATAGCATCCTGTATTATTGTGATGTTGGTAAGTAATTTCAATCCCCTTATAGTATTTGACACCAATATACAAAAATATTTTATATGTATGTTAAAGAATACATCATGTAAAAAGGCCTAATTTGTGACATCAAGAACAACATGAGTGTTGGGAAAGACAGTCATGTAAAAGACTGGAGTTTTTATATGCTACTGAGATAACATCAGATTAAACTAGATTGTTATAACTTTGAGATGTTTCATGTCACCTGTATAGTAATCACAAAGATAATACATGTAGAATGTATACAAAAGAAAAAGAAATAAAAACATATTAGCACAAAAATTAATTAGACAAAAAGGAATACAGCAAGAAATAAAATAAATAAACAAAAGAACTACAAAAGAAACACAAAACAATTAACAAAATGGCAGTAGTAACTCCTTAACTGCAAATAATAACCTTATATGTAACAATGTTAAATTCTCCAATAACAGACAGAAGGTCACTGAAGAAATAAAAATATAAAATCGAATGAATTCTGTTTATAAATTGTTTATAAAAATAAAAATATAAAATCAAATAAATTATGTTTATTTAAGGATAAACATGGAATGAAAGTGCAGGGATGGAAAATTATATTCTATATGGTAACCAAATCATCCTAAATAGCAACCAAAATAGAACAAAGTGGGTCACATTTACATTAGATGATTAGACTTTAAGCAAAAAACTGTCATAAAGACAAACAAGGACATTATATAATAAAAATAAATCTCCAAGAAGATATCATAATTAAAATATGCACATGAATCAGCAACTATTCCAAACACATAACACAAATAATGACAGAATTAAAAGGAGAAATAGGCTGAGTACAGTGGCTCACGCCTGCTTGTAATCCCTGCATCTTGGCGGGGGCAGAGGCAGGAGGATGGCTTGAGCCCAGGAGTAGAGACTAACCTGGGCAAGATAGCAACACTTCGTCTGTGTAAGAAACAAAATTATAAATAAAAATAAAGGGAGGAATAGAGACCACCACCAAAATGATAGGAGACTTTAATAATGGAGAGGACAACCTGGGAGACCAAATGAAGACAGAGGATTGAGCAAGGAGTGATTCAACCAAATCCAACAGACTTTTAGAAACGGTCTTCTCAACAAGAGAATGCGCATGATTCTGGTGTGCACATGGAACATTCTTGAGACTATATCACAAATCGGACCACAAAGAAATCAATTCAAGAAAATTAAAATCATACGAAGTATCATTTACAACTAAAATGGAATGGAACTAGAAGTGAATACCAGAAGAAAAATTTAAAAATTTGCAAATACATAAAAATCAAGTAACATGCTCCTAAACAACATTATGGGTTAAAGAAGAAATCACAGTGAAAATTTCAACATAACTGGAGACAAAGCATAACAAAATTATTGAATGCATCTAAAGCTTGTATTCAATTGTAGTAGTAAATGTGTACATTTAACAAATCTATCTAAATCAACTAGTAAATGTAATCAAACATCAGTAAAGAATAAGAATTTCAGCAGTTATAAATAAATAACAATTAAAAGCCATAGAAAAATCAATTAAAGTTTGGTTTTATTGAAAAGATTAAGAAAACTGACAAACAGATTAAAAGAAAAAAGAAGATACCTCAAATAATTAAATTCATAAATAAAAGAGGAGCTATTACTACTGATGCCACAAAAGTAGGAAAAGAAGAGATTATAAAAGTTTAATTCCAAGTATATGCCAAAAAATGTGATAAGCTAAGAGAAATAGACAAATGTCTAGAAATACAGATTATACTAAAAATAAACCATAAAAAAATCTGAATAGGCATATAAGTAGTAACAACAACCTCCCCTCAAAAAGCCCAGGCCCGGATCACTTCATTAAATACATATTTTTTTCAAAATGTTAAAGCAGGGTTAACACCAACCCTTCTTAAACTACTTCAGAAAAATGAAAAAGATAAAACAATTTCCAACTTATTTTATGAGCCCAGCATTAACACAACACCAAACCCCACAAAGACACTAAGGAGAAAAAAAAATACAACTACAAATCAATTTTCCTGTTGACTATTGATGTAAAAATTCTCCTCGGAACATTAGAACACCAAATTCAATAACACATTGCAAGGATTATACACCATGATGAAGAAGGAGTTATCTCTCCAATGAAAGTATTGTTCAACACGTGTAAATCAATCTATTTGTTTTTTATTTTTTTATTATACTTTAAGTTCTAGGGTACATGTGGACAACATGCAGGTTTGTTACATAGGTTTACATGTGCCATGTTGTTTTGCTGCACCCATCAACTCATCATTTACATTAGATATTTCTCCTACTGCTATCTCTCCTCTAGCCCTCCAGCCCCTGACAGGCCCCATTGTGTGATGTTACCTGCCTTGTGTCCAAGTGTTCTCACTGGTAAATTCCCACCTATGAGTGAGAACATGTGGTGTTTGGTTATCTGTCCTTGTGATAGTTTGCTGAAAATGATGGTTTCTGGCTTCATCCAAGTCCCCGCAAAGGACAAAAACTCATCTGTTTTTATGGCTGTGTACTATTCCATGGTGTATACGTGCTGCATTTTCTTAATCAGTTCTATCATTGATGGACATTTGGGTTGGTTCCAAGTCTTTGCTATTGTGAATAGTGCTGCAATAAACATACATGTGCTTGTATCTTTATAGTGGCATGATTTATAATCCTTTGGGTGTATGCCCAGTAATGGGATTGCTGGGTCAGATGGTATTTCTAGTTCTAGATCCTGGAGGAATGGCCACACTGTCTTCCACAGTGGTGGAACTAATTTGCAATCCCTCCAACAGTGTAAAAGCCTTCCTATTTTTCCACATGCTTTCCAGCATCTGTTGTTTCCTGACTTTCAAATAATCACCATTCTAACTGGCGTGAGATTGTATCTCACTGTGGTTTTGATTTGCATTTCTCTGATGACCAGTGATGATGAGCATTTTCTCATGTGTCTGTTGGCTGCATAGATGTCTTCTTTTGAGAAGTGTCTGTCCATATCCTTTGCCCAATTTTTGATGGTGTTTTTTTCTTGTAAATTTGTTTAAGTTTTTTGTAGATTCTGGATACTAGCCCTTTGTCAGATGGATAGATTGCCAACAATTTTCTCCCATTCTGTAGGTTGTCTATTCATGCTGTTGGTAGTTTCTCTTACTGTGCAGAAGCGCTTTAGTTTAATTAGATCTGATTTGTCTATTCTGGCTTTTGTTGCCATTGCTTTTGGTATTTTAGTCATGAAATCTTTGCCCATGCCTATGACCTGAATGATGTAGCCTAGGATTTCTTCTAGGGTTTTTATGGTTTTAGGCCTAACATTTAAGTCTTTAATCCCTGTTGAATTAATTTGTGTATAAGGTGTAAGGAAGGGATCCAGTTTCAGCTTTCTACCTATGACTAGCTAGTTTTCCCAGCACCATTTATTAAATAGGGAATCCTTTCTCCATTGCTTGTTTTTGTCAGGTTTTTCAAAGATCAGATGGTTGTAGATGTGTGGTGTTATTTCTGAGGCCTCTGTTCTGTTCCATTGGTCTATAGATCTGTTTTGATATCGGTACCATGCTGTTTGGTTACTGTAGCCTTGTAGTATAGATTGAAGTCAGATAGTGTGATGCCTCCAGCTTTGTTCTTTTTGCTTAGATTGTCTTGGCGATATGGGCTCTTTTTTGGTTCCATATGAACTTTAAAGTAGTATTTTCTAATTCTGTAAAGAAAGTCATTCGTAGCTTGATGGGGATGGCATTGAATCTGTAAATTACCTAGGGCAGTATGACCATTTTCACAATATTGGTTATTCCTATCCATGAGCATGGAATGTTCTTCCATTTGTTTGTGTCCTCTTTTATTTCGTTGAGCAGTGATTTGTAGTTTTCCTTGAAGAGGTCGTTCACATCCCTTGTAAGATGTATTCCAAGGTATTTTATTCTCTTTGTAGCAATTGTCAATGGGAGCTCACTCATGATTTGGCTCTCTGTTTGTCTGTTATTGGTGTATAGAAATTCTTGTGATTTTTGCATATTGATTTCTTATCCTGAGACTTTGCTAAAGTTGCTTATCAGCTTAAGGAGATTTTGGGCTGAGATGATGGGGTTTTCTAAATATACAATCATGTCATCTGCAAACAGAGATAATTTGACTTCCTAATTGAATACCTTTGTTTCTTTCTCTTGCCTGATTGCCCTGGCTGTGGGTTTGTCATAAATAGCTGTTATTATTTTGAGATACATTTCATCAATATGTAGTTTATTGAGAGTTTTTAGCAGGAAAGACTGTTGAATTTTGTCAAAGGCCTTTTCTATATCTATGGAGACAGTCATGTGGTTTTTGTCATTGATTCTGTTTATATGATGGATTACATTTATTAATTTGTGTATGTTGTACCATCCTTGCATTCCAGGGATGAAGACTACTTGATCGTGGTGGATAAGCTTTTTGATATGCTGCTGGATTCCATTTGCCAGTATTTTATTGAGGATTTTCACATCGATGTTCATCAAGGATATTGGTCTAAAATTCTCTTTTTTTTGTTTTGTCTCTGCCAGGGTTTGGTATCAGGATGATACTGGTCCCATAAAATGAATTAGGGAGGATTTCCTCTTTTTCTATTGATTGGAATAGTTTCAGAAGGAATGGTACCAGCTCCTTTTTGTACCTCTGGCAGGATTCAGCTGTGAATCCATCTGGTCCTGGATATTTTTTTGTTGGTATGCTATTAATTATTGCCTCAATTTTCAGATCCTGTTATTGGTCTATTCAGAGATTCAACTTCTTCCTGGTTTAATCTTGGGAGGGTGTATGTGTCCAGGAATTTATCCATTTCTTCTAGATTTTCTAGTTTATTTGTGTAGAGGAGTTTATAGTATTCTCTGATGGTAGTTTGTATTTCTGTGGGATCAGTGATGATATACCATTTATCTTTTTTTATTGTGTCTATTTGATTCTTGTCTTTTTTCTTCTTTATTAGTCTTGCTAGTGGTCTATCAATTTTGTTGATCTTTCAAAAAATCAGCTCCTAAATTCATTGATTTTTTAAGGGTTTTTTGTGTCTCTATCTCCCTTAGTTCTGCTCTGATCTTTCTTGCCTTTTGCTTGTTTTTGAATTTGTTTGCTCCTGTTTCTCTAGTTCTTTTAATTGTGATGTGGGGCTGTCAATTTTAGATCTTTCCTGCTTTCTCTTGTGGGCATTTAGTGCTATAAATTTCCCTCTGCACACTGCTTTAGATGTGTCCCAGAGATTCTGGTGTTTTTTGTCTTTGTTCTCACTGGTTTCAAAGAACATCTTTATTTTTGCCTTCATTTCGTTATTTGCCCAGTAGCCATTCAGAAGCAGGTTGTTCTGTTTCCATGTGTTTGTGCCATTTTGAGTGAGTTTCTTAATTCTAAGTTCTAATTTGATTGCACTGTGATCTGAGAGACAGTATGTTGTGATGTCTGTTCTTTTACATTTGATGAGGAGTGCTTACTTCCAATTATGTGATCAATTTTAGAATAACTGCGATGTGGTGCTGAGAAGAATGTTTATTCTGGTGATACGGGGTGGAGAATTCTGTAAATTTCTATTAGGTCCACTTGGTGCAGAGCTGAGTTCAAGTCCTGGATATCCTTGTTAACCTTCTGTCTTGTTGATCTGTCTAATATTGACAGTGGAGTGTTAAAGTCTCCCATTATTATTGTGTGGGAGTCTAAGTCTGTTTGTAGGTATCTAAGGACTTACTTTACGAATCTGGTTGCTCCTGTATTGAGTGCATATATATTTAGGGTAGTTAGCGCTTCTTGCTGAATTGATCCTTTTACCATTATGTAATGGCCTTCTTTGTGTCTTTTGATCTTTGTTGGTTTAAATTCTGTTTTATCAGAGACTAGGATTGCAACCCCTGCTTTTTTTTAATTTTTAATTTTTTTGCTTTCCATTTGCTTGGTAGATCTTCCTCCATCCCTTTATTTTGAGCCTATGTGTGTCTCTGCATGTGAGATGGGTCTCCTGAATACAGCACACTGATGGGTCTTGACTCTTTATCCAATTTGACAGTCTATGTCTTTTTATTGAGTCATTTAGCCCATTTACATTTAAGGTCAATACTGTTATGTGTGAATTTGATCCTGTCATTGTTATGTTAGCTCACTGTTTTTCCTGTTAATTGATGCAGCTTCTTCATAGTATCGATGGTCTTTACAATTTGGCATATTTTTTGCAGTGGCTGGTACTGGTAGTTCCTTTCCACGCTTAGTGCTTCCTTCAGGAGCTCTTTTAAGGCAGGCCAGGAGGTCTCAAAATCTCTCAGCATTTGCTTGTCTGTAAAGGATTTTATTTCTCCCTCACTTATGAAGCTTAGTTTAGCTGGATATGAAATTCTGGGCTGAAAATTCTTATCTTTAAGAATGTTGAATATTGACCCCCACTCTCTTCTGGCTTCTAGGTTTTCTGCTGAGAGATCTGCTATTAGTCTGATGGGTTTCCCCTTGTGGGTAACCCGACCTTTCTCTCTGGCTGCCCTTAACATTTTTTCCTTCATTTCAACCCTGGTGAATCTGACAATTAGTATCTTGGGGTTGCTCTTATCCAGAAGTAACTTTGTGGTGTTGTCTGTATTTCCTGAATTTGAATGCTGGCCTGCCTTGCTACATTGGGAAAATTCTCCTGAATAACATCCTAAGGAGTGTTTTCCAACTTGGTTCCATTCTCTCTGTCACATTTAGGTACACCAAGCAAACATAGATTTGGTCTTTTCACATAGTCCCATTTTTCCTGGAGGCTTTGTTCATTTCTTTTCACTCTTTTTACTCTAAACTTGTCTTCTCACTTTATTTTATTAATTTGATCTTCGATCACTGATATCCTTTCTTCCACTGGATTGAATCAGCTATTGAAGCTTGTGCATGTGTCACAGAGTTCTTGTGCCATGGTTATCAGCTCCATAAGGTCATTTAAGGTATTATCTACACTGTTTATTCTAGTTAGCCATTGTCTGACCTTTTTTCAAGGTTTTTAGCTTCCTTGCGATGTGTTCGAACATGCTCTTTTAGCTTGGAGAAGTTTGTTATTACCAGCCTTCTGAAGCCTCCTTCTGTCAACTCATCAAAGTCACTCTCCCTCCAGCTTTGTTCCATTGCTGGTGAGGAGCTGCAATCCTTCGGAAGAAAAGAGGTGCTCTGGTTTTTAGGATTTTCAGCTTTTCTGTTCTGGTTTCTTCCCATCTTTGTGGTTTTATCTATCTTTGGTATTTGATGTTGGTAACCTACAGATGGGGTTTTGGTGTGGATGTCCTTTTTGTTTATGTTGATGCTATTCCTTTCTGTTTGTTAGTTTTCCTTCTAACAGTCAGGTCCCTCAGCTGCAGGTCTGTTGGAGTTTGCTGGAGGTCCACTCCAGACCCTGTTTGCCTGAGTATCAACAGAGAAGGCTGCAGAACAGCAAATATTGCTGCTTGATCCTTCCCTGGAAGCTTCGTTGAAGAGGGTCTCCCATCTGTATGAGGTGTCTGTTGGCCCTTACTATGAGATGTCTCCCAGTTAGGCTACACGGGGTTCAGGGACCCATTTGAGGAGGCAGTATGTCCATTCTCAGAGCACAAACACAATGCCAGGAGAACCACTGCTCTCTTCAGAGCTGTCAGATGGGAGTTTTAAGTCTGCAGAAGTTTCTGCTGCCTTTTATTCAGCTATGCCCTGCCCGCAGAGGTGGAGTTTATAAAGGCAGTAGGCCTTGCTGAGCTGTGAGTGGCTCTACCCTGTTCAAGCTTCCTGGCCACTTTGTTTACCTACTGAAACCTCAAAAATTGTGGATTCACCTCCACCTGCTCAGCTGCAGCATGAAGGTTAATCTCAGACTGCTGCACTGGCAGTAAGCAAGGCCCTATGGGTGTGGGACCCAGTGAATCAGGCACAGGAGAGAATCTCCTGGTCTGCCAGTTGCTAAGACTGTGCAAAAAGTGCAGTATTTGGGCAAGAGTGTCCTGTTTTTCCAGGTACAGTCTGTCATGCCTTCCCTTGGCTAGGAAAGGAAAATCCCCCAACCCCTTGCACTTCCTGGGTGAGTTGATGCCCTGCCCTGCTTCAGCTCACCCTCCATGGGATGAACTCACTGTCCAATCAGTCCCAATGAGATGAATCAGGTAGCTCAGTTGGAAATGCAGAAATCACCCATCTTGCATTGATCACACTGGGAGCTGCAGACCAGAGCTCTTCCTATTTGGCTATATTGGAATGAGAGTTTAAATCAATCAGTTTAATATATCACATTAACAGAGTAAAAGATGTAAACCACACAATCACCTCAAATAATGCAGAAAAGTCAACTGACAGTATTAACCATCTTTTCAAGATAAAAAAAAACTCAATAAAGTAGAAATAAAAGGAAACTAACATAGCAAAAGATATGTAAATAACTCATCACCAACTGGGTTCAACAGCTCATGCCTATAGTCCCAGCAGTTTGGGTGGCTGAGGTGGGTGGATGATTTTAGGTCAGGAGTTCCAGACCAGCCTGACCAACATGGCGAATCCCTGTCTCTACAAAAAATATTAACATTAGCTTGACTTTGTGGTATGTGCCTGTAGTCCCAGCTACCAGGGAGGCTGAGGCATGAGAATAGCTTGAACTCGGGAGGTGGAGGTTGCAGTGAGCCCAGATCATGCCACTGCACTCCAGCCTGGTTGACAGAGCAAGATCCTATCTCAGAAAAACAAAAACAACAACAAAAACAAAAAAACAAAAACAATCATCACTAATATTATACTGAATTCTGAAGTGTGGAAAGTTTATCCTCTAAGATTAATAATAAGGCAAGATATTCACTGTTGTCACATCTATTCAAAAATATCAGTGAAAGTCCTGGCAAAACAACTAGGCAATGAAAAAAAGAAAAGATCCACATTCTAAAGGAAGAAGTAAAATTACCTGTTACTTATGATATGATGTTATATACAAAAAAATCCTATATGCTGAAAACAATACCTGTTAGAACTAATAGTTGCATTGAGCAAAATTGCAGAATACAAAATTAAGTGTATTTCTCTTCATTACACGGTACAATCCAAGTTTTTAAAATTCCATTGAAAATAGCATTAAGAAGAATATACTTTGGAATAAACAAGCAAAGAGATGTAAGACTAGTATACTAGAAGTTACAAGATGTTGCTGAAGAAAAGTCACAAACAATGGGGAAGATATTCTATATTTGTAGATTAGACAATTGAAAAGATATCCCATATTCATAAATTAGAAAACAATATTCTTGTCTATACTAATGAAATCAACAACAGATTAAATGCAATAGCTATATAAATCATAACAATATTTACTTGCAGAAATACAAAATTCTAAAACATATGAAATCTCAAGATTGAAAATGGCCAATTAAACTTGTAAAATAATGTCAATTGTGGAGCCCTCACAATTTTTAAATAAAAAACTAATTGCAGTGCTGTTGAACTCTTTTCAAATGTGGTATTTTGAGGCCAGGTTCTATGGCTTACACGTGTAACCTCAGCACTTTGTGAGGCTGAGGTAGGAGGATTGCTTGAACCCAGGAGTTCAAACCACACTGGACATCCTAGTGAGAACATCCATCGCTAAAAAAACAATTAAAATTAAAATTAACCTGGCAATGTGACATGAACCTGTAGTCTCAGCTATTCCAGAGGCTGAAGTGAGAGGATTTTTTAAGCCTGGGAGAGCAAGTCTGCAGTGAGCCATGGTCGCACCAGTGCACCCCAGCCTGGATGACAGAGAACCTGTCTCAAAAAGTAAAAAGGAGAAAATCTAAAAAGAAATGTATTAAATCAAGACGTGTAGACATAGAAAATAATAGAGACCCCTCTCTCCACAAAACCTTGTATATATGGTCAAAATGATCTTCAACAAGGGTGCAAAGGCCAAACTATGGAGAGGGAATAATAGCCCCCTTTAACACAAAAAAGGTATGAAGATTTGCTATCAACATGTAAAATATAGAAGTCAGAATTGTAGTTTATACTATATTTTTTTAAAAACTCAAAATGTGTAAGTCTGAAAGTCTTACACAAAAATATAAGGGAAAAATATCCAAAATTATGCCATGGAATTTGGCAATGGGTTCTTGACTGCCAGCAGCCCCACATCCCTGGAGCATCCATCCGCTCACCGCTGCCTGGTGCTGGGTCCTTCCACACCTGTCACACTGCTTTGTGCGGGGCTCTGAGGGGCACGAGCCAGGACACCAGGCCGAGCACAGGGCACAGGCCGGGCGTTCTCCGGCTATTCGAGGGCAGGCTGTCCCCATGACAGCCTCAGGCGCAGGAGGGAGGACGGCCTGATTCGAGTCTGCGGAAGGAGGAAGAAGCTCATTTCCTGAGCCAGCAGGGACACAGAGGTGGATGCGGGACACAGGGACACAGGGGTGGATGCCATAAAAATATATGGCATATATTTTGAAACATGGCCGCAATTTGAATAATTAGAGTGTTATGCTGAAACTGCACCAAAATTTGTCATTCCAGTGACTACAGGGAATTTTTAATAGTTGTTATTTTTATAATAAAATTAAACTTTAATGAAATAACTGACTTTCAAACTTCAGCAAGAGGACAAATATTCAGCCAGAGGTATCAGTTCCCGGTTTCTGCTTCGGGTCCTCTCTGGTCTCCCACAGCCCCTCCTGCATCACCCAGGTCTAAGGGGCCACCTGGCCTGGCCTGTGTTCCCTCGTCCCTCCCCTTCCCCACCCAGATCCTGCAGCGCCTTCCTGGGGCAGGGGCGGCGAACCGTCCAGAGCGGGAGGCTCCAACGCCCAGGGCAGCACCGCTCCGCCCCTCTCCACACATGCCCAGCCCCTGGCAAAGGAGTCGCCTGGGCCTGGCCCGCTGCCCGCCCCCCAATACCTGCCCTGTGCCTGCAACGGCGACGCTGCCAACAAGAGGTGCCAGAGACCGCGGCGCAACCCGCCCGGAGAGCAGGGTCCCACTCACCTGGGAGCGGGGGCACGTCCCTTCCGGTAGGCGATGAGTTAAGATTGTTTCCTTATTTATTTTACTTAAAACTGGTAGAATGTCACTATTATATGAAGTACCCACGACTCTCTCAGTAAATTTGAGCAAACGTTTATTAGTTTTTGTCAGTTTAACTAGTTCTTTTGTGTCTATTATTAAGGTGAAATTTAACTTCTATCTGAAATCAGTAAGATACAGAGAGATTTTAATGACAAGTGAATATTTTTTTCTCAGGGGGAACTGAATTATGAATTGAATGAATGAATTATGAATTAAATGAATGAATTCATTAGCAAGGTAGAGAGGACACTAACCAATCGGTAGTTTTAATCAATCTGTATTCCCTCCCCCCTCCCTCTTTGTTTTTTGTTTGTTTGTTTGTTTTTGAGACAGAGTTTTGCTCCGTCGCCCAGGCTGGAGTGATGTGGCGCGATCTTGGCTCACTACAACCTCCGACCCCCGGGTTCAAGCGACTCTCCGCCTCAGACCCCCGAGTAGCTGGGATTACAGGCGCCAGCCACCATGCCCAGTTAATTTTTGTGTTTTCATTAGAGGCGGGGTTTCACCACGTTGGCCAGGCTGGTCTCAAACTCCTGACCTCGGGTGATCCGCTCACCTTGGCCTCTCAAAGTGTTGGGATTATAGGCGTGAGCCACCAGTCCCGGCCCCTCCCACCCCTCTGTATTATGACCATGTGTACCCAGCATTTAGCTCCCACTTATGAAAGAGAACATGCGGTATTTTGTTTTTTGCTTTTGCATTAGTTTTCTGGAAAGAATGCATTCATGTTGCTTCAAATGGCATAATTTTGAGTTTTTTCTGGCTGTATAGTATTCCATGAGTCTTTATCCAATCCACCACTGATGGATGTCTGGATTAAGCCTATGTCTTTGTGATTGTGAATACTGCTGTGATAAAAATATAGCTACATGTGTCTTTTTGATAGGGTATTTATTTTTTTTCGGGTATATACCCAGTAATGGGGTTACTGGATTGAATGGTAGATCAACTCTCAGTTCTTTAAGAAATCCCCAACCTGCTTTCCACAGTGGCTGAACTAATTTACATTCCTTCAGAAAGTGTATAAGTGTTCTCTATTCTCTAAATCTTCACCGATATGTGTTTTTCTTTTGACTTTTCAAAAAAAGCCATTCTGACCGGTGTGAAATGGTATTTCATTTCAGTTTTGATTTGCATTTCTCTAATAAATAATGACGATGAGCACTTTTACATATGTTTGTTGGGTGCTTGTGTGTATGTCTTCTTTTGAAAAGTGTCCGTTCATGTCCTGTTGCCCACTTTTTAATGGAGTTACTTGCTGCTTGCTTGTTGATTTGTTTAAGTTCCTTATAGGTTCTGCATAATAGACCTCTGTTAGATGCGTAGTTTGTGAATATTTTCTTTCATTCTGTGGGTTATCTCTTTACTACCTTGATAGTTTCTCTTGTTGTGCAAAAGTTTTTCAGTTTAATTAAATCCCACTTGTCATTTTTTGTTTTAGTTGCAATTGCTTTTGAGGACTTAGCCATAAATTATTTGCCAAGGCCGTTATCAAGAAAAGTATTTCCTAGGTTTTTTTCTAGGCGTTTTATAGCTTGAGATTTTTTCATTTAACTCTTTAATCCATCTTAAGCTAATTTTTGTATTTGGTGAAATATGGGGGTCTAGTTTTATTCTTCTGCATATGACTAGCCAGTTATCCCCGCATTATTTATTAAATAAAGTCTTTTTCCCATTGCTTACTTTTGTCAACTTTGTTAAAGATGTGATGGTTGCAGGCATGTGGCCTTAGTTTCTAGTACTCTAGTCTGTTCCATTGGTCTATGTGTCTGTTTTTCTACCAGTACCATGTTGTTTTGATTACTATAGTCTTCTAGTATAGTTTGAAGTCATGTAATATGATGTCTCTAGCCTATGTCTCTAGCCTTAGTATTGCTTTGGCTTGGCTAGCCTACGTCTCTAGCCTTAGTATTGCTTTGGCTTGGCTATTCAGACTCCTTTTAGGTTCCATATAAATTTTAGATGTTTTCTATTTTGTGCAAAATGACATTAGTAATTTGATAGGAAAAGCATTGAATCTGTAAATCGCTTTGAGCAGTATACTCATCTGCACGCAGATGATACTCCAGTGTATGTTCTGTGGTTGATGAATGAAGTGTATTGTAATTCCAAATGGTCAAGCCAGACCCTGCCCCCGCCCGGCTCCTCCTCTGCCAGAGCTGGATACCTCTAGCCAAGGGGCCTCTAGAGCCACTGGGGATGGGGCTGAGGGCCGCTTCCCGCCCCCGTGCAGCTGCTGCAGGGCAGACCGCCTGGCTTGGCCGCAGCCACAGGGACATCTGGCCCTGCTTCCGAGATGTGGGGAGTGCGGGCAGGCTCAGGAGTTGCCTGGAGGCTGCTGCCTGCACACAGAAGGCGGCTGCAGCTTGGGAGCCCAGGCTGGCTGGAGGGGCATGGCCTGGTCGGCCTCGGGATCGCCAGCGCGCCCAGCCTGAGGGCCCCCAGGCCGTGCCTCCCACCCACTCCTCCACCTGAGAGAGATCGGGGCCGCTGTCATGGGCACTCGGCAGTCACCCCGTGTGGGGTTGAGCGGCGGGTTTTCAGTTCTCGCCCCTGTGCAGCCGCCACCGCCGGGCAGAATGCCTGGCTTGGCCACAGCCACAGGGACACCTGGCCCTGGTTCTGCGAGACTGGGAGCGCAAGCAGGCTCAGGGGTTGCCAGGCAGCTGCTGCCTGCACACAGAGGGCGACTGCAGCTTGTGCACCCAGGCGGCGGAGCATGGTCTGGGTGGCCTCTGGAATGCGTGCGCACCAGGCCTGAGGGCCTCCCTGGTGGTGCCACCTGCCCAAGTCTTCCTCTGCTGGAGCCTGGAGCAGCTGGAATGGCCACTCTGCAGTCACAGGGGATAGAGTTAAGTTTTCTTATCCCACACATGCACACAAAAAGGTAACTATTCTGTGAGGTAATTAACATGTTCATTGACTTCGTTTTGGTAATCATTTCAGAATGTGCATATAAACGCATCACGTACAATTTTTATTTCTCTATTACACCTCAGTAAAGCTGAAATAATTAACAGGATTGAAAGGATAAACCCACAGTTCTATAGTCACAGTTGGACCCTTCAATACCTCATTTTAATTAATGGATAGAAAAACCAGACCGAAGCTTCATGAGAAATACAAGAGTTAAACAACGGTATAAGCCACTGAGAGCTAATACGCATATACAGGACAGTCCATCCAACAACAGCAGAATATACATTCCTTTCAAGTGTATATGGAAGTTCTCTAGGATGGGCCATATCTTCATCCACAAAATATGTCCTAATCATTTTTAAAAGTTTGAAATCATACAAAATATAATTTACAACCACAATGGAAGAAACAACAGATAAATAAGTGAAAACTGGAAAATTCACGAAAATGTGGAAATTAAACAATACAGTCTTCAACTACCAGTGAGTGAAAAAAATAAATCACAAGCAAAATTATAAAATATCTTGAGATAAATTAAAATAAAAACAAAACATACCAAAACTTATTGAATGCAGTGAAAGTAGAGTTCAAAGGAAAATTTATGGATATAAATAACTACATTTAAGAAAAATCTGAAATCAACATCCTCACTCTATACCTAAAGGCAGTGGAAGAAGACAAAATAAGACTAAATCCAAAGCTAGCAGTATGAAAGAAATAATAGAGAGCATAATTAGAGCATAAATCAATAAAATAGAAGTTTGGAGAGCAGTAGAATGAATAAACATAGATTATTTGAAAGATCAAGCCTTTCACTATATTGACTGAGCAAAAGATGGAAGACTAATTATTAAAATAATAAATGAAAGCAGAGCCATTACTACCAACTTTACAGAAATACAAAAGGATTACAGGAGTATACTGTGAACAACTGTCTAACAACAAATTAGCTGTCCTGGATGAAATGGACGAATCACTAGAAAGACACAAACTACCAAAGTGGCTCAAGAAGAAAGAGAAAATCTGAATAGACCTATAACCTAGCAGATTGAATTAGTAATCGAAAGTGATTAACAAAGAAACATTTATGACCAAATAGCTGCATTAACTGGTGAGTCAACCTAACATTTAAAGAAGAATTAATACCATTTCTTCTCAAACTCTTCTGACATAATATATGAAGAAGGAATACTTGCTAATTCATTTTTTGATAACAGCATTATCCTTATACCAAAGCCAAAGAGAGCACAAAAAGAGAACTACAGCACAATATCCCTTATGAATATATAAGCAAAAATCTCAGCAAAATACTAGCAGCAATACTGTATAATCAAAGGATTGTAAACTATCACCCTGTGAGATTTATCCCCAAAATGCAAGGGTGGCTCAACATATAAAAAATCAATCAGTGTAATATACTCTAACAGTAAAATGAATAAGCACGTGATTATTTCAATTGATGCAGAGAAAACATTGATGAAATACAACACCCTTCTATAATAAAAATACTCAATAAACTAGGCATAGAAGGGATTTTCTGCAACGTGACAATAGGATGTACAAAAACCCAACAGTTAATATCATGATCAATGATGAAACACTGAAAGCTGTTTTCCTAACATCTAGAACAAGACAAGCATGGTGCATTTGCCACTTGTGTTCAATGTACCACTGGCAATTTTAGCCAGAGCAATTAGGCAAGACAAAGAAATAAAAGGCATCTACATTAGAAATAAAAAACAGAAGTAAAATTATATCTACACATGATCTTATGTGTATAAAGCTCCAAATAAAACACAAAACCGATTATAACTAATAAAAGAGGCAGGATGCAAAACAAACATAGGCAAATGAGCTATATTTCTATATAGTTGTAAAGAACTATGAAAACATTTTAAAAATTCCATTTATAATAGCATCAAAGAATAAGTTATTCAGGCATAAATCTAACCATGGTGGTATACACAAAACTTTGCTGAAAAAAACGAAAGAGAGTGGAAATAACTGGAAAGACATTCTGTGTTCACGGGTTGTAAGACAATACTGTTAAGATGACAATACCATCTAAAGTAATCTACAGATTCAATGCAATACCATCAAAATCCCAAAGGCATTTCTGCAGAAAGAAAGAAACTCATTCTACAATTCATACAAAAATTCAAAGGATCTGACAGACAAAACAGTCTTGAAAAAGAATATTAGAAAACTCACATTTTTCAGTTTCACAGCCTACTACAAATCTACAGTAATCAAGAGAGTGTGGTACTGGCATAAGACTAATAGACTTTTAGACCAATACAACAGAACAGATTTAAGATCCTACAAATTAGCGCTCACATATATGGTCAATGACTGTTCAACAAGCTGTCCAAGTCTAGTCAAGGGAGGAAAGAACAGTCTCTTCAACAGCTGGATGTCAGTGCACAAGAGAGAAGTTAGACCCCTACCTTGCAGTATACACGAAAATTAATTCTAAATTAATAAAAGACTTACATGTAAGGACTAAAGTATGTAACTCTTAGAAGAAAACACAAGGTAAACCTTTATGACCTTTGAGTTTTAAGTGTATTTTGAAATATGACAGAAAAGCACAGATAACAAAAGAAAATACACGTAAATTAGATTTAATCAAAATAAAAAACCTTTATGCATCAAAGGATACTATCAAGGGAGTGAAAAGACAACCCATAGTATGTGAGAAAATATGTATCTGATAAAATCAAAGTGCGTATCTGATAAAAGCTTAATATCCCACAACTCAACATCAGAATTTCTAACATCCCAATTAAAAAATAGGCAAAGGACTTGAATAGACATTTCTCCGAAGAAGATACACAAATGTGTAAGACGGATAAGAAAAGATGCTAAACACTGTTATTCATTAATAAAATGCAAGACAAAACCCAAATGAGATACCACTTTGCATCCACTAGTAAGGCTTTCATAACAACGACACAGAAAATCAATGTTGCTAAGGAGGTGGAGAAATTGGAGCCCTCATGAACTGGCTGCTAGGAATAGAAAATGATGCACTTGCCGTGGAAAACAATTTGGTGGTTCCTCACAGAATCACACAGAGAAACAAGAGCTGCTGGCTTCCGGGTTCTCCTGGGCTGGCGCGGTACGTCCCGGAATCGCAGGCGCGCATCCCTTCCCGCCTGAGGGCCTGCCTGGCCGTGACTCCCGCCCCTCTTCTCCTCCGAAGAGACGTCGGGGCCGCTCCAGGGGCCGTCCGCAGCCACCGGGGATGGGGCTGAGGGTCGGTTCCTGCCCCGGTGCAGCCGCCGCCGAGCAGACCGCCTGGCTTGGCCGCAGCCACGGCGACATCCATGCCCGGGTCTGCGAGGCTGGGCGCGCCAGCCAGCTTGGGAGTTGCCTGGCGCCTGTAGCTGGGCGCCCAGGTGGTGAGCATGGCCTGGGCGGCCTCTGGATCGCAAGTGCCCCTGGCCTGAGAGCCCCCCAGACCCTGCCCCCGCCCGGCTCCTCCTATGCCAGAGCTCGACACCTCTAGCCAAGGGCCCTCTGCAGCCACGGGGGATAGGGCTGAGGGCCGGTTCCCGCCCCCGTGCAGCTGCTGCAGGGCAGACCGCCTGGCTTGGCCGCAGCCACAGGGACATCTGGCCCTCGTTCCGAGATGTGGGAAGTGAGGGCGGACTCGGGAGTTGCCTGGAGGTTGCTGCCTGCACACAGAAGGCGGCTGCAGCTTGGGTGCCCAGGCGGGCTGGAGGTGCATGGCCTGGTCGGCCTCGGGATCGCCAGCGCGCCCAGCCTGAGGGCCCCCAGGCTGTGCCTCCCGCCCAGTCCTCCACCTGAGGGAGATCGGGGCCGTTGGTATGGGCCCTCAGCAGTCACCCCGTGTGGGGTTGAGCGGCGGCTTCTCAGTTCTCGCTCCTGTGCAGCCGCCACCGCCGCCGGTCAGAATGCCTGGCTTGGCCGCAGCCACTGGGACACCTGGCCCTGGTTCTGCGATGCTGACAGCGCGAGCGAGCTCGGGGGTTGCCAGGCAGCTGCTGCCTGCACACAGAGGGCGACTGCAGCTTGGGCGCCCAGTCGGCGGAGCATGGTCTGGGTGGCCGCTGGAATGCGTGCGCTCGAGGCCTGAGGGACCCACTCTTGGTGCCATCTGCCCTGCTCTGCGCCCCCTCTGCGCCTGCGCCCCCTCCGCGCCTGCGCCGGGGCTCTGCGCCTCTCTGCCTTTGCGAAGGGCGCTCTGCCTTTGCTAGGGCGGAGCTGCCTTCTCCTCAGCACAGACCGGGAGAGCATCGCGAGGGCGGAGCTGAGTTCTCCTCTGCACAGACTTCGGAGATACAGCGAAGGCGGAGCAGTGTTCGCCTCAGCACAGACCCGGGCGGGCGGGCCGGGGGTACCGCGAGGGCGGAGCTGCGTTCTGCTCAGCACACACCCGGGAGACACCGCGAAGGCAGAGCAGCGTTCTCCTCAGCACAGACCTTGGGGGCACTGCCTCGCTTTGGGACAACTCGGGGCCGCATCAACGGTGAATAAAATCCTTCCTGTTTGCAGCCCTGAATAATCAGGGTCAGAGACCAGTTAGAAGGGTTCAGTGTGGAAAACGGGAAACCAAAAGCCCCTCTGAATCCTGCCCACCGAGGTTCTCCCCAGCCAAGGCGAGGCGGCCGCAGTGCGAGATCCACACCGCAGCCTCGGAAGACAAATGCGGCATTCCTAATGCAGACATGACACCCAAAATATGACACCCCCATTGCTCATGTAACAAGCACCTGTAATGCTAATGCGCTGCCTCAATACAAAAATATTAATATAAGATCCGCAATCCCCTCGCTGCCGTGCAGTCCAAAGACAGCCATCATAATAATCAACATTGACATAGTCAATACAAACTTAGTAATGAACCTAGGGTTAAGGTTGGTGTTAGGGTTAGGGGTTAGGGGTTAAGTTTAGGGTTAGAGGTTGGAGATAGGGATTGGGGTCAGAGTTAGGGGTTAGGAGTCAACGTTTAGAGTTAGGGTTTAAGAGATGTTAGGGGTTAGGGATTAGGGGTTAGGGTTGGGTTAGGGTGAGGGTTGGGGTTAGGGATAGTGGTTAGGGTTTGTGTCAGGGGTTAGGGGTCAGGGTCAGTGGTTAGGGGTCAGGGTCAGGGGTCAGGGTCAGGGGTCCCACTCTGCGATTTGTCTATTTACTCTGCTGACTGTTCCCTTTGCCATGCAAAAGCTCTTTAGTTTAATTAAGTCCCAGCTATTTATCTTTGTTTTTATTGCATTTGCATTTGGGTTCTTGGTCATGAAATCCTTGCCTATGCCAATGTCTAGAAGGGTTTATCCAGTGTTATCTTCTAGAATTTTTACAGTTCAGGAATTAGGTTTAAGTTCTTAATCCATCTTGAGTAGATTTTTGTATAAGGTGAGAGATGAGAATCCAGTTTTATTCCCCTACATGTGGCTCGCCAATTATCCCAACTTCATGTGTTGAAAAGGGTGTCCTTTCCCCACTTTATGTTTTTGTTTGCTTTGTCAAAGATCAGTTGGCTGTAAGTATTTGGGTTAATTTCTGAGTTCTCTCTTCTGTTCCATTGGTCTATGTGCCTATTTTTAAACCAGTACCATGCTGTTCTGGTAACTATGGCCTTATTGTACAGTTTGAAATCAAGTAGTGTGATGCCTCCAGGCTTGTTCTTTTTGCTTAGCCTTGGTTTGGCTACATGGCATTCTTTTGGTTCCATATTAATTTTAGAATTGTTTTTGTAATTCTGTGAGGGATGATGGTGGTATTCAGATGGGGATTGCATTGAATTCGTAGATTGCCTTTAACAGAATGGTAATTTTCACAATATTGGTTCTACCCATCCATGAGCATGGGGATGTGTTTCCATTTGTTTGTGTCATCTATGATTTCTTTTCTTTCTTGTTTTTTTTTTTTTTTTTTTCAGAGGTAGTTTCGCTCTTGTCGCTGAGGTGGGAGTGCAATGGTGTGATCTCGGCTCACTACAACTTCTGCCTCCCGGGTTCAAGCGATTCTCCTGCCTCAGTTTCCCGAGTAGCTGGGATTATAGGCATGCGCCAACGTGCTTGGCTCCATCTATGATTTCTTTCAGCAGTGTTTTGTAATTTTCATTGTAGAGGTCTTTTGATTACTTTGCTAGGTATATTCCTAAGTTTTGTTTGTTTGTTTTTTGCAGCTATTGTAAAAGGGGTTGAGTTCTTGATGTGATTCTCAGCTTGGTAGCTGTTGATGTATAGAAGAGCTACTGATTTGTGTACATTAATCTCGTATCTGGAAACTTTGCTGAATTCTTTTATCAGTTCTAGGAGCTTTCTAGAGGAGTCCGTAGGGTTTTCAAGGCGAAAGATCATATCGTCAGCAACCAGTAACAGTCTGACTTCCTCTTCACCGATTTCGATTTCCTCTATTTCCTTCTTTTGTCTGATTGCTCTGGCTAGGACCTCCAGTACTATGTTGAAAAGGAGTGGTGAGAGTAGGCTCTTCGTCTTGTTCCAGTTCTCAAAGGGAATGCTTTCACCTTTTCCCCATTCAGTATTATGTTGGCTGTGGGTCTGTCATAGATGGCTTTTATTACATTAAGGTATGTCCCTTGTATGCCTATTTTGCTGAGAGCTTTAATCATAAAGCAATGCTAGATTTTTTCAAATGCTTTTTCTGCATCTGTTGATAAAATCATGTGAGTTTTTTTTTAAATTCTGTTTATTTGGTGTATCACATTTATTGACTTGCATATGTTAAACCATTCCTGTGTCACTGGTATGAAACCCACTTGATCATGGTGGATTATCTTTTTGATATGTTGTTGGATTCAGTTAGATAGTATTTTGTTAAGGATTTTGGCATCTGTGTTCATCATGGATATTGGTCTGTAGTTTTCTTTTTTGGTTATGTCCTTTCATGGTTTTGGTATTAGGGTGATGCTGGCTTCATAGAAAGAAGGGAGTGTTTCTTCTTTCTCTGTCTTGTGGAATAGTGTGAAAGGATTAGTATCATTTCTTCTTTGAATGAAAGAAAATATTCTTTGAATGTCTGGTAGAATTCTGCTGTGAATCTGTCTGGTCCTCGGCTTTTTTTGTTGGTAATTTTAAAATTACCATTTCAATCTTGCTGCTTGTTTTATTGGTCTGCTTGGGGTATCTACTTCTTCCTGATTTAAGCTAGGAGGGTTGTATTTTTCCAGGAATTTATGCAACTCTTCTGGGTTTTCTAGTTTTTGTGCCAAAAGGTGTTCATAGTACCCTTGAATAATCTTTAATATTTCAGTGGTGTCAGTTGTAATATCCCCTGTTTCATTTCTTAGTGAGGTTATTTGGATTTCCTCTCTTCTTTTCTTGGTTAATCTTATAATGGTCTATCGATTTTGTTTATCTTTTCAAATAACCAACTTTTTGTTTTATTCATGTTTTGTATTTGTTGTTGTTGTTGTTGCTGTGTCAATTTCCTTTAGTTCTGCTCTGATCTTGGTTATTTCCTTTGTTTGCTGGGATTGGGTTTGGCTTGTTCCTGCTTCTCCAGTTCTCTGAGATGTGAACTTAGATTGTCTGTTTGTGCTCTTTCATACTTTTTGACATAGGTGTTTAGGGCTACAAACTTTCCTCTTAGCACTGCCTTTGCTGTATCCCAGAGGTCTTGATTGGTTGTGTCATCCAGTTCAAAGAAATTTTTTCCATTTCCATCTTGATTTTGTTTTTCACCCAGTGCTCATTCAGGAGCAGGTTATTTAATTTCCATGTATTTGCATGGTTTTGAAGATTCCTTTTGGAGTTGATTTTCAGTTTTATTCCACTGTGATCTGAGACAGTGCATGGTACAATTTCAATTTTCTTAAATTTATTGAGACTCATTTCATGGCCTATCATATGGTCTATCTTGGAGAAAATTCCATGTGCTGTTGCATGGAATGTGTATTCTGTGGTTGTTGGATGAAATGTTCTTATATATCTGTTAAGTCCATTTGTTCCAAAGTATAGTTTAAATCCAGTGTTTCTTTGTTGACTTTCTGTCTTGATGACCTGTCTAGTGCTGTCAGTGGAGTAATGAAGTCCCCCACTATTATTGTGTTGCTGTCTATCTTATTTCTTATGTTTACTAGTGATTGTTTTATAAATTTGGGAGCTCCAGTGTTAGGTTCATGTATGTTTAGGATTGTCATGTTTTTCTGTTGAATGAGACCTTTACCATTATATACTGTCTGTCTTTGTCTCTTTTAGCTACTGTTGCTTTAAAGTTTGTTTTGTCTCATATGAGAATAGCTACCGCTGGTGGCTTTTGGTGTCCATTTGCATGAAATGCCTTTTTCTACCACTTTCCTTAAGTTTATGTAGGTCGTTATGTGTTAGGTGAGTCTCCTGAAGGCAGCAGATAGTTAGTTGGTGAGTTATTATCCATTCTGTGGTTCTGTATCTTGTAAGTGGAGCATTGAAGCCATTTACAACCAACATTAGTATTAAAAAGTGAGGTACCATTGCTTTCATCATGCTCTCTGTTGCCTCTGTACTTTGTTTTTGTTTTTTGTTTTTGCTTTTTAACTTGTATTTTTGTTTTATAGGTCTTGTGTGATTTATGCTTTAATGAAGTTCTGTTTTGATGTGTTTCCAGGGTTTGTTTCATGATTTAGAGCTCCTTTTAGCAGTTCTTACAGTGCTGGTTTGGTAATGGCAAATTCTGTCAGCATTTGTTTGTCTGAAAATGACTGTATCTTTCTTTCATATATGATGTTTAGTTTTGCTGGATACAGAATTCTTGGCTGATAATTGTTTTGTTTGAGGAGGCTGAAGAAAGGGCCCCAATCCCATCTAGCTTTTAAGGTTTCTGCTGCAAAATCTGCTGTTAGTTTGATAGGTTTTCCTTTATAGGTTACCTAGTGCTTCTGTCTCACAGCTCTTAAGATTCTTTCTTTTGTCTTAACTTTGGGTAACCCAATGACAATGTGCCTAGGCTAAGATCTTTTTGTGATGAATTTCCCAGGTGTTATTTGTGCTTCTTGTATTTGGATGTCTAGGTCTCTCACAAGGCCACGGAAGTTTTCCTTGATTATTCCCCCAAATATGTTTTCCTAGCCTTTAGAATTCACTTCTCCCTCAGGTACACCAATTAGTCTTAGGTTTCATTGTCTTAGGCCCCACCACTGGGGCCGCTACACGTGACATGGGATGTGGGCCATCGGGCAAAGGGCGCGGAGATGGGGCGCTGCCAAGGGAGCCAAGGAGGAAAGAGAGCAATTTCCAAATTGTCTTCCAGGGTTTCAATGTGCATTTTATTAACTCAGAATCTGTCGGGAATAATACTAGGGAGCTACCTTTCCCTGGAGATGGGTCTTGTCAGTGGAGTGAGATAGGCTGGGGGGAGGAAGAGGAATGGGAGGCTCAGTTTATAAATATTAAGATCAGCAAGGGTGTGCTGCTGGCAGGAGCAGAGGGAGCCTGGAGATTTGGGTGGCTGCCGTTGGTAAGTGGTTGCAATCCAGAGAGTGGGATTGAGTTCCTCCCTTGTCATGTTAGCATCCCGTTTCCTGGGCGTGGGTCTAATGCCCTGCAGGTGGTCATTTCACTCATGGTGGCTTTGTCTCTCTTCTGCCATCTCCAGACTCAGCTTCGCACTCCAGGGCTGCGTACCACCAGCCACTGTCATGTTAACCCCTTCCCAGGCCAATGTGTCCTTGGCCTGGAGCCCAATCTGCTGGACAGCTTGGGACCGTCCATTTTCGGGGTGGTGGGCAACCTGGTGGCCATCGTGGTGCTGTGCAAGTCGCGCAAGGAGCAGAAGGAGACCACCTTCTACACAGTTATGCGGCTGGCTGCCACCGACCTGTTGTTCACTTTGCTGGTGAGCCAGGTGACCATCGCCATGTACATGAAGGGCGGGTAACCTGGGGGCCAGCTGCTGTGTGAGTACAGCATCTTCAGCCTGTTCTTCTTCAGTCAGTCCGGCCTCAGCATCGTCTGTGCCATGATATCTATACAGGTAATTTGTGTTAGACATTCTTAGAAGAGTTTCAAAAGTTTTATGTTTTTATCTGGGTTATAAACAGAGTCCTCAAATGCATACAAAGGAAATCATGCCATGATTGAATTTCAGCAGGAATAAGTTTATTTTACCTATTCAAAATTAAAATACTTTTGTTGTGTTTGAAAATCTGTTTTAAAGATATGTTTTTGAAAAAAGTTTAAGTAAATATTTAATCATGTCCCCTTTTCTATCCCAAGAAATAATTTCATATATAGTTTATTTAAATTTTTTAACAAAAATGTAGCATAATTTTTTTAAATTGTATATTTTATTTAACCCAATATATATCCAAAATATTGGGTCAATATATAATCAATATAAAAATTATTAGAGATAGTTTGCATTCTTTTTTCATATGAAATCTTTGAAATCCATTGTGTATTTTACATTTTAGGATGTCTCAACTCAAATGTGAAATTTTCATGGAGAATATTTGAACTGTATTTAGATTAATACAAATTGCAGTTAAAAAGTTTAATATAGATTTACCAGGGGGCGTGCAGCCCTCTTGCCAATCAGATCGTTGCTGAGCGGTCCCGCAGCCAACCCCCGAAGAGCAGCCTGCTGGCTTCCCCAGCGCCCAGGAGTTGGGGATGTCCTACAAACCTACCACCCCTGCCCCCAGCAGCACCCCCGGCTTCAGCACCCCTGGGCCAGGCACTCCGGTCCCTACAGGAAGCGTCCCGTCGCCGTCGGGCTCAGGGCCGGGAGCCACTGCCCCTTGCAGACCGCTGTTTAAAGACTTTGGACCGCCTACCGTCGGTTGTATGCAGGCCATGAAACCACCTGGTGCCCAGGGCTCCCAGAGCACCTACACGGAACTGCTGTTGGTCACAGGGGAGATGGGCAAAGGGATCCGGCCCACCTATGCTGGCAGCAAGAGCGCCGCGGAGCGCCTGAAGAGAGGTATCATCCATCCCTAGTCAGAGTGCCTGGTAGAGACAGAGCGGAACGCCCACACTTAACAGGAAGCTCCTAGGCCTCTGTGTCTGGACTTCAGAGCACCTGCTTCTCCCTGGCCTTCATCCCTAGTTGCACTAACCATCCTGGGCTTCCTGTCCTGTGTCCCTTGATGGGTGCCCTCCAGGAACCAAGGGGCGGTTCTCACTGCAGGTGGCAGCACTAAGGACCCCCCTCCCCACCCCACCCCGCCAACGCAACAAGAGTTAGCAGCGAGGTCCCCGTGAGTCCCACCCATGACCTGCAGACAGTGTTGCCCACTGGAACTTTCTGTGGCCCCCACCACTCAGCCCTTCCCAGCACTTGTCCAGAGCCTCTTTCTCCCTCAGCACAGCTCAGACCTCAGGCCTGACACTTCCTTGCCTTGTGTCTTTTGCTAAATATGACCTTTCTATATTAATAAAAGATGCTTTGGAGTTGTGCTCTCTAAAAAAAAGTTTAATATAAAGGAGAAATAAAAGGAAATTTAGCAAAGAAATATGTAGATGAATATTTAAATACTCAGAGGTGACATTACTACCAGACATAATGAGATTATCAGATGTTTCATTTACTTATGATTAATATGTTTGTATTTATTTTTTATTCATTTTATTTTATTTATGTATTTATTTATTTTTATTATACTTTAAGTTCTAGGGTACATGTGCACAACGTGCAGGTTTGTTACATCTGTATACATGTGCTGTGTTGGTTTGCTGCACCCATTAACTTGTTATTTACATTAGGTATTTCTCCTAATGCTCTCCCTCCCCCAGCCCCCCACCCCATGACAGGCCCCAGTGTGTGATGTTCCCCTGCCTGTGTCCAAGTATTCTCATTGTTTAATTTCCACCTATGAGTGAGAATATGCAGTGTTTGGTTTTCTGACCTTGCGATAGTTTAAACAAACTAGGAAGTTCAGAAGTCACTTTACAAGAGAAATAAAGAAAAATAAAGTATTAATGACATTGGTAACAATAAAAATTAGAGTTAGACAAAGTATTAACAAGCAAGCTTATATATTTATAAGAGATGGGAAAATATTAGAAAGGAATAAATCATGTCTTGTCAACATGAAGAAAAAGTGTATTTTTTTGTTAACTTATTATTGTGTTTCCTTGTATAATTTTCACTTGGTTTTGTTGGTTTTACTACTTGCTTCATTCTTTCAAAAACTGCATCTTCATAGACCATTTCAGCTTTTGCTATGTGGGCAGAATTATAAAACCCAATTTCAAAATTTCAGCTGAACGTTGTCAGCATTTTTCTTTGGGCTTTTTATCGGAAAAAAAACCTAAGTAATTGTGTGTGTGTGTATTTTAGTATTACCATGAATGTAATAACAATAAAATCAAACAAAAACAAATGGATATGCAATATGTTGGACTAGCATCTCAAATATGAAAAAGGCATTGCCAACAGTGATATAATTTTTTTTCATAATGGTAAGCTTTTTAAAGTATAATCTTATTTTAACCTAAAATCTTACTATCAGAAAATGCAGTGTACATTAAAATGTTCTGAAATGCTTTATTCACATTTATTAAATGGTTGTACTCACTCAGATATCTACAAATTGGTTTTTCACTTATGTAATTATCTTATAGAATGTTCAAAAGTCATGCAGAATGTGAGATAACTTTCTATTGAATATGATTGTTTTATCATTGCAAGACATCAAACATCCCTGTTTCCTGCCAAATGAATGTACAATAGCAATAAATGTAAAGATGTGTTTTTTGGAAAAGACACATTTTTGAGTTATAAAACAAGGATTTTAAAACTTGAATTGTTACAGTGAGCATGTCTTAATATAGGCTACAGTCACTTTAGATAAAAAATTACCTCACATCTATTTTCAATATTACTTAAAGATGTTCATTTAGTGGCAAATATTTTTTTTTTGCCTGGAGGCAGATATTTTGCCACATGGCTATTTATGAAACTGTATTTAAATGCATGTACACATATAAAAGCTGCCACTGTGGCTGTAAACTATTACAAGTTATCAAGATTAAAAAATAAACAAAAAATATTTCAGTTTTTCTATGAAATGTCTTTACTCGAGTCCAAATTTAGAGGTTTAAAATGCTTCAAATTAATAAAACCAAGTGTTTCACATATTTCAGTTGGAATGGCGTTTGTCCTAGTTTTATTAGTGAAGCAGCAGACTGCATTTTTTCACTCATACACCTTCAAAAGATGGACAGAAAAATTTGATAAAACTTCTAGGGCATTATCTGATGAAACACATTAAACACTAAAGGAGATATACAACTTCATTGCTTGTAAAAGACATATAAGAAGGAAACCTACATACATATATCTATCAGTTTTGTATTTTCAGGAAATATTTGCCTTAAAGTGAGCTTCATAACAGTATGTATTCTCCAACAAAGCCAAGGAAAGTAAGTTTGACACAAGGATCTGGAAGTCTACCTGTGTGGCATAATTACATTGAATACATTCCACAAATAAGGCAGAAATGTATAGTAGAGTGTCCATTATAGAGGAACACTCAATAAATATTTAATAAAGTGCTTAAAATTTCTCATTATTGACCTGAACAATGAGTATACTTATTACGTTTGCCAGTGACAGATATTAAAAGTGGAGATTGAAGGAAAAATGATGTATAGAAGAGAGATTTTACCTTCAAAGTGACATAAATAATTTGAAGAAATTGAGGGAAGTGACTTGCTTAAATATCCATACAGTAAATATTTATTGTGTGCTTACTGTGTGCACTGGGAATTAAGCAGTGAAAAAAATACAAAGGAAAACATCAACAACGTCTCTTCTATCATGGAGCTTACATTCTACCAGTAAGAGAAAGACCATCAACAAATACATATGTAGTATAACATGACTATGAATGGTATGGAGAAAAATAAGAACAGTAAGGGGGATGTGGGGGCCTGGGGATTTATTTTATATAAGGATAGACAACAAAGGCCTCATTACTAAGTAATTTTATGCAATCCTTTTTTCAATTTATTTATTTGTTGATTCCATAATACTTATTTATGTATTTATGTATTTTTAATTTATTTTTTATTTTTAGAATCAGGGTCTCACTCTGTCACCCAGGCTGAAGTGCAGGGGTGTGATCATAGTTCACTGTAACCTTACTCCTGGGCTCAATTGATCCTCCCATCTCAGCCTCCCAAGTATCTTGGTCTACAGGCACCTACCACCATGCTTGGCTAATTAAAAAAAAAAAATTAGAGATGGGGTTGTGCTATGTTGCCCAGGCAGGTGTCAAAATCTTGGCCTCAAGCAATGCTCCTGCTTTGGCCTGTCTAAGCATTGGGATTATAGGCATGGGCCACCGTGCCTGGCCCTGTAATATGCATTTAGCATATACACTGTGATAAGCACAAGAAAGTCTCTGATAGTTCAGTAAAAAACTGCAGTGATGTTTGCAACAGGTAATTAAGTTTGGCCACGATTCTTTTGAGTGTCATAACACTGTCCTAAGAAAAAGTCTATATTTCCACTTTACTGGGTGTGTGAAACTCAAACTCAAGGTTAAAAAGCTCTGATTTTTGGTTGAAATCATAATCCAACTAAAAACCAGAAATGTGGAGCCATTTTTTTTATTTTAAGTGAATCATAAGCAGTCTTGTATTTAAGACAGATAAAATTATTGTACAGTATTATGTTTTCTGTACTTAAAATGAGAGAAAACCATGAGGGTTGTTAATGTTTGAAAAAAGAAGGCATCTATGAGGAAGCTTTATATTGGTAGAAAGTGTGAAAGAAAAATAAAATCTCAGGACCCCAAACTCACTATGACAAAGGAAAATTAAGCTTGGAACCTGAGTCATGCAAAAACTGCCATCCTTTTGTTCCCAAACAGCTGTAATTTCATATGCTTACTTTAACTTATGTAAAATGTAGATTTCCTGAGAGAGAGGATGAATGCACAACTGACTCCTTCCTCCTGTTTTTGCCACATGTAACATATAGATTCACTGAGCGCTAATCAGAGCCTCACAAGAATGTAGCCATTAGCTTTCTTGCCTTCCCTCTCTCCTTCTTTTCCTCCCCTGTTTTAATTTCCTGCCTGCTTCCTCTTTCTCCTTTAAATATTGAAGTTCCCAAAACCCTCTTTAGAAAAAGCACAGGACATCACCTACTTGTGACTTGTGATCCTTTTTCCCAGGTGTATCCTCCACCTTGCAAAGCAAAATCTCTAAATCACTTGAGATCTGCCTCATTCACTTATTGGTTTACAAAAGGAAGTTGGAAAAAACCACTCATCTTGCAATGCACAAATGACTTTTATAGTAACTTTATTGCCTATGCAATCAATCACATATTTGATATAATTATAGTATCAGATGATAAATATAGATGTAAAAAATCTATCTGTAAAAGTGACTTTTCTTATTTCCCCTCTCTCCTTTTCTCCCCTACTGTGCTTTGAATTCTTTATTTTCATATTCACTTTGCTGGCTTCGGATCATTTCCAAACCTACTCTAATGGTAGCATGATAGCATCCAGTGAGTTTGTTGTTGTTGCTGTTGTGATAGGACCATAGACTTTCACATCTAGTTGTGATATCACATGCTCACATTGTCTAACTACTTCATTTTACAGTTGAAGAAATTGAGACACAAGGTAAGGTGACCTGCCCAGTTCCAATCTAGTTATATAATAAAAGAATGGCTAATATTTAATAAATAATATGAGTCAGGCACTGGGAAAATAAGGCACTTTTTTTTTTTTTGAGACGGAGTCTCCTTCTGTCGCACAGGCTGGAGTACAGTGGCGCGATCTCGACTCACTGCAAGCTCCGCCTCCCGTGTTCATGCCATTCTCCTGCCTCAGCCTCCCCAGTAGCTGGGACTACAGGCGCCCACCACCACGCCCGGCTAATTTTTTGCATTTTTAGTAGAGATGGGTTTTCACCTTGTTAGCCAGGATGCTCTCGATCACCTGACTTCGTGATCCTTCCGCCTCGGCCTCCCAAAGTGCTGGGATTATAGGCGTGAGCCATCGCGCCCAGCTAATTTTTTGCATTTTTAATAGAGATGGGGTTTCGCCGTGTTAGCCAGGATGGTCTCAATCTCCTGAACTCATGATCCGCCTGCCTCGGCCTCCCAAACTACTGGGATTATAGGCTTGAGCCACCGCGCCCGGCAGTAAGGCACTATTTTTATCTCTATTTAAAAATGTAGAAACTGAGCCAAAGAGAGGATATGGTATTTGCCTGGGATCATAGGATTAGTAAATGTCTGAGTTGGTATTTAAAGGCAGGCTTCCAGATTTCATAGCCCATCCACAATCGCATGCCACTGAAGTCTTCTGGCTCCGACTTCTCTGCAATTTACACAGCCCTACACTGCCTTCCTCCTAAACTCTCCAACCTCCTATTTTTTTCAGCTCTAAACTTTGATTCCCTAAACACAGCAGTCAGGGACTGGTGGAAGATTGTTGTGAAAAGAACAGGCAAGCAGCATTACGGTTTAGCCTGTTTTTATATCTATTTTATTCTACAGATTAGTGTACTTTTCTCAATTATGCATACTTTTCCATTCTGCCAAAAATTTATTTTAAGGCTGTTAAAGCTGTAGTCAATTTTCTCACTTTGATCTTCCAAAGGAACCTGCTGTATCTTTTTCATTCTGTGCAAAATAGGCATTTTAGGATCCACTCAATGCTAAAGTCACTGAGTAGCTACAGACTTGCTATTTGTTTCTCCATTGTTATATTTTCATAGTTTTAGAATCTGAGCAGCATTTAATTTGTCTATGCTTTATATTTTCCTTTAGAGAAAGAACACAGTGATACTTGCTCATAGTGTTAGAGGAATAATCCCAAAGAGAGAAATTATTCTTCGAATATCCACCATGACTGAATACTTAGTAATACTGAAACCTACTTATAAAACAAAACAGAAAACCTCCAAAAAACCAAATAAACAACAAAAAAAACTTAAAACCAAAAAAGTACTGGAAGTCTCAGAAGTATTTAGCAGTTATTCTTGCTCCTTCAAATGAAAAGATGCTTTATCGTATCCTCTATGGAGAGAATTCTGACAGTATTTATCAAAGACCTTACATTTATTCACCTTTTGCCCTAAAAATTTCATAACTTAAAAATACATACAACAATTTATAATATAGCATTTTTTGTAAAGGGAAATAATCAGAAAGAGCCTAAGTGTTCAACAATAGGGCACTTGTTGAATTATGATACAATCACAAAATAAGGTCTTCATAGAGCCCATTAAAATGATGTTATTGATATTTATTTATTAATAGGAGAAATCATTTAGAATTTTTGGTTAAGACCTTTAACTAAGCACAAAGTCTATGAAATAATGTGCACAACATTCCATATTTTCATAAGGGGAATGACTTTTAAAACTACCCTGCAATCATCTCATTTTACACAAATGTCTAAGCAGGTTTGTTACCCGGGTATATTGTGCCATGCTGAGGTTTCGGGTATGACTGATCTCATCATACAGATACGAAGCTTAGTACCCTGTAGTTTTTCAACCCTGGCTGCCCTCCCTACTGCCTCTACTAGTCTCCATTGTCTATTATAGTCATCTTTTCTTTTTTTAAAAAAAATCTGTTTTTCTGATTTTTTATTAGGTAAAAAATGGAAAAACAAAATATAATTTTCATTCAATACATATTTCATCTTTATGCGTTATTTTTTGAGAAAGTGAAGTCCATTTAGAATGATAGCAGTTCATCAACCAAATAATTCATCTTCACACAGTTTCAATTACTTCAGAAATTTTCTTCATCTCTCTCTCTGTAGAAATTCTCAAACTGTGGAATGGTCATCTTTATCGTCATAAATACTGTCATCTTTATGTCCAAGAGTATCCAACATTTAGCTACCAAACTACTACCCAAATCTGATTAATTGATCATGTTGATTCTGTCACATTCTACTTGTCATATCAGATTTTTATTAAAGAAATCATTAGCTTATCTATTATTGTTACTGGGGCTGTAAGAAAATTTTATAAGTCATTTGGATCAATCCTCTTCTTTATGGTCTTATTTGAGAATAAAACTTGGTTCTGTCTTAGCCTGTCATTGAATAAGCCAGTGACCTGGGGCAAATCTAACTGCTTCATCTGTAAACTATGAATAATAATAGAGTCCCTCTGCCTGTCACACATGGGTATAGTAAGGTTCCATTTTAAAAATGGCTCTTATTATGTTACCTGAAAGGCATTCTATAATGATGAGTGGCAAGGTGGTCTTAGCAACAGTGTAGTGAAAATTGGGACCATTTTCTGTCGCTATCATTTCTATTTTTGTGATACCCTCTTTAAATTAGTCTTAGGATGTAATTCAAAGGAGTGATGTAATTGGAATTTTCTTCTTTTTTTTTTTTTTTTTTTTTTGAGACAGAGTTTCCCTCTGTCGCCCAGGTTGGAGTGCAGTGGCGCAATCTGGGCGCACCGCAAGCTCCGCCTCCTGGGTTCACGCCATTCTCCTGCCTCAGCCTTGTGAGTAGCTGAGACTACAGGCGCCCGCCACCGCACCTGGCTAATTTTTTGTATGTTTGGTTGAGACGGGGTTTCACCATGTTACCCAGGATGGCCTCGATCTCCTGACCTCATGATCCGCCCAGCTCGGCCTCCCAAAGTGCTGGGATTACAGGCGTGAACCACGGCGCCCGGCCCATAATTGGAAATGTTTGTACTGTTAGATCTAAGAGTATTTTATGTGATATAATAAAAGATTAATTTAGTGAACCTCATTAGATAATTAGCCTGGAATACATTATGCACTGCCATGCAGGGGCCTAAGAGAATGGTCCACACGTCTTGCGAAGTTGATATGAAGACAGGCAACAAGACAGTCTAGCTGAGTAAAAGTCTGTAGACATCTCTAAGGAGGAGTGGTTAGAGAATGCCCTGACGGTGGATAGCTGGCATATTTTACCCCAGAAAGAAGAGCACAGAGTGGCAGAGAGTACTTGAGATTTAAATAAGAAAAGAGGATGAAAAAATTACTTTCACTAATTATAAATTTTCTCAAGAATGGACTTATTCTCTATTTTCTATTGCCTCTTGAGAAATCATTATTTTGCATTCAGTCAACATAATTATTAAGACTAATTGTGGAGGGTGTTCAAAATGGAAAAACAGCGGTCCCTAGGATTATATTGTATTTATGAATGATCACTCATTTGTAACTTTTCCTTCAGTTAGATGTTTTTTAATGCAAAAATACCTTTTAAGCACCAGTACAATTTGTGAAACGAAATGTGAAATTCAGGCATATATGTAATTTTATGTGTAAAATATTCCATTTTTTTCTGTTAATGAAGTAAGTATGTTTAACATGAGATATATCCTCTTAATAAATTTTTAACTGTGCAATACAATCTTGTTAACTATAGGTGCTCTGTTGACAGCAGATCTCTAGAACTTATTCATCTGTTATAACTGAATTTTATACCCATTGAACAGCAACCCCAATTTCCCCTCCTTCCAGACCCTGGCAACCAGTATTCTACTCTATTTCTAGGAGTTTAACTATTTTAGATATCTTACGTAAGTGGAATCAGGCAGTATTAAAACATACTTTCAATTAGTAATGACTATAATTCGGATAATTTAAATAAGAGAAAGCAAACATCACTACTACTAGCTTTTGGGGGAAAATATTACAAATAGGGATATTGTGATAAAAGTGTACAATATTTTTTATGTTTGTGCACTTAGATCTGTGTTCAAACTTTGCCACCTATACATGTATAGCACATTTGAATATGTGCTACAGTATGCCATTTATAAAGACTGAAAATAACATTTTATAAAATATTATTATTTATTTGGCAACCTCATGAGCTTTGGCTTCAAAAATACCTGATTTACAAAGCATAATCCTAGTGCTGGAGAACAGATCAGTGGCTGCCAAAGGTTAGGGTTGGTTGGAAGATGTGATTAGTGAGGGGTAACATGAAAACATGTACTTTCTTTGTGGTGATAGAGCAGTTCTGCATCCAGATTATGGTGATGGTTACATAAATCCGCACTTCATAGATCTATACACACACATCACACATACACTCACACACACCTACACAAGAGTACATGTAAAATCCTTAGAAATATGAATAGGGTCTGAACCTAAGTTAATGGTATGGAAACAATGTCAATTTCCTGATTTTGGCAACATACTGGGTTAAGTTAGATATAATTATTGGGGAAAGTTGGCTGAAAATAACACGGTCATTCTTTTTACTATTTTTTAACTTCTTGTGAGTCAAATTATTTAAAAATAATTGGTATTAAACACAGACAAAAAATCTAAAATTTCTAAAATCAAAGCCTTTATGAATTTGAGCATATTATTTGATTTCTTTTGTAGACCTTGATTTCTTCACCTGTAAAAATGGAATGATAGTAGAATTTCTATCTCATTATTGTCATGCTTAAACCATACCATTTATGTAAGTGCCCAGTACCATGTCTGGTGAACAATAATGCTTAAACACTGAGTTCCCCACTTTTTTGTGGCTGTTGGTTTACAGGTGGTTTTTAAGTTCCTAAGTGGAAGTTTGTTTAAAAAGAGGCAGTCAAAATAAACAGCAATGTCTCAGAGCATCATCTGAACAAGAAAGGAAGGTGTTCTCCATCCCTTGAAGTGGTCTCAGTCCTCTTTTATTGTTTAGCTCTCATGTAAGTCTTCACAAATAACCTCAAGAATTGCTACAACACCAACAGAGAATTAACTCTCATTGAGTTTTTAGCTCAGTAGATTCTGGGTCCTAAAATTTATGGACTCACCTGCTTTTTAAATTTTTCCCATTTAGAAATATTCAATTTAAATCTTCCTTCAGTAAGTAATTGTTAACTATTAACAATCCTAACATTATAATAAAGTCAGAAGTAACATTTATTACTTTTGTTTTCCACTCATACTGTTTGCAGTCCATAAGCATACAGCATTTTGGTCTTTCCAAATATCTAAAGGAAGATAATCAAAATCAAAACTAAGAAATCCTACTCTGAAGTCATATCTCTCTAACTAGATTGTATATTTATTGAGGGTGATGACTATATTTTCTTTTCCAGAAGAATAAAACAAATACAAGGTTGGGACGAATTGAATTCAGTGGGGGATGGAGAGGGGAAGGAGTCAAGGTTCTTCATCCTTTTCCATGCTTTGATAACTTTATCTATGAGATCCTAGTTAAAAGAACATGACTATCTAAAGAAGTAAGTGCTTGAAAGGCCCACTGTATTAGGAGATTGGGAATTGTTAGCTTGAAAAGACATAAATGGAAAGAAAACATAATACAGAGACAAAATACATGAAATTTGTATTGTGGTACACATGTGCTTTGTGATCATATTTCTGTGTCATAAACAAAAAAAAAAGTAGAAAGCTTAACCAAGAGAAATTTAGGGCACATAGAAGCATTTACGTGTTTTCATACTATGAGCTTGGGCTAAGGTGTCCTTTACCATGACAGCTAGTGAAGCATAAGAACAAATCAATTCACAAATGTTCTGGTAAATTCCAATTTCCACATCTTAAATCATAGACCTAAGTCAGTCAAAGTCAGTCATATATATAGATATGTGTGTGTGTGTATGTATATATATATATATATATATATATATATATATATATATATATATACAGGCACCTACTTAAGTGGTATGATTTAAGCATAGCAATAATGAGATAGGAATCATACTATTATTCCATTTTTACAGGTGAAGAAATCAAGGTCTACAAAAGAAATCAAATAATATGTCCAAATTCATATGGGCTTTGATTTTTGAACTTTCAAATTTTTGTCTTTGCTTAATACCTTTTGTTTTAAAATAATTTGACTCATAAGAAGTTAAAAAAAGAAGTAAAATGAATGACCATGCTATTTTCAGGCAACTTTCCCCAATGATTATATCTAACTTAACCTAGTACATTGCCAAAATCAGGAAATTGACATTGTTTCCATACCATTAACTTAGGTTCAGACCCTATTCATATTTCTAAGGATTTTACATGTACAGATGTGTTTGAATGTATGTGTGATGTGTGTGTATAGATCTATGAAGTGTGGATTTATGTAACCATTACCATTATCTGGATGCAGAACTGCTCTATCACCACAAACAAAGTACATGTTTTCACGTTATCCCTCACTAATCACATCTTCCAGCCGACCCTAACCCTTGGCAGCTACTGTTCTGTTCTCCAGCACTGGGATTATGCTATGTAATTCAGGTATTTTTGAAACCAAGCTTATGAGGTTGCTAAATAAATAATAATGTTTATAAACTATTATTTTCAGTCTTTATAAATGGCATACTGTAGCACATATTCCAATGTGCTATACATGTATAGGTGAGCCAAAGTTTGAACATGGATCTAAGCGCACAAACATAAAAAATATTGTATGCTTTTATCATAATATCTCTATTTGTAATCTTTTTCCCCAAATACTAGTAGTAGTGATGTTTGCTTTCTCTTATTTAAACTATCAGAATCTTTAAACTTTCTCTTATTTAAACTATAGTCATTACTAATTGAAAGTATGTTTGAATACTGCCTGATTCCACTTACACAAGAGAGATATACATATCAGTCATATATATGTGTGTGTATATATTTATATATATGTCAGTCATATATATGTGTGTGTATATATTTATATATATGTCAGTCATATATATGTGTGTATATATTTCTATATATCACATACACACATATATAGATGGAGTTAGGTCTATGATCTCTGTATATATTTATATACACACATATGTATTTTTAAACTATTACATGAAGCAAATAGTACAGTTGATTTCATATAACAAGAGTTATTGGATTTATATGGGCAAAAGTTAATGCATATGGGCAAATAAATTGATGAACTTACAGACTCATTTATTTGACATATATTTATTGTGTGGTCTCTATTGAATGCTGGGTATCTTCCAGGAGTCTAAAATTCAGCAGTGAATGTAACAGGCTCAAATCCTTGTACTCAAGTAGCTAATATTCTAATCGAGGGAGAAGACAATAAACAAAGTTAATAAGCAAAATATTCAACATACTAGTTGATAGGAAGCTCTGTGGTGAAAAATAAAGTAAGAGGAAAAGAATGAGAGGAAGCTCTAAAAGCAACTGAAGATTTACATGAGGAAGCTGCCCAGGCGTTGGCCCAGAGTGAGAGGAAGCGCCATGAGTTCAACAGGCAGGTCCCAGTTCAGTGGAAAGAAAAGGATTTCCAGGGCATGTTGGAGTGCCGCAAAGAGGGCGAGGCCCTCCTCATCCTCAACCTGGTGACAGACTTGAAGCCCCAGATGCTGTTGGACACAGTGCCCTGTCTCTCCGCCTACATCCTCTACATGTGCATCCGGCTCGCGGACCAAACCAACGATGATCTCAAGGTGCACTCCCTGATGACCTCCACCACCAACGGCATTAAGAAAGTCCTGAAGAAGCACAGTGATGACTTTGAGATGACGTCATTCCTGTTATCCAACACCTGCCACCTTCTTCACTGTCTGAAGCAGTACAGCGGGGATGAGGGCTTCATGACTCAGAATACAGCAAAGCACAACGAACACTGCCTTAAGAACTTTGACCTCACCGAATACCGTCAGGTACTGAGCGACCTTTCCATTCAGATCTACCAGCAGCTCTTTAAAATTGCCGAGGGTGTGTTACAGCCGATGATAGTTTCTGCCATGTTGGAAAATGACAGCATTCAGGGTCTATCTGGTGTGAAGCCCACTGGCTCCCAGAAGCACTCCTCCAGCATGGCAGATGGGGATAACTCATACCGCCTGGAAGCTATCATCCGCCAGATGAATGCCTTTCATACAGTCATGTGTGACCAGGGCTTGGACCCTGAGATCATCCTGCAGGTATTCAAACAGCTCTTCTACATGATCAACGCAGTGACTCTTAATGACCTAGCTCCTGCGGAAGGACGTCTGCTCTTGGAGCACAGGCATGCAACTCAGGTACAATATAAGTCAGCTTGAGGAGTGGCTTTGGGGAAGAAACCTTCACCAGAGTGGAGTAGTTCAGACCATGGAACCTCTGATCCAAGCAGCCCAGCTCCTGCAATTAAAGAAGAAAACCCAGGAGGATGCAGAGGCCATCTGCTCCCTGTGTGCCTCTCTCAGCACCCAGCAGATTGTCCAAATTTTAAACCTTTAGCCTCCCCTGAATGAATTTGAAGAACAGGTAACAGTGGCCTTTATACAAACGATCCAGGCACAACTACAAGAGCAGAATGACCCTCAGCAACTGCTGTTAGATGCCAAGCACATGTTTCCTGTTTTGTTTCCATTTCATCCATCTTCCCTAACCATGGAGTCAATCCCAGCATGTCTCAATCTGGAGTTCCTCAATGAAGTAGATGCATGTTTAATCTGATTCCCAATGTGAGCAAAAAGGAAGTATAGACAGTAAAGTAAATTCAAGGATCTGTTAAATCTGGTAAAAGTAGTTCAAATCAGAGATTGACAGCCTGTGGAGGGTGCTGAACTATACAGAATTAACACAACTATGGCGTTATTTTTTGTACGTACTGCTCAGAATAAAAACACTTGAAATGTGGAAGATTTTAAGTTTGATTTCAGTCCAACAAATATACATAATAATTTATAGACACCAAGCAGTCCCCATAGCCATATAAAAGATGCCAATTCTATAAAATGAAGCTGCCGAGTTTTAATCTTTGCATATAACTGGAGAATGTCCAAATTAAAATACTAACTATATATAAGTCACATAAATTGCCTTCAAAGGGCTTTTAACAAATAATAGTACTAATAACCATGATAATGACATATACTGACACTTCCCAAAGTTTGCAAACCATAGGTGTGGTAGAGTTTGTGGTGAGATGTGTTAAGAACAAAAATATGGGGATGAGACTTCTGAGAAATGTCCCCAAAATATTCTTTAATGGCTGATTATACAAAGACAGCAGTGTAACTGACCTCCAAACCAGACATTTTGAGTACTGGTTTCTGAAGCAAAATTAGAAGTGCCAGTCCTCAGTGTCCTCAAACGCTTTTGTGTAATCTTGGTTTAATGGAAGAGATGATTAAAATGCTGCTATCTGAAACTCCAAGTGAGAAAGATGGAAAAATAATTTGTGTCTGATGCTAGTCCATACACTTTCCAAGTCCCACAAAACTCTCACAAAAAAATGTATATAAGCTAAATATTACAAAATGATAACAACTTGTTTTATTTATAGATGTAAAAAACAAACAATGTGAAAGCTTTTAATCTCTTAATACCATTAAGCCTCCAGTAAGAGCCTCATATAATGCTCTACTATTCCAAACAACTAAATAGTAAAACAAACTAACTTTGCACATCAGATTATCTGAAAAACCTTCAAAAATACTCAGTTCAGGGATTACTATTATACAAAAGTCTGGGGTTTTTTTAAGAGAATAAAATGGCTTAGGTCAACTTTCCCCTTTCAGGTTATTTTCAAAGTTTTTCAAACGTTGTAATTCAAAATTGTAAATATCTCTCCTATGAAATAAGGATTTTAAAAATGAATAATTCAGTAATATAACAGACGTAGATGTTTGCTGCTCTTAGAATTTTTTGTTTGTTTGTTTTTGGGCTCTTCAAAAGCAAGCATTCAGTTAGAAACCCATATTATTCTTTCCACACTTTTTTTATTATACTTAAAGTTCTAGGGTACATGTGCACAATGTGCAGGTTTGTTGCATATGTATACATGTGCCATGTTGGTTTGCTGCACCCACTAACTCGTCTTTTCCATTAGGTATATCTCCTAATGCTATCCCTCCCCCCTCCCCCCACCACACAGCAGGCCCTGGTGTGTGATGTTCGCCTTCCTGTGTCCAAGTGTTCTCATTGTTCAATTCCCACCTATGAGTGAGAACATGCGGCGTTTGGTTTTTTGTCCTTGCGATAGTTTGCTGAGAATGATGGTTTCCAGCTTCATCCACGTCCCTACAAAGGACATGAACTCATCATTTTTTATGGCTGCATGGTATTCCATATTCTTTCCACACATTTTTTTTTACTGTCTTTTCCCTATTTCTTGATAGCAGTATGCTGTTTCCATGATAAGAACAAATAGTGTTTGCCAATCATAGAAGAACAGCCTCTGTATTACATTGAGAAAATGAGATTTATCCATGGATTGGAAGTAGAACAGCCTGCCTCCACCCTCCTTTACTCAACCACCCAACTTAAAAGGCTCTAGGAAACACAGCACACTCCAAGCTACCTTCTGTACTGTGCCCTTAGACCACAGCTTCCTCAGTCATTCTCTGCATCTCCTGGGGCTTAACCCAGTCTTAGCCTGTGTTGAGGCTGCTGACAGTTGTGTTCCAATCAGTTGCCATGGACATTATCCCTTCTACATCCACATTAAACATGCCAGCTTCTCTTGGGTGTCTGCAGAGCTGTGCCTTTTTCTTTCAGTTACAGTTACATAATCAATGACGTCCACGACACTCACACATGGATCCATGTGCTGACTTCATTTAGAAGGCCAATCTAAAACAACTGGGTTTGTGGCTACCTCTTTAAAGTTGTTTGTGAAGTATAATTTGCTTTTTGATGCACTTTAGTTTGAAACTGAGTCCCTTATGTAAGGACTGTCCTTAATCTTAAAAGACCAAAAATGCCTTGTTAGAGTGTTAAGGAGTTTTGACATGCAGTGGTTCCACAAATACAGTGGCTTACTGTCCTTATATACTGTCTTACACCATCATTCTCTCCATCTCTCTTGGTCACTACTGTCTGCTGTCACTGGTTAATCACTAGATGCCAAGAGCTTACTGAACAAAAGCTTGGCAATCAGAATAAATGGGGAAGGAAGGACCTTATGAATTGTCTACTTAGCCTAAGAAACGGCAGGTTTAGTTCTTCTCTTCCAAAAGATACAGGTATATCACTGGAATTGTACTTAAAATTTATAGATGACTAGCAAATATATACTTTATATGTACTTAACATTTAGATCAATCTTATTTAATACTTGGAGATTAGAAGAAGCATCTTTAGGGGAACTATATAATATTCTGTTAGCATTTTCTCTGCATTTTTAAAAATCATTTCATCTCAAACACTTATCAGCGTCATGAAATCAGTAATGACTCTTAAACAATTCAACATAAAGGTTTGAACTCTGCACTAGATGTCTCTTTAACTTTTTAATATTTAAAATTTAGTTCAGGCTTTTCTTACCAGGTGCCTTTAGTGGTGACTAAGATAACTGACTTCTCAATTGTTTCTCTGAAAAAAGTGTTGCTGTGGGAATAATTTTAATGTTCAATGTGATATCATGGTGGAGTTTTGTCTTTTAAAACATTAGAAGCATTTTAAATACTAAGAATCAAATATTTATAGATCAAACACTTGTGTTTTAAGTATTATACGGGACCTGTTTACATATAGTAAATGTGTATGCATACATGAGTTGTTGCTGAAGCCGACAAGCATATTACATACATGCATTTTCCCTGTGCCATCATAGTTGCAGTTAGAGTTCTAGTACCTGTAGGCTCGCCTGGGAGGCAGATTAGACCCAAAGGTAGACATTTTTCCCTTTCCCTGAAGCATGATGGTGGTAGTTGATTCTTTGATTTCCTTAGTACCAAACTTTAAGGCTTTTGTAAAAACAAAACGAAAAAACTAGGAGCTTGGAACATTTAAAAATTAACGCTGCTACCATCAATTCATCAAATATTTACTTAGAACCTTCATACATTAAGATTCTGGTAACCAATAAATTAGAATTTATTTCTTCTGCATAAAGTAAATTTTCATACACTCGACCTACTGAGACAGCAAAGGTGTCCTAATTTGAGGCATTTGTGTAATGCCTACATAACTAAATGGTAACTAAAATGGGACAGCATGGGGCAAGACCTTGTAGTTCTTCACAGACTATTTGTCATCAGTTTCTCCAATTAATTTGCTGCATGAGCCAAATAACCATAATTCACCTTTTGTACCCACTGGAGCCATAATTAGAGAATCAGAGGGTGTAGACAGAGGTTAATGCCAATGACAAACACAGGGCAGGATTTATTATTATTATAAAGATCATTACATACAAAAGATTTTTTTTTTAAATTCCTAATTCTAACAAAGGGGATCAACCAGAAATGAAACTAAGCTACTTTCTGAAGTGACACTGTGTCAGAATAATCCAGATTTGAATATAACATTTTGCCACCCACTGACATTTAGATGAAGGACTGCCTCTCCGGAAGAGTTCAGAACATATTCAGGGGTGAACCTAACACCAGGGAAGAAAGACTACTGATGAAAATATTTTTCCACTTTGAACAAATCTGTAAACTACACCTTTCTTTATAGAAAAATGCTTGGAATAGTCACTGTAATATTTAGCTGTGGATAAAAATTTGTGAAAATAAATACTTTTGAATTAGAAAAAGCAAGGAAGAAGAATGGGGTTGATAGGATGTATATTTAAAATAGATTAACCAGGAACAACTGCACTGTGTTTTATATATGTGTGATAAAATATGTATAATTATATATCACTATATATAATAACTATATCTTTATATCTGGTGCAGGTGAGTAAATAACCCCATGCAAATATCTGGGGAAGGAATAGTCCAGGCACTACAGGAATATCAAAAAGGCCAATATGACACAAGCAGAGTAATGACAGAGTGATATGGAGTGAGGAGCAGATGAAATAATAAGAAAAGTAGGCAGGTCGTTTTGAGGGGTATGTGTCTCAAATTCTAATTTGCATATAAATCACCAAGGTTTCACATTAAAATAAAGATTCTGATTCAGGTGGTCTGGAGAGTTTATATTTCTTACAAGTTTCAGGGGATGCTGGTGCTACTGGTCTGTGTATCACACTTTGAATACCAAAGGACTGGAGATGCGTGCATGGTAAGGAGCTTTGGGATGTGAGTAATGTGGGTTGAATTGTGTCTTCCCCAAAAAGATGTTCAAATCCCAACTCTCAGTACTTGTAAATATGACATTACTTGGAAATAAAATCTTGCCTAGTCAATCAAGTTAAGTGGATTCAGATGGGCCCTTATCAAATGACTAGTGTGCTTGTAAGAACGTGGATATTTAGAAAAACACACAGTGGATAAAGTATGTGAAGATGAAGGAAGAGAGTGGAGTCATGTAACTACAAGCCAGAGAATGCCAAGGATTGATGGCAACTGTGAGAAGCTAGGAAAAGACAAGGAAGGATCCTCCCCTGGAGCCTTCAGAGACCATGACCCTGATGACACCTTACTTTCAACTCCTAGCCTCCAGAACTGTGAGAGAATAAATTTCTGTACTTTTAACCTACTCAGTTGGTGGTAATTTGTTGCAGTAGCCTGAGGAAACTAATACCTTGAGTGGGATGGAGAGTGAAGTCATTGGAGGGTTTTAAGAGAAGAATGGCTCGGTCTGACTTATTCTTAAAGAATCACCCTAATTGCAGAAACAAGAATAGACTGAAGGCAAGGGGCTACAGGGAAGTAGGAAGACCAGTTAGGCGGCTATAGCAGTAAACCTAACTGGAGAGTGGAGAGATGGTGGTTTGAATCAGGGGGGTAGTGATGGTGGTGAGACAGGAACAGAATCTGAAGATGTTTTGAATTACTACTGATAAAATTTGTTAACATAGTATGAGCTATAAAAAAATGAGGGTGGCTGGGAATGGTGGCTTACTCCTGTAATCACAGCACTTAGGGAGGCTGAGATGGGTGGACTACCTGAGGTCAGGAGTTTGAGACCAGCCTGGCCAACATGGTGAAACCCTGTCTCTACTAAAAATACAAACATTAGCCGGGCATGTTGGCAGGTGCCTGTAATCCCAGCTCCTCAGGAAGCTGAGGCAAGGGAATCACTTGAACCCAGGAGGTGGTGTTTGCAGTGAGCCAAGATCATGCCATTGCACTCCAACCTGGATGACAAGAGTGAAACTCCATGTCAAAAAAAAAACGTAGAATGATTTATAATACTTTGGGTAGAAACCTAGTAACGGGATTGCTGGGTCAAATGGTGTTTCTGGTTCTAGAACCTTGAGAAATCACCACACTGCCTTTCACAACAGTTGAACTAACTTACACTCCCATCAACAGTGTAAAAGCATTCCTATTTCTCCATATCCTCTCCAGTGTCTATTGTTTCCTGACTTTTTAGTGGTCGCCATTCTAACTGGCTTGGGATGGTATCTCACTGTGGTTTTGATTTGCATTTCTCTAATGACCAGTGATGTGGGAGATCGGTCAGGGTGGTGGGAGAAGCTATAAGGAAAGACACAAGCCTTCTTGAAAGGTTGGAAGGTCTTGCAAAAGCTTCATGAGAGAATAAAGGTGAAGGAAGAAAATTCTCTTTCTCTGAGGCTAAGGGTGAGAAGTAGGTGCAAGGAAAAGTGAAGAAGTTTATCTAAATATGCTTGTTTACTTATGTCATCAGGAAACTGACTTTTGAACTTCTGAGCATGAGACTGCTCCCTGTAAGAGGGAGCAAAAATGTTAATTACCCAGCAATTGTGTTGACTCCAGGCCTTGGACGTTATGCCAGTACTGAATAAATACAAGCAGCTCTGGCTTATCGAGACTGCTAACTCTCCTCTGCCCCTAGGGCTCGCAGCCTCCTAGCCTGCTCTTACCCTGTATATTTGTGTCTGAGTACTCCTTTCTTCTGTTGCTCAGCCAGGGTCTGCGGGATGGACCCGGCACAGTGATGATGAGCTTTTTTTCATGTTTGTTGGCCGCATAAATTTCTTCTTTTGAGAAGTGTCTGTTCACACCCTTTGCCCACTTTTTGATGGGGTTGGCACAAGCACATGTATGTTTACTGCAGCACTATTCACAATAGCAAAGACTTGGAACCAACCCAAATGCCCATCAATGATAGCAGCCTGGATAAAGAAAATGTGGCACATATATACCATGGAATATTATGCAGCCATAAAAAAGAATGTGTTCATGTCCTTTGCAGGGACATAGATGAAGCTGGAAACCACAGTCTCAGCAAACTAACACAGGAACAGAAAACCAAACACTGCATATTCTCACTCATAAGTGGGAGTTGAACAATAAGAACACATGGATACAGGGAGGGGAATATTACACACAAGGGCCTGTCAGGGGGTGGGGGGTAAGGGAGGGATAGCATTAGCAGAAATACCTAATGTAGATGACAGGTTGATAGGTGCAGCAAACCACCATGGCACATGTATACCTATGTAACAAACCTGCATGTTCTGCACCTGTATCACAAAACTTAAAGTATAATTAAAGAAAAAAATAGGGCTGCCAAGGGTATAAACAGGGTGTTTCGTGGCTTAATAACTGTATAACTATAAGGATGGAGTCTATTACCTCCTGATATGAGGAACATGATGAGAGAAGGTGAGAATGGGGAAGATGCTGGGTAAGTGGGGAGAATAGTAGGAGATTAAGAGCTCTTTTTGAGGTATGTTCGCTTTGAGATGCCTATTTTGCCTGCAAGTGGAGATAGTAATTAGGCTACTTGGCATAAGTCTGGAGTCCAGAGCATAGGTCTCCACTGGAGATTTATCTGACATGAGTTATTAAGAGAAATTATGATGTTTGGCAAGCATGTCCTTAAGTTGTGAGATTAACATCAAGAAGGACAATCATGTACTTCTAAAACATGGTGTTCAGTGTCACTTATTTGAAAACATACTGGGCCATTATTTGACCTGTGACAGTTCTGACATTCATTCTAAGACTACCAGATATGAAAGTCAGGAGACTGATTAGTTTCTTTTTTGGTGCTTTTCTCACTCTAAACTTCAACTTTCCATATCATTAAAGCCACTAAGGTAAACAATTAGCCTAAGAGGTATATTCATTACTTTTTTGCTGCCTTTAAATTTGATGCCTCATTGTAAAAAATATGACCTCACTTGTATTTGTGTGGATGATATTTTAAAAGATCATACTGGGCAGAGAATATGGACACTTTCATTATTTAATACTTTAGACTAATGCCAATCATTCAAACATGAATTCTTCATTCATCTGTCTTGTCAAAGAAACAGAGCTCATATTGCATATGTGAAATATCACCTAGTGTCTATTTCAATCGTATATATTTTCTGTTTGTATCTTAGAAAAATTATTTCACCTCAACAAGCATATTGCTTGTTGGAATTATCTGGATATAGTGATAAAATAATTATTTTCATCAACATCTGAAGAAAATGCCTATGTATCTGTTGGGATGGGAGGTGGGATGGAGAGGTGTGCAGTTGTCTAGCACCACTTGTGGCTGGGAAGGTATGTGTGTCTACAGTAACAGAAAAATCTATTGTTACCACAAAGATTCCCCATAGCTCCTTTAAAAATAAACCTGCCATCTTGATCTCCATCTGCCTGAATCTTTGGGTATCTCTCCCTTAGTTCAAAATTCTGACAGAGAATAGAAGCATATTTATCAATCCTTCAAGCCCCAGTAGAAACATCAGAGGGAGAAAACTTACCTATTTTGAAATGGTTGACCAATTCTCAGTGACAAAGCTACAGTTACAGTCTGATTTTCTTGTCCATTGCCAAGAAAAAATGATTCAGTCTGACTCCAATTTATAAGGGCATGTTGAAAGCAAGAATCCTACTTGTAGAGTTTCTTCTTCTAGGCATGAGGAATGGTTATTCCAGGTAATGGATTCCTAATTTGCCCTTCTGTGGAACTAGATTTGCATGACAGATGACAGAATATTTGTCACCTTAAGATTCTTGAAAAATTAATTTAAAGCCATGCTATTTCTAATTGTTTTGGCTTATGCTCTGAAGTTTTTTTTTTGTTTTGTTTTTTGTTTTTTGTTTTTTTGAGACAGAGTCTCGCTCTGTCGCCCAGGCTGGATTGCAGTGGCGCAATCTCGGCTCACTGCAGGCTCTGCCTCCCAGATTCACGCCATTCTCCTGCCTCGGCCTCCCGAGTAGCTGGGACTACAGGCGCCCGCCACTACACCTGGCTAATTTTCTGTATTTTTAGTAGAGAGGGGGTTTCACCGTGTTTGCCAGGATGGTCTCGATCTCCTGACCTCGTGACCCGCTCGCCTCGGCCTCCCAAAGTACTGGGATTACAGGTGTGAGCCACCGTGCCCGGCCCTGAAGTTTTTCTAAGGCTGCCAAAATTGTGGTCACCAACATAATAGGTAACATTTTTCCATTATCCAGTGTAAAATATATATAATATGTTATATAATATGAAACTTAATATATCTGCTGGTGCATATAGCTTTATTATCATATAAGCTATATGAAAGCAGAAATATGCATTTAAATTCAACATTTGCAAAATGTTTCCTTTTTTTTTTTTTTCTTGAGACAGAGTCTCGTTCTGTCGCCCAGGCTGGAGTACAGTGGTGTGATCTCGGCTCACTGCAACCTCTGCCTCCCGGGTTCACGCCACTCTCCTGCCTCAGCCTCCTGAGTAGCTGGGACTACAGGCCCCCGCCGCCACACCCAACTAATTTTTTTGTATTTTTAGTAGAGACGGGGTTCACCATGTTAGCCAGGATGGTCTTGATCTCCTGACCTCGTGATCCGCCCACCTCAGCCTCCCAAAGTGCTGGGATTATAGGCATGAGCCACCGTGCCCGGCCTGCTTTTAGCTCTTACAATCGAGGGTAAATCTACTTATAAGGGTGGATTGCAGTATGCATGTATTTGAAGAAACCTGATACACATTGCTTCATTTTTTCATACAGCCTTAAGCAGATTATTAAATTTACCTTTTTATTTGAGTACTAACACTTTTCCTACATAGTTAGAGAGAGCTGTTTGCTCAGTTAATGCAGCAAAGGGATGAGGGTAAGAATGTGTGACAGTTAGCTCATTCTAATTTGCTTATTGATTGTTGGACATATTCCCTCAATTACTTGACCTCAGCTCCTATATTGGGGCTTACATTAGGTGAACACCCAGGGTCTCAGGGCTCCACGTGGGTGTTTGAAATCACTTGTCTAGATATATAAAAGAGAACAGGATATACTCACCACTTGCTTGGACACATTTTACTGCCTAAACGGTTCATTTACACTGGCCAGTGATGCATTACTTCTTGCCCCTAAGTGTTTCTCAATCTGTGTTTTGTATCTAAAATACGCCTTTTTCTCCATAATCTTTTAAGTTGTCTTTTTTTGCTAGCATTGCTTATAAAATCTCATTTTCTCCAAGAAATCTCTCTTGAAGCTTAGAAAAACAAAATTGGGGTAATATTTTCTAGGTAAATAGGCACAATTCTATAATTCTATATTCCATGATTTGTATTAAATATAATATAAATATTGATACATATTCTTTGTCTTTCAGAATAGGTATGTTATGTTCATATGTGTCAGGTTGGATCAGTATTTAAATTTTACTACTGAGATAAACAAAGAGTTATTAGCAATTTTTAAAAGTTGCTGTACAATTTGTCATATTTCATTGTGCTTCTTAATGACAAATATGTCCAAGATTATATTGGGAGCTGCCATTTTCTGTACTTTATCCCCAGATTTGGGAGTGATACTTATTACAGCTTTCAGAATTTCAAGAAATAGTAGCACTACTTTTAACTAGACTAAAGTCTTTTGTTTTTCTTTTGTATAACTTTCTGGACATTTGTAAATTCATAGGATGTCTTCCTCAAATCACAAAATGCCTATCGTCTAATTCAATTGGGAGGTCAGATACCGGTTTAATTCTGGAGCCATATGAATATTGCCTGAGTTAATGTTATAGCTGAATATCATGCAAATGTGGAAAAAGTCTATTGAATCAATGTCATTTTATACATGGAAATAAGCAAACAGTTGTAAATAATATGGAATATTAAAAATCTTTCTAGTAAACCAATGTTTATGTTTTTCAATTGTCTTGCTAAAGAAACATAGCTTCTTTTACCATGATGGAAAATATTGTGCTGGAAATAAAGAAAATAACAAATTTTGGGTCTCAGCTTAGGTTATCAGTTACCTAGTCTTAAACAAATGATATATCACCAGTGAAATTTAGCTTTTAGACATCAGTAAAGTAAGAAAATAAGCCTTGTTTACCATGAAATTTTATGCAAAAATTAGGTAATATTTAACTGGACTTATAAAGGACTTCTTTTTTCAAGAAACAATAAGAAAATGACCTGAAATAGTATAAGTTTTTATTCATAAGTGAAATTATTGCTAATTCACTTTACAATAGTCTACTTTTATTAATGGAGATCCTTGCATATTAAGACTTACAATCCTATTAATAATTGCTCACCTACAAATGACATTTGTCAAGGGATCAAAGTCTTCATGTACCACATAAAATATTATTATAACAAAGTAAACCAGCTGTATGCCTTTGATCACTACATCAATATCTAGATCTTTTAGCTTCTATTTCTGTTCCATTCTGCTAGCCAAGGGTCTTTATAAAAATACAAAGGAAAATGAACAGCTAGTAACACATTTGATGTGCCACTCTGATGGACTTCAGAATGCTTAATATCATCTTGTTTAATTTCATGTTTCAAAAAGCTTCTCAATGGCAGGATCAATTACTTTCAATCTCCACATCAATCAGTCCAGATGGTTCTCATGATTTGCTAAGGATAGCTGCAAACTGAACTTTGTGAACCCACGATGCATATTGTGTTAATCCTTGATATGGAAGGATCCTTCTGCAGAATAAGCGGAGCTGAAAAAGGTGTGCTTACTTTCACAAACTGAATGTTATTTAAGGAATAAAAGGTATTCTTTAAAGTGTTAAATCCAGATGAACACTGAAAAATACAGTCTTCAGAAAAATCAAGTGATTTCACTTCTGTATTCATTGCTGAAATGAGAACATCATTTCATTTCTAATTCTAATTTGAATTTTGATTTAAGGTTAAAAACACTTTAGGATTGTTTCGTATTGCAGAATAATCTGTAACTTGTTCTGTAAACACTAGTTGCTAGGCTAAAACAGTGAGTTATATTTCTTTGTGTATGATACTATTTGTTTATTGTCAATTTTTCCTGAACTCACCAGTAGAATATATTTTAATTTGAATAATTTAAGAAGCAATGTCACCAATATGGCTAGAACAATAATTTCACTTTTGTTACTAATTTAATTAAGAAGGTGATTTTTAGCAATATCCATTTCTATTTGGTTGTGTTTTTATCTATTTCAATTATTTTCTATATTGGAAGTAATTATGAATTTTAATTTTCATACAGCCCTCTTATCTTTTACTTAAAAAATTTAATGTTTAATGAATTTGGAGGGAGGGCCAACCTTCATTCTTACATTTATTTATACATTCAATGGGAAAGCAGTACTATTCTCCTGAATGTTCAAACAAGCAATGGAAATTTGCAAGAGAGAAATAATTTAAAATTTTCATCACATTGTATTGAAATTTCTTCTTTGTTTCCGTTTTTTCACCAGATCTTGAGCTCTTGAAGATGCATTGCCCATAGATGGTCTTCATTAATTTAAGCAATGTTTTCAGGGCAGTTATTCTGTGAATATGCCTGTAGGATTTAACTGGTCTTTGAATTATGGATATTATTTGGAAAGCTGGAGAGGAGAGCGAAGGACACTATATAGGTAGGCAAACATCTTGAAATTTTGAAACATTGTGTAATTATTTTACACATAACTGCCTGGACATGACCAACAGGTATAAGAATAGAATCTGTTGGTTGCTAAAACTACATTTTTAGTTAATGTCCAACATGTACCAATAGATGCCACTGAAGATCTTCTATGAAGTTCCTCCTAAGAGTCATAACTGGTGAACACAGTTCATCCATGGGGAATACAGACTATAACTTACTAATGGATTTAGGAAGGAATCTACCTAGCATTTTTGGGAAAATGTGAATAAATCAACCTGATCAATGTGGTGGGCTCCTCTAGAAAATAGAAAAAGAGGGTTAGGCTAAGTAATGTGGAGATTTGAGAAGATAGATCTGGGGTGATAGAATATTAGATATAACAAAGGCAGTCTCTTCAACTTTACCAAGTTTTTATTGTCATTTGTGCTGGTGTCTATCAAATTGTATGTGACTGCTTGCTTTCAATATGGCAAATGCATCTTCAGAAACATTATAACTAAGATAACTTTTCCAATAGAGTGCAAAATGTGCATCTCTAGAAAGGTTTACTCAGAGAACTCTGGCAATACAATGCCACATACATGCAGCGTTATGATCTTTAGTTTGATTTCTCCTTCCCTTGACCCTGAATAGGACTCTACAGTCAAGGAAGTTGAATGGAGAAGGAATTTGAGACGTCAGGCTGTGTTTGTTAAAAGGGTTTTATGATGTCTTCTCTTTGAGTAAATATACTGGCTATTGTATCTTTCTTCCTTCCTTCCTTCATTCCTTTATTGTATCTTCCTTCCTTCCCTCCTTCTTTCCCTGTTTCCTCCCTCCCTCCCTCCCTTCCAGCCTTCCTTCTTTCCTTCCTTCCTCCCTCCCTCCCTCCCTCCCTCCCTCCCTTCCTTCCTTCCTTCCTTCCTTCCTTCCTTCCTTCCTTCTCTCTCTCCTTCCTTAACTCCCTTCTTTCCTTCCATCCAGAATTATTTTTGAGAAACGCTGTGATGTGTCAGTTGGTAGCACATTCTCTGGAGCTGGTTGCTTGGATTAAAATCATAACCCTTCCTCCTATTAGCTATGTGACCTTGAACAAGCTACTAGGCCATAAATTAGGACTAATAATGGCATCAATATGATCCTGCTATAGACTGAATTGTATGAGTTAATGTATGTGAAGCATTTTTATATGGTAAGAATTGGATAAAATACAGTTACTATTTTATTTATTGAATACTTAGCATTTTTTAGCTTTTTATTTTGAAAAGATCTTAGATCCATAGGGAGTTTCAAATACAGAGAGGTCTCGTGTACTATTCTACACAGTTTATTTCAAGAGTTACATCTTGTATAATTTAGTACAATATCAGGACCAGGCATTGACATTTATACAATGTGAATTCATAGGTCTATGCCAATTTTATCACGTGTTGATTAATGTGACCATTATTACAATTAAGTTACAGAACTCTTCCATCACTAAAAGTGTCTTCCTCACATTTTATAGCCATATTCATCTCACACTCCCATACCATCACTAACCTCTGGAAATCACTAATCTGTTTTCTATATGTATGTTATTTTATTAAAGTTATATACATGAAATAATATGCCATGTGTCCTTTTGATATTTGCTTTTTTTCACTAAGCATAATGCCCTTCAGATCCATGCAAGTTATTGCATGTGTCGAAAGTATATTCTTTTTTATTTCTGGGTAGTATTTAATCATATGGATATACCACAGTTTATTCAACCAGTCACCTGTCCAACATCTTGGATGTTTCCAGTTTTTCTCTGTTAGAATTAAAGGTGCTATGAAAGATATTAAAGATCGCATATAGGTTTACATTTCTCTTAGATAAATTTCCAGGGGTGCAATTGCTGGATCTTATTATAAATATATGTTTAGTTTTTAAAGAAACTGATAAATTATTTCCAGAGTATTATAACATTTTACAATTCAAATAATGTATGAATGATACAGTTTCTTCATCATTGCCAGCTTTTGTTGTCACTATTTTTATGTTTAGTTGTTTCAATAGGTGTGTAGTTACCTAGTATTTTGATAAGAGCTGAGGATACAAATTTGAGTTGATCAAGAAGTCAAACAAATAGAAAGCAATCATTAAAGATTACAATAAAAATAAACGAAGTGAGGAGACTGCTAATAACCAGGGAAGGAACTTTAATTAAGGTATTTCAGAAAACTTCTTAGCCGAGATTTCAAAGAACAATGATCTAATTTTACAAAAAGCCACAGAAAGCTTATTTTAGAAAGAAAGAGAAACAAGCACAAAATTCTAGAGGCAGAAAAAGGGTTGGCATATACAAAGACTGTGGAAATAATTAAGAATGTTTTGGGTGTGATAAGAAAAGAAGGGAAGTGTATGACATGTGGTTGGAGAGGTAGGTAGAAAACATCAAGTCAGGATCTATGGTCATTAAAAAGAAGTTGGAAATTTTTCTTTATATTAGCAGAGGAAAGCCAAACAAGGACTTAAAGCAGAAAGTAGGGAATGAAGAGTCAAGATCTTGTGTGCTTTAAAAAAAAAAAAGCCACTCTGACTACTGTGAAAATAGAGCATTTAGGGAGGAGATGACAAGAAGGGAGGCAGATTTGCAATGCATTGTGGTATTCTGACAGAGAGATGGGTGTGGCTTTGAGAAGTGTTCACGGAAGAAATGGAAATCTTGGAAATGGAGAGTCATGGGGAAAAAAAGAACCTAGGTCGACCTCTAGGTTTTGGGCATGAGTCATACAGGCACAGTGTAGTACCATTTATTGGGATGAGAAAAGCTGTTGAAGGAATTTTGTTTTGCTTCGTTTCAGTGCGAACACGTGCAGCAGTCAGCTTGATTTCAGACATACTAAATTTGAGTTTTCTGTTAGATACGCAGGAGATTTCAAATAGGAGATTGGATATATTAGCTAAAATATTGCATCTGCAAGTCTCTTTTTTCAACTGATCTTAGATGGATGGATAAATAAGATAAACCAGTTGAAGTCCAGTGGAAAAATATTCCATTAAAATAAGACCTATTTGGGCTTCTATTATGATATTTTGCCCTTTCTTATCTCTGTGACTAGAGTGAATAATAATAATCAGAGATGCAGTTTTCTCACCTGTGCAATAGTAATATCTATTAGATATGCATAGTGTGGAAAATTAGCTAAACTCATTCATACAAAGTAACTCTGACATTGAAGGTTCTAAAATTAACAACATTTAGAATTTTAATCTTCCATCTAGTTTTACCATTTGGAGTATATAAGGAAACCTAGAAAGAAACCTTATATCCACTTGTCTATCCTATAATATTTGCACATTATAGGGTATAATCTCAGGGCATAAATACAACTTTTTATAATTCCTATAGAGTGATACTCTTAGGCCAATATTACTGATCTTGAAAAGTGGGGTATTGAGGTATTTTACTTGGTTGTAAGCCATCAACGTGTTTTACAAATGTGATATTAGGTTTTGATATTAGTAAAAAAAAGAAGCTTCAAAATGTCCTCTCTTTCTTTGAATGCAATCACAATCATTTCCTTTTTGAATTTTAAATATAAGTAACCTAAAACTTAATAACTTGCTCACAAGTCTAGAAGCAGACAAAATATCACCCACAAACCTGATTTATAATACTACGTTAAACTGACTTAAGGCTTTAGACATTCATAAACATCTTTTAATCTATTCCCCTTTTGCATGGATATGTAAATATATACTCCAGGAGGTATAATTTTTGTAGTTATTGTAGTGCTTTTGTAATGAAGAACTAAGTCTATTTTCACAGTGATAGAGAATTGAGTTGAGTTCTTTTGACCCTGGATGGATTTGTCTATTTTTTAAGGTGCTACTTAAAAATGTATAGGAGAAAATAAAAATAAATTATCTCTTTCATAAGTTAAAAATATTTTACATTTCAGCATTCTGAAAGCACAGAGGATTCAACAAAAATGATGGTTTAGAATCAAATTCAATAAAGAAACATCAGCTTGAGATCAGACTCTCTGAGGAATGTTTTTTTTTCCTGATGAATCTGAGCCATTCAAGGTCCTTATAAATAAGTGAGAGCACCTTTGATTTTTGACTTTTTATAGTTAACAGTTTCAGTTTGCTAATACAAAAGACCTCATGCCTTTTCATCCAGAAAACAGAGAACACTTTCTATTATGTAAGAGTATTATGTTTGAAGGAGTATGTTTGCTTCAACTATGCGTGCTATGGTACAGAAAGAAAAACCACCTCCCTGTAGGTCTAAATCCAAGGGGTTTTCAATGTATTTGGGTTAAGTTATGTTGTAAGGTTATAGCTCTCTAAGATTTTTACAAGATGCATTATTAAACATGAATCTTCTGTAACGTGTACAGCATATCTTGTATAAAACAATGCAATATTTTCTTCTAAGTATGGGATGGCTTTGGTCACCCATGCTTAAAAAAACTTTGAAGAGACAATTCATCTTTTTCCTATGAAGCAATTTTTATTAATTGACATAATTCTTCAGCAGTCAAGCTATTACTGTCATTAGGTAGTCCTTTCCTTTATTCAGAAGCCCAAGAAGTTAGTAGAGGTTTGTATACTACGCACCTTTCACCAGAAAATAAAAAGGGAGAACTTTAAGTATTTGACATCATCAAAAATTAGGTGTTATGGTGCTATGCTTAAGTTTTGATATTATATATTAATTACATTTCCCTTAGTACTACCTCCTCTGAATTCTTGAGCTTGTCAGTAGTTGAAAACATTTGAACCTAAACCATTTTTGCACATTCAGAACTAAATGTCTGGGTAACTTGGGAATTAATACTCTACAACCTGTGATGGAGCAGGGAGCAGGGTCAGCTGTCCATTAGCATCTCTTGTGAGGTCTCTCCATTTTCATAAAGAGGCTTGAGAAAATCTCCAGATTTGCCTGAGGGTAGACACAAAGCAATACTCAGTTATACTCAATGTTATCAACCTACTGGACTTGGTATAAAAGACTTTTTGAGCACTGTATTGCCTATTAAAAAACAGTAAAGTGTAAAAGATAGTTCTTTAGACAAATTGGGCCACGGAAATGCCAAATCATTAGTTTTGGTGTCTGTAATGCCTCACAAAGTTATAAACTTTTATGAATAATTTGCTAAGAAATTAGCTCTAATGACAGGTAGTTTATGTATATACCTTGATAACATCTACAGGTATCTTATGCACATGACATTATAGAAATATTTGTTTGGGTTTTTCTCAACCAGTCATTTTCTACACCATAATTCCAGCTCAGCCCACTCCACTTGCAATTGCTTGCTCTCATCTTCTAACTCCTGTTTATTCTTCTCAATTTCTGCTGTAATGGCTTCATTTAACCTGCTCCTCTGTATCTTGTATGCTTTTTAGTTCACTGCTTATTTCCTTCTTCCTGCTGGAAAACTTGGCTAAATAGCTCGTATTAATATTTTAGCCTCATTTGGCTTTAAGATTATCTCATAAGGATATCATATATAAATGGTAGTTAATATTTCTGAGCACCAACTTCCCTTACTCCAGCTCTCAGACTTCTTCCCATTGTTATGACAATTGAAGGCTTTTTAAATTCCTGTCTTAGGAAAAGTGGCCCAAAATTTGCCATAGATCTATGATGTTTTAATTAATACTGACCTCTGAATGATCTAGAAAATAATGGTAAACCATGTATACATATTTGTGTGTGCACATGTGTGCATGTATCCATAGCATCTGTGTGTGTGTACATTTTATAGATTTTGTCTTTGTATGAAGAAATATATTGAATATCCAAATAAGCATAATTTCTATACAAGTGAGGTATGTGGGTTAAAATCTAGTGAACAAAATATAACTATACATTCATGATTTGGAAACCTTTTAACATGATTCCTGAGGAATTACTCAATTGTTAATTGTTTCTGCCTTCTCTACCAAATGACTAATATTTGGACTGAAAAGAAAAAAAGAGAACCTCAGTAAGGAAAAGTGGAATTTCTGTAGGTGGTAACTCTGGAATATCCCACCAAGAGAATGAATCAGATTAAAATAATGACTGTAGAAATTTCCTTGTTAGTGAATATTCAGCCTGGCCTTAAGGAAAATGTAGCTCTCTCTTACTGCTTTGTATCTTATTTCTTTTACTATGTCAATTCTCACCTTAGTAGAACTACTACTAGTTCTAGTACCATGGCTATCATAGATGCAACCATTATATTCCATTTAGTTTCTTCCTCAGGTTCCCTAACAATTGTTTGAAACTGAATATATATGTTTATGTATGTGTGTGTGTTCACTTTCATGTATATGGTGTATATGGGATGTGTGCAGTTTTCAGTTTTATATGTATTCATATATATACATGCATATATGTGTATAATATACATATATACATGCATACACATGTATAATATACATATATATACACATATATGCACACATATAATCACTGAGTTCCAAAGTGAGTCTTTATTTGGTGCAATTGTATTCTCTCCCCTCTGTCTGCTCACTGGCCTTTGCAAGACATAGCAGTTGCTTGATTTTCCTTTGGATAAGAGTCTTATCTTCGGCACTCTTGACTCTAGCCTTAAATTTAGATTTCTATTCCAGAATACCTCTCATATCAATCTTAAAACCTAAGATGGGTAAAGAGGTCATAAGATTTTTAGTATGAAAGAGTTTGCTTAGTTAAATTATATCTCAGGAAACTCATTCATCTACAAGTTAAATTGTAAAATATTGTTTGTTGTATCTGAAAAAATCTTTAGAACAAGAAATGTAACTGGGTAGCCTGTTATATCAAAGAACCCTCGATTTATTAAGCCTCCTCATAGCCATATCCTTATATAGCCCTCTCTGACACTGACTTAATAGACACTTGACAAATGATAGTAAATTTAGGCTTGCCAAATTAAAATGGCAGCAATGCCAAATGAGAACCTGATCTACTCTACCAGAGAGACTAAGTGGAGGAGAACCCAGCTGATAGCACCAGTGAAGTGCCAGATATTTGAGTGATGTCACTTTGGACTATGTAGGCCTTGTCAGTCATATAAGGAAACCTAGGCAAGACTCCGACTATTATCCTCCTGAGCCCAACCAAAGTTAACAAATTGTGAGTTTGTGTTTTAAGCAACTAAATTTGATGACTGCTAATTACACAGCAATGGATAATTGAAATAACAACTAAAGATTAAAGATGAGATAATGTGTTGTGTTTAAAAATTTAGCAAGTGAGTACTTCATGAATATATTTACCTTGATGGCATTACAAGCTAAATTTTACTGGGCTTTATTAGAACAAATTATTTGAGCATTGATGAGAAAGTGAACTTTCAAACTATCTTATTTACGTTTATGTTTCAGTTATCCCACAAAAGCAGGAAATTACTTTCAACAATGCACCTGAGGTATTTTATAGTAACTCTCTGGTTATTTCCATGTATCAGGTGGAGAAATATGGATCAGACACAAAGACAATAAGATTCATTGCTCTCTAGCGGAATACTTTTTCTTAAATGGGTTTATTAGTAAATTGAGAACTTGATTTGATGTTTACTCTGACGTGTGATGTAAAGTTCTTCCTAAAGCCCCCTTTCTTTTCCTTTTTAAAATTATTAACATAGATGAATACAGAGAATGTGAACATATTAGCTATACAGATATCACAACAGGAGAACAGTAAATGTTATGTTTTAGACTATTTCAACCCTAAAATATGGACACAGGTTGGAATGAGGATCCAATTCAGCATAATAGCCTCTAATGGAGTAGGAAACATATAAAATCCTGTGTTGCTTTATGAAATGTTGCTTATTTGCTGCATGGTTTTAAAAAGTATCAGTTTTATTTAATAGTGGGATCTTTATGTCAGTGATTACTGATGTTTCCAGCAAGCTAATTCATACCAGGGAGACAATGTAAACATTTAGAAAGGGGATTATATTTCTGTACTATCTGCATATGTCAGATGACAACGAGAGTTTCAAAGTACAATCTTATGAAGGGTTGTATTGCAGATTTGGCCTAGAAGCCCAAAACCATTAAATTTTTATCAAAATTATACCTGAAAATTCTTCATGTTGTTTATTAGCAGTCATTATCTTTACAAAGATATAGGAAATAAAGTGATTTCCATCTGTTGCAATCACTTGCCTTTTACAATAGACAAAATTGTTATTTTCATTAGATTTTACAAAAGGAATGATATATAAATTTTTAAAAGGCATGTTTAGGTTTTTTCACCAGAGAAATTTAGATTATTCTTGCATAAAATCAATAAACATAATCCAGCACATAAACAGATCCAAAGACAAAAACCACATGATTATCTCAATAGATGCAGAAAAGGCCTTTGACAAAACTCAACAACACTTCATGCTAAAAACTCTCAATAAATTAGGTATTGATGGGACATATCTCATAATAATAAGAGGTATCTATGACAAACCCACAGCAAATATCATACTGAATGGACAAAAACTGGAAGCATTCCCTGTGAAAACTGGCACAAGACTGGGATGCCCTCTCTCACCACTCATATTCAACATAGTGTTGGAAGTTCTGGCCAGGGCAATCAGGCAGGAGAAGGGAATAAAGGGTATTCAATTAGGAAAAGAGGAAGTCAAATTGTCCCTGTTTGCAGATGACATGATTGTATATCTAGAAAACCCCATTGTCTCAGCCCAAAATCTCCTTAAGCTGATAAGCAACTTCAGCAAAGTCTCAGGATACAAAATCAACTTACAAAAATCACAAGCATTCTTATACACCAATAACAGACAAACAGAGAGCCAAATCAGGAGTGAACTCCCATTCAAAATTGCTTCAAAGAGAATAAAATACATAGGAATCCAACATACAAGGGAGGTGAAGGACCTCTTCAAGGAGAACTACAAACCATTGCTCAATGAAATAAAAGAGTATACAAACAAATGGAAGAACATTCCATGCTCATGGGTAGGAAGAATCAATATCGTGAAAATGGCCATACTGCCCAAGGTAATTTATAGATTCAATGCCATCCCCATCAAGATACCAATGACTTTCCTCACAGAAATGGAAAAAACCACTTTAAAGTTCATATGGAACCAAAAAAGAGCCTGCATCACCAAGTCAATCCTAAGCCAAAAGAACAAAGCTGGAGGCATCACGCTACCTGACTTCAAACTATACTACAAGGCTACAGTAACCAAAACAGCATGGTACTGGTACCAAAACAGACATATAGATCAATGGAACAGAAGAGAGCCCTCAGAAAAAATGCCGCATATCTACAACCATCTGATCTTTGACAAAGCTGACAAAAACAAGCAATGGGGAAAGGATTCCCTATTTAATAAATGGTGCTGGGAAAACTGGCTAGCCATATGTAGAAAGCTGAAACTGGATCCCTTCCTTACACCTTATACAGAAATTAATTCAAGATGGATTAAAGACTTACATGTTAGACCTAAAACCATAAAAACCCTAGAAGAAAACCTAGGCAATACCATTCAGGACATAGGCATGGGCAAGGACTTCGTGTCTAAAACACCAAAAGCAATGGCAACAAAAGCCAAAATTGAGAAATGGGATCTAATTAAACTAAAGAGCTTCTGAACAGCAAAAGAAACTACCATCAGAATGAACAGGCAACCTATAGAATGGGAGAAAATTTTCACAACCTACTCATCTGACAAAGGGCTAATATCCAGAATCTACAAAGAACTCAAACAAATTGACAAGAAAAAAACAAACAACCCCATCAAAAAGTGGGTGAAGGATATGAACAGACACTTCTCAAAAGAAGACATTTATGCAGCCAAAAAACCCATGAAAAAATGCTCATCATCACTGGCCATCAGAGAAATGCAAATCAAAACCACAATGAGATACCATCTCACACCAGTTAGAATGACAAACACTAAAAAGTCAGGAAACAACAGGTGCTGGAGAGGATGTGGAGGAATAGGAACACTTTTACACTGTTGGTGGGACTGTAAACTAGCTCAACCATTGTGGAAGTCAGTGTGGCAATTCCTCAGGGATCTAGAACTAGAAATACCATTTGACCCAGCCATCCCATTACTGGGTATATACCCAAAGGATTATAAATCATGCTGCTATAAAGACACATACACACGTATGTTTATTGTGGCACTATTCACAATAGCAAAGACTTGGAACCAACCCAAATGTCCAACAATGATAGAGTGGATTAAGAAAATATGGCACATATACACCATGGAATACTATGCAGCCATAAAAAATGATGAGTTCATGTCCTTTGTAGGGACATGGATGAAGCTGGAAACCATCATTCTTAGCAAACTATCACAAGGACAAAAAAACAAACACTGCATGTTCTCACTCATAGGTGGGAATTGAACAATAACACATGGACACAGGAAGGGGAACATCACACACCAGGGACGGTTGTGGGGTGGGGGGAGTGGGGAGGGATAGCATTAGGAGATATACCTAATGGTAAATGACGAGTTAATGGGTGCAGCACACCAACATGGCACATGTATACATATGTAACAAACCTGCACGTTGTGCACATGTACCCTAAAACTTAAAGTATAATAGTAATAAATAAAATAAAACAAAAGAACTAGTTTGTTGAGTTCATTTAGGAACTAAGTTGTAAGAAATATTGCACCAGACAATTTGTTTTCTGAGATGAAGCTCAAGTAACTATGAGCACAGTATCAGGAATGACATTCATTTGTTCCCAGCTGTCTCTAGGCATTTTGCACTCTTGAAAAATACTAAGTTCCCTGGACCTGAAGAGATTCATGAATCAGTAAGAATGTGAGCCCCTTGAGTGTTCAATATCCCTTCAAACCTTAGAAACTGTAAGTCAATGATGGTGATTATCATATCACAAGAGTATAGTTAGCTTCTTTTAAAAGACATAAAAGACCCCTCTGAGTTAGCCCTAGACACATATTACTCCAACTGCCTGAAGAAATGTTTAGCGATCCATACAGAATTACTCTCAATTAGATTTAGAGAAAACATTCTCTCTTTGAAGAACACTAGAATTGAGGAAAATATGGTAGAGCATATAGGTTATTTTGCCTTTGTTACTTTGTAGACCTTAAATCATGGAGTGAGTTAGAACACAGTATATTTGTGACAACCATGACAGTTCAGAGAAATGCAGTGAGGTCATTTACTCTGAAACTGAAAGACACTAATCTCTGCTCTGAGACCCACAAAGTCAGATTATCTGTTTTACCTGTGTGATTTCTATTCCTCTCATTTTGTTGTTCTTTTTATAAAACATCTTTGCTAAATAATAAAGTTATTACTCTAAGGTAGTGTCCAGGTCTCTTTGATAATAATGAAATGTCCATGGCCAAATCCCATTGCTTTGTTTTGACAGTGTGCTCCAAGAAAATTACTTTGATATGCCCTCTCATATTAGAATAAACACATTCTACATACCTATTGCCTACATCAAGTTTTGAATTATACCATTTTCAGGTTTAACCTGGTCATACAGCAGATTTTCTTAATGGTTGGTGAACACGGAATAATAGTTTAATCATTCAGATAAACTATTTTGCAGAAACATTTAAAATCAGAAATTGCAGAACTACTATCTGAACTTTAAAGGGACACTCTTAACCATATTTTGTTTTATTTAGTACTCACGCTGACAAGTTGATTTACCACCTCATTTTCCCAACAAGTGTCAAGATTTCAATATGCAGTTAATGGTTTCTAAAAACAGTGACTATTTAATTACATCCTTATAGTTTCCCCAAATTGCTTATAGTTTGCCCTCATTTAGTTAGGTCTATAATATTTCTCAATTAGTGTAAAAATTTCTACTCCTTTTTAATCATTGATGCATATAATGATGTATAAAAATTATTGTGTAGATAGCCCCTCCATGAAAACTTAAAATCAAAAGCTTTTAGCATCAAAGTATCAGAATACAAACTAAAGAAAACACACCAATTCAGAAAGATTTTCTTTAAATATATTAAAGTGAATAAAATGTTCACAGAGAATCACTCACATCTAAGGATATAGACTTTTTCCTAAAGTGAAACTATTTTTGGCTCACTCAGACTCTGAGTAGTGTTTCACTGATTTTGAATTTCACTGGTCAGAACCAGTGTTGGTAGTAAGAATTATTGTCCCAGAAGAGAATAGAAATGCTTGCCAACTCTACTTTCAACCCTTGCTGGAATCCCTATGTTGTGGGTAGAGATATGACTAAATTAAGCAGTTTTAAGTCTAAGCCAGAAAGATTTAATTATTGATTTATTGGTTTTACAATTGTTAAATATTGCCTTTAACCGAGTATATGTTTTATCATGTAATAATCACTTTGGCAGCCTCAAATGTCATGGGTTCACAGGGTAAATGTTAAGGTAATAGCTAAACAATTGAGCGTATAGGAGATCTATAGTGAGTGAAAAAAATTCAAGATGTAATACAGAGTCCAGTATGACAGACTTGAGAAACTTTCAAAAACTAGGAAAAGAAAACCAAAAGTCATTCTTGCAGTGTCTCTGATTGCACTGACTTGATGCAGAATTGGTGCATTAACATATGTATACATTACATATGTATACTTGTGCCATGCTGGTGTGCTGCACCCATTAACTCGACATTTAGCCTTAGGCATATCTCCTAATGCTATCCCTCCCCGCTCTCCCCACCCCACAACAGCCCCCAGAGTGTGATGTTCCCCTTCCTGTGTTCATGTGTTCTCATTGTTCAATTCCCACCTATAAGTGAGAACATGCGGTGTTTGGTTTTTTGTCCTTGCGATAGTTGACTGAGAATGATGAATTAAAATAAAAATGCATGCACTTTCAAATGTACTTAGTGCAACATATTGAACTTACATTCCAGTTTTCCTGGAATTACTTGTGTCTTGAGCTAAAGGCTGTATTTGGTATAACAGGGAAGGAAAGAAATTATTTTTCCTATAAAATTAGTTTAAAAACACATATAATTAAACAAAATAAAAATATTATCCCACCTTTTAAAGAACATTTACTAAGTCACAGATATTACCCGAAGTTTAGAAAATCACCTAAGAACAATTGTTTAAAAATTATTTACGGAAAATGAAGCAAAATTGTTTTTACAATCTGAGATTTTAACAGCCAGTGCACTCCTGTTCTTCAGCTGAATGTCCCCTTCATTCTGAATGTCTGCAGTAGAATTGAATTGGGGAGCAGTTAGGTTCCAGGAACATATTCACTCCTGTTTTGTTCTCTCCCCAATCTCAGCCTTTCGGTGACTGTTTGGGCAAAGCCTCCCTTGTGGTAGAAGATGCCTCACTTCTGGGGAGAGGAGACTCCTCATCTTGCAGACAAGAAGCAGCACCCACTGGTTCCTGCTCCAAAAGCCATTAACATTATAAACTGGCCAGGTGTGGTGGCTCAAACCTGTAATCCCAGCACCACTTGGGAGGTTGAGGCAGAAGGATTGCTTGAGCCCAGGAGTTTGAGAACAGCCTTGGCAACAAAGTGAGACCCAATCTCTACAAAAACTAGAGAAAAAATAGCGGGGTGTGGTGGCACTCACCTATACTAAGGAGGCTGGGCTGGGAGGATCTCTTGAGCCCAGGTGGTTGAGGCTTCAGTGAGCCAAGATCATGCCTCTGCACTTGAGCTTGGGTGACAGAGTAAGATCCTATCTCAAAAAATAAATTATAAACTGATTCACAATAACTTTGGTTTTGTCACTAATATGCTGAATATTTTCGTTACAACTAATATACAAAATGCAAACTGGCTATCACTACCATTCTGATAATGGAATTAGCTGTCCTACATACCTGATGACCTAATGCTTAACCTAATCTTCCTCTTTCCCACTTTGATTTGGAAACTTGTTACAATAGAGTTCTTTACCTCAAAGTCTTAAGGAATTCAAGACAAGACTAGAGTATGTTAAGATACCACAAAAAGAAAAAAATATATATATAGCAAGAGCTTTCTTGAGTAAGCAAATTTTATACATATAAAAATAATTTACATGCAAATGACCAAGAGGAAAGGTTAAGTGACTCTGGTGTAAATAATTAGTTTACTGATTCTGCCAGAGCATATTAAGAAAAATTCACTTTGGCAAAATAATATGGATTTAAAGAAGTAACAAGTGGGTTTCTCTAAAGCACAGTTTGGCTTTTTACTAGAATATCAAGTCACCTTTTTGGGTGAGGAGAGTACAATGGGAGTGGGCAGCTGGTGCAAATAAACATTTAAAATTACTTAAAACTTCAACAAATGGGATCTGTATTTAAATCTGTTTTGGTCTGTCTTCCCTTTGTTTTTTCTAATCCATTCCAACAATGCAAACCTCAGCCACTGTCAAGGGCAATCTCAGACTGGAGGTTGCTGCCTAGGGTGAGGTTCTAGCAAGACTGACAAGCAGAGCTCAGGGAAAAGTCTGCATGGGAAAACAGAGCCAGACTTAGAAGGCATTGCTGATGAATTCCATTTTCTTACTACAGAAGAGCTAGCAAAAACTGCAATATGATGTGTAAAGTCAGTGTAATCTTATGGACATTATACCAAGTCACAACATGAGGCATGAGATACCTCAGATGTTGTTCCCTCTAAATCTCATGTTGAATTGTGATATCCCCAATGTTGGTGGTAGGTCTGGAGGGAGGTGATTGGATCATGGGGGTGGATTTCTCAGAAATGGTCTAGCATCCTGTCCCTGGTGCTGTCTTTGTGATAGTGAGTGAATTCTTGCAAGATCTATTTGTTTAAAAGTGTGTGGTGCTTCCCCTGCCTTGCCAGGTGATGTGCCTGCCTGCTCCTTCTTCATCTTCTGCCGTGAATAAAGCCTGCTGAGGCCTCACCAGGAGCTAGGCAGATGCCAGAATCATGTTTGTACAGCCTGCAGCTATACAAACCTCTTTTCAAACCTCTTTTCTTTATAAATTACCCAGTCTCAGGTATTTCTTTATAGCAATGTAAGAATGGCCTAATACAGAAAATTGGTACTGAGACATGGGGCATTGCTATAAAGGTACTTGAAAATGTGGAAGTGATTTTGGAACTAGGTAATGGGCAGGAGTTGGAAGAGTTTGGAGGGCTCCTAATACAGGAAGATGAAGGAAAGTTCTGAATTTCTTAGAGGCTAGTTAAATGGTTGTGACCAAAATGCTGATAGTGATATGGACGGCTGATGCGGTCTCAGATGAAAATGAGGAACTTACTGGGACTTGGAATAAAGGTCATGCCTGTTATGCCTTTGCAAAGAACTTGGCTGCAGTCTGTTCATGTACTAGGGATCTGAGGAAGTTTGAACACTCAGATGCAGGAGCAAAAAAATGACTTAAAGTTGGAATTTACAATTCAATGGGAAGCAGACCATACAAGTATAGAAAATTTGCAGCCTGCCCATTTGGCAAAGGAAGATAAAGCATTTTCAGGGGAAGAATCTAAACAGGCTGTGGAGCAACCACTTATTAGAGACATTTGCATAACTGAAAAAGAGCTAGGTGCTGATAGCCAAGACAATTAAAAAAAGGCCTTGAAGGCATTTCAGAAATCTTTGCAGCAGCTCATCCCAGCACAGACCTAGAGGTCTAGGATGAAAGAATGGTTTCTTGTGTAGTGGGATTTTAAAAAATAATTAATTAATTAATTTATTTATTTATTTATTTTGAGATGGAGCCTCACTCTGTCACCCAGGCTGGAGTGCAGTGGCACAATCTCAGCTCACTGCAAGCTCTGCATTCCGGGACATGCCATTCTCCTGTCTCAGCCTCCCAAGTAGTTGGGACTACAGGTGACTGCCACCATGCCTGGCTAATTTTTTGTATTTTTAGTAGAGACGGGTTTTCACTGTCTTAGCCATGATAGTCTCAATCTCCTGACCTCGTGATCTGCCCTCCTCAGCCTCCCAAAGTGCTGGGATTACAGGCGTGAGCCACCGTGCCCAGGCTGTAGCGGGATTTTTTAAGGAATCAGAGAGACTGATGGGGTTGAGGAGGATATTTATTATTTAGGTGCACCGGCCCAGTCAGATTAACAACCAAAGGACTGAGTCCTGAACAAAGACTTAAGTTAACTTTTAAGCATTTTGTGGGGTGGTGGGGAGTGGGGAGATCTGTGCAGGGGGAAGCATATTACAGAAGCGAGAAACAAAGACAGTTATTCAATTAATTGAGACATGCATTATATCATTTCTTACTTTTCAAGGAAAAACATGTTTTACGACTTGAGTTTATCTGTCTAGTGACCTTGCAGCTGCACAGCTAGGGAAACAGGGTCTTCACAATGCCTGGGAAAGGAGGAGAGATGAAGCTCACTAGCCACAGAAAAACAGGCAGTTAATTTTTAAAGGGCTCCAGCTCTTTCTCTTTCTCAGGGGGAACTGGGTTTTCTCACATACAACTGAGTTTCTGCTTACACATTCTTTAATTTCTTTTAATTCCTGTTCCACTTGGACCAGGGCCAGGGCATCACTGTCCTGTACCACCCCCAGGAGGGTGTTCCTTGCATCCTGGCCCTTCTAGCTCCAGCCTTGGTTCAAAGGGCTGCAGATAGAGCTCAGGTCATGGCTTCAGAGGGTGCAAACTATAAGCCTTGGTGGCTTCCATGTGGTGTTAAGCCTGCAGGTGAGCAAAGTGCAAGAGTGAAGGAGGCTTGGCATTCTCTGCCTAAATTTCAGAGGATGTATGAGAAAGGCTGGATGCCCAGGGAGAAGACTATGCACCACTGGAGCTCTCAAAGAGGACCTCTTCTAGCACAGTGCCAAGTGGAAATGTGGGGTTGGAGGCCCCACTCGGGGTCCTGACTAGGGGGGCTGCCTAGTGGAGCTGTGGGAGGGGGGCCGCTGCCCTCCAGATCCCAGAATGATAGAGCCACCAGCAGCTCATGCCTTCAGTGTAGAAGAGCTGTGGGAGCAGAGCAGCCCCAGGCCTTGGGAGCCCACCTTATGCATCGTGGGAATGCTCTATGTTCCCAGGATGTGGGACATGGTTTCAAAGCAGATTATTTTGGAACATCGAGTTTTAATGACTGCCCTGCTGGGATTTGAACTTGTGTGGGGCCTGTAGCCCCTTTCTTTTGGCCAATTTCTCTCTTTTGTAATGGGAATGTTTACCCAATGCCTGTACCCCAATTTTATCTTAGAAGTAAATAACTTGTTTTGATTTTACAGGCGCATCAGTGGAAAGGACTTGCCTTGTCTCAGAAGAAACTGCACTTTCGAGTGATGCCGAAACAGTTTGAGACTTTTGGGGGACTATTGAGAAGGGATGATTGTATTTTGCAATGTGAGAAGAACACGAGATTTGAAGGGCCAGGGATGGAATGAAATAGTTTGGATGTTGTACCCTTTAAGTCTCATGTCGAATTGTAATTCCCAGTGTTGGAGTTGGGGTCTGGTGGGAGGTGATGCGGTCATGAGGGCTGATTTCTCATGTTTAACACCATCCTCTTGGCACTGTCCTTGCAAGAGTGAGTGAGTTCTCATTACATCTGGCTGTTTAAAAGTGTGTGGCACCTCTCCCTGCTTGCTCCTGCTCTGGCCATGTGACATACCTTCTTTTGCTTCACCTTCTGCCATGTGTAAAAGCTCCCTGAGGACCCTTCTTGAAGCCAAGCAACTGCCAATGCAAAGCTTCCTGTACAGCCTGCAGAACTGTGAGCCAAGTCAATCTTTTTTTTCAGTATAAATTATGTAGTGCTTAGGTATTCCTTTATAGTAATGCAAGAATGCCATAATACAAGGCATAATGGTTTGCATTTTAAAAATGAAAATTAAATTTTTGTAATTTATCATGAAAAGATGAAATGAGTTAATAATGAGCAATATCTACATGTTGTCTTAGAGGTGCTGACAATCTGTCAAGGAATTACATGCATTGATCAAGCAGTTTACCTTCAAGTTGAATAACAAGATATTCCTATCTAACATAACAAAATTTTGACATTATTTGGGAGACTGGAAATAATGCTAAATAATATCAGATTGTCAAAGTCAAATAAATATAGACAAACATCTGAAATTAAAATGTTTTATTTGAGATACAAGTATTACAACTTCACACATACATGCAGAATGGGTGTCTTTAGTATGTACAAAACATAAAGAGAAAGTTAGAGGTTTTATAAAAAAGGGAGACAGAGAGAAAAACGGTATGTATTTCTCTTTGAGAAAGTTCACTGGCACCAGTAAAGTTTTTGAGAGCTGGCAGGCTCTGATAGGTGAGGGACAGTGGTGGGTAAAGCTAGTCTTAGTGTTCAAGAGGTTGTTTCAGTAGCCATTTGATAAAACTGGTTTCAGCTTAAAGCAGGTAATTTCAGCAGCCAGGCATGCAGAGAATTACGCTTTTGGAGTGGTGTTTTTGCCCTGAATGCCTCCTCCCCCTGGCTCGTTGATGGTTTTATTTGGTGTGATAAGAATGACCCAATTCATATGATCAATTTTCACATTTAACCCTTTCCATCAAGATCTTTCTCTTAAAGCATCAACCATGTTTATAGTTGTACAACGACTACAAGTTAGGTTTAATCATCCCTTAGTGCTAGGATGGACCTGTCCCAGTTGCTCTGTCCCACATCTGGGAAAGGTATGGAGGTCTACATCAGGTCTATGTCAAGATTTATGGCTTAAAATGTCTATCCAAGGAAAAAATAAAACTGACCAGTAATCCCAGGAGAGAAACATACCTTGGCAAATTCGAAGATATTTCTAATTTTATTTAACAATTTTAAAATTAATTAATGTATCAAAGATTCACCTAACTCATGTCAAATAAAATATGTTTGCACTAATTAATATATATTTTATATGAACATTCCTTTATTTAAACCATCCTTTTTTCCTAGAATGATGGATTAGGGGCTTTCAATGTGCCTCAGCCACTTGGAAGTAGAAAAATAAGCATAAAGATAAACTTTGTGACTTCAATTCAAGAAGAAAAATAGGAATTCACAGGAATAGAGAAGAACACTCCAGATCCTGTGGATGGGGAGGTGGGAAAGCAGACTCTGTGATAGCATTTGGTTCATAAAAGGGAGTGAAACTCCAGTATGAGAGAAGAGCAGCCAGTCTCCCTCTGCAACTCACCTTTTCACTGGGGATTTGTGCAATCCAGATTAAGGGAGAACACTCTGTTTCTCCCAAGCCTTGGAGCTAGCACAAAAGTGGCTGAGAGATGGGGAAAGAGGAAAGACACTCAGAAAAGCTGCAGGCATTTACCTAGACCTGGGACTGAGAGAAGGATGCCCTTTTTAATCTGGGCTCATACAAAGTCAATCATTTTTTGGTGCCTGGCAATGGTGGCCACTGCAGACACTTTAATCTTGGGCTAGGAATTGGAGTGCTTGCTCTGGAGCAGGGGAGCAGCCTCAACAGCCAGAATTGAGTGTTGAGTGTGGAAAGTGCCCCAGCAGTAAGTGTTGGAATTAGGCTCTTTCCTCTTGCAGGACTGTAGTGGGAAGAGAGTTGCTAAAGCAGAGGTTTCTCAAGGATGGTGAGACTTGCAGCCAAGAACAGCTTTGCAACCTGGAACTGGTCTGTGTGTGTCATTGCTGGGTGTCTCAGCCTGCTCCCTTGGTCAGTTGAGAGAGTACTCCATCAGTTCCAAGAAACAAGAGGGAGGTGAACCCCATTCCCCAGGAGACCTAAACTTTGGTGAGGACCAGCCCTAAGGGAAGGAGGAATACAGCTTGCCAAAGCCACCCCTTGGATCAAAGGAAACACGATCACGATATCAGCTGCTGAAAGGGGCACACCAAAGCCTGGGAACAGATTTAGAGAGGTGGTTATCTCTTGCCCTCTGTCCCCTTCCTAGTGCACTGCTGCAGATCCAGCAGTGGTCATCCTGTTGGGACCCAAGGAACGTGGGCTGAAAGAGGCTGCTTCTTAGGTTTCTCCAGCAGCTCTGCCCCTGCTGAAGACTAGTACACACTGGGACAGGGCGCTTTTGGCACTTTGTCACTTCTGCACCTGTCGAGGACAAGTACACAGAGGAGAAGACCCTGCAGCCAGCTGTTACTCTTAAGCACTGTCTACTGGACTGAAGCCTGAATTACACCACCAAACAAAAATACATCACCACACCAAGCCACCACAGGAGCCTATCTGCAACCAAGGAACTTGTACAGAGCCTTGGTCCTCTGAAAGTACCCAGAAATGAAGCAAAATGATCCTATACAACATACACCACAGTCATACCCTTAAGAGAAAGAAAGAATGAAAAATTAAAAAAAAACTCCTTCCAAATGATAGCAAATTCAACAAAGGAAGCGTCAAGTCTCTCAGATGAGAAGAAACCATCACAAGAACTCTGGCAATACAAAAAGCCAGAATGTTCCATCACCTCCAAAGGATTACACCAGCAATCTAGCAATGAGTCCTAACCAGAATGCAACGTCTGAAATGACAGGTATAGTATTCAAGATATAAGTGGCAAAAAAAATCACCAAAAGCCAACAGAAAGTTGAAATCCAGCAACAACCCCATAACAACGATCCTGGATTTGAATGACAACATAGCCATATTGAGAAAGAACCAAGCAGAGCTTCTTGCATTGAAAAATTTACTATAGGAATTTCAAAAAACAGTTCACAGCCTTAGCAACAGACTAGACCAAATAGAAGAAATAATTTAAGAGCTCAAAGACCAGACCTTTGAATCAACCCAGTCAGACAAAAATAAAAAAAGAATTTAAAAATAATGAACCAAACTTTTGAGAAATATAGGATTAGGTAAAGGAACAAAATCTATGACTTATTGGAATTTTTTTTTTTTTTTTTGAGACAGAATCTCACTCTGTTACCCAGTCTGTAGTGCAGTGGCATGATCTTGGCTCACTGAAACCTCCACCTCCTGGGTTCAAGCAATTCTCGTGCCTCAGCCTCCCAAGTATCTGAGATTACAGGCGTGTGCCAGCATGCCTCGCTAATTTTTGTATTTTTAGTAAAGATGGGGTTTCGCCATGCTGGCCAGTTAGATCTCAAACTTCTGGCCTCGGGTGATCCTCCCACCTTGGCCTCCCAAAGTGCTGGGATTACTGGCATGAGCCACTGTGCCCGGCTGACTTACTGGCTTTTCTAACAGAGAAGAAGAGAAAGTGAGCAACTTGGAAAACATTTTTGAGGATATAATTCAGGAAACTGTCCTCAATCTTGCTAAAGAGGTCCACATGCTGATACAAGAAATCCAGAGAACTCCCGTGAGACTGAAGGTAGGCAGTGAAGCAAATGCTTGCATTCTTGTGTGGCTCTGATTAGCATCAGGATATCTACATTTTACATAGGAAAGGAGGGAGCAGAGGAAACAGTTATGCGTTCTTCTCACATTCAGTAAATCTCCATTTTACATAAGATAAAGTAAGCATGTGAATATAGGGAGTGGAGTAGAGGAAAACTCAACGATTCATTCATCTCAGGATAGGCAGAGGGATGATTTCTGGTCCTGACCTTGTCCCAGAACTATGAAAATAAGCTGGTAATTGAGATTGTCAGGGTGAAATTGAGCCGACTCACTTTTAGGGATAGTTTAAGGTGGGATGTACATTCTGAAAGATTTAGGGGTTCACAGCAAATTGTGAGGGAGGACATCTGAGGAGACATGCGGCCTTCTGTCACTGTGTGAACCTGGCTTATGGATGAGGCTATGACACAGGGTTGTGAAGTTATAGCTATGTGTTTGAGAACAAGGAAGGCAGTATTGCGTAACTCAGTTCCCAAGCTTAATTTTCCCTTTGACACAGTGAGCTTGGGGTTGGGGTCTCTATTCTCTTTTCTCTCACAAAATCATATGGGAACATTCCAGAAAATGTGAGGTTCTGTGCTCACTATTAAATAAAAATGACCAGGAGAGCCATGGGTAAGCTCCCTCCTCAGTCATCAGGACCCCAACAGAGAGTTTTCCCCTGTGTGGACAGGGTCCTGAATTCTGCAGGATCCCGTGGGGACACAAGTGTCAGGATAGAGGCACTCATTCAGCCAGGTACAGTGTCTCACGCCTGTAATGTCAGCTACACTGGAGGCTGAGGTCACCTTGAGGCCAGGATTTCAAGACCAGCCTGGGCAACATAGCAAGATCCCATAACTAAGAATAAAATTAGCCGGGTGTGGTGGCATGCACCTGTAATCCTAGTTAATTGGGAGGGAGGCTGAGGTAAGAGGATTGCTTGAGCCTAGGCGTTGGAGGCTACAATGAGCTAGGATTACACCACTGCACTCCAGTCTCGGCAACAGTAAGACTCCATATGTGACAACAACCAACCTATTCTGTGTTTTGAGTGTAAATTACCATAGCCTTTGTAACAGAAATGAGGCAGCAACTCTTATCATTCAAAATGCATAAGAAATTTGGCTAAGCAATTGTACTTCTAGATTATTTATTTATTTATTTATTATTGGGACAGAGTCTCACTCTGTCCCGCAGACTGGAGTGCAGTGACAGGATCTCAGCTCACTGCAACCTCTGCCTCGTGGGTTCAGGCAATTGTCCTACCTCAGCCTCCCGAGTAGCTGGGGCTACAAGTGCGCATCACCATACCCAGCTAATTTTTGTATTTTTTGTAGAAACGGGGTTTTGCCATGTTGGCCAGGCTGGTCTCAAAACTTCTGACCTCAGGTGATCCACCCACCTCGACCTCCCAAAGTGCTGGGATTACAGGCACTAGGTCCTTAATTTAGAGCCATATTGTTTAATGTCTAAAAGCACTCTTGCATATTTATTACTGCACTGTTTGAACTTAAATATCCACAACAGGATAACAGGATAATTAAACAGTTAATTGCACTATGGCACATCCATCTGTTAACAAAATGAAGTCGATCTTTTTGTACTGTGGTGGAAAGATTTTCTGAACATAGTTCAGGTAAAAAAATGATCACTGTTGAATAATGCTTCTGGTATAACACAAAGTGTTTGAAAATGTACACAATACACTGTAATATCCAATGCATACATCAAAGTAAATATATTTTATTCTAGGATAATTATTAAAACATTAAGAAATACTCTTTAATCATATATGTTAAAACTTGTAGAAAATCAATAACATACAAGTAAAGAAGATCAAGAAGCCAAAAAAAGTAATTCCAAGTGTAGAAAGCATGGTGAAAAGTGATGGAAGAAAACTGCAGAAATTTAAAATGTGAAATTAAAATATATAATTATTAATTAAAATACATAAGTCTTAATTAAAATACATAATTCTTCATTGAACCCCAAATCTGTCAGGACATATGTGTGATCTTGGATAACGCATTCAACCTCCTGAACACTGAATTTTCTTGACTGTAAAATGTTTTAGAGATGTTCCTCACCTGGTTGCATGAAGCAAACCTCTGTGTGTTAAGGCACTTCCCACAGCATCTGCGACACAGAACAGTGGCAGCTGTGCTCTTCATAGTCCCTGAACACAGACCCACAGCAGTATATTGTGTGTTTTTTTTTTAATATAAAGGCTTTGAAAATGTCCCACAGCTTCCTCAGTAACTGAATGTCAAAAGGGGCAGCCTTCAAAAGTAGAATTCTGGCAAATGTCTTCAAAAGACACAAAATTCTGGCAATGGGCACATTTCCCTCCCGCCTTGCTCTTCTGGATGCATCCATTCTCTCCCACAGCATAGTCATTTTCTTCCACTCCACTGTAGAAATTTTCCTTCTAGTGGCAAGAGTGACGTGAGTGATATGTGGAAATTTCTTTCCAAGCGTGTTGGAGAAGCTTCCTCTGCCTGCTTCTTTTTGGCCACCTCCTGCCAGGGTAAGAGCAGAGGGCCTCCAGGGCTGCTCTGTCACCCCCAACAGCATGGACCTCACTGCAGTCACTCCGGAAGCTTCCCTCTAAAGGAAGCTTGTGCAGGAAACATCATGCATCGAGCAGCATGGGGACAGGGGCTGGCCAGCTGGGCAGGTCTCACACTCCTGACACTCAGACTCCAGGATACTCCTCTGTCCCCACCCAGGGCAGATCCCTGCCCTAAAAGTTTTCCCCTCATGTCCAGCAAATGCTGCATGGAGCCCTGGATTTCTACGTGGAAAGCTAGGAGGAGGGAGAGCTGAAATGAGGATGTAATCACCCTTTCCAAAGAGGTCAGTCCAGTACTACCCTGTGCTCCTGGGCAAGCTCTCCAGGTTGAAGGAACAGGAGCAGGGGTTATGTCAGGTGAAGGTTGAAGTGAGAGACCTCCCAGGAGGTGTAGAATATTCCACTAGGGACATCTCATACCCTTCCAGGATTAGACCTTGAGGCCTGGAGATCCCCAGGCAATTAGTATTGAAGGTCGAAAGGCCAATGACAGGAATAGGAAGGCCCACTGTGTCATTCACAAAGCACTTCCAAACCCATCACCACAGGTGGCCCTCACAATCCTGTGAGACCTGCAGGACAGGGGCTCTCACAAAGGAGGAGTCGGGAATGTCAAGATTTTAACACCTTCTCCAAGTCAGGATCAGGAAATGCTGTTCCAGCACTGACCTATATTCCCTATGCTTCCTCCCACAAAACAGCTTAGGGTGACTGCCAACTTGTGGGCAGAGACCCTCACTTCCAATCCCCACAAGGGGCTGTGCAGTGGGGAGGACGAGGCCCCCTCCTCTGACTGTCTCCTCCAAGACCCTGTTTTCTGAGGAAGGTCACTCTGGGAACTGTTGGCCTCTGCAGATGGGGACCTGGACCATGTGGAAAGATGATGTGAAGGTCACACCTGGCAGGCACCAGCGCTGGAGGGCAAACCTCACCTTTAAAACTCACACTTTTTTAAAAAATTTATTTTTATTTTTAATTTATATGAGTACATGGTAGGTGTATATATTTATGGGGTACATGAGATAGTTTGACACAGGCATGCAATGTGTAATAATCACATCAGGGTAAATGGGGCATTCATCACCTCAAGCAAGGGAAATGCCAGCTGCTTATAAAACCATCAGATCACATGAGAACTCACTTACTATCATGAGAACAGCATGGGGAAACTGCCGCCATGATTCAGTTACCTCTCACTGGGTCCCTCCCAGGACACATGAGGATTATGGAAATTACAGTTCAAGATGAGATTTGGGTGGCAACGCAGCCAAACCATATCACCTTATAAAATTAATAATGTGGAAATAGCAGCGGGCCTGAGTCCTGACACCTGCAGTGTGATGCCCCCTCTTGAGGAGGGCCTGGCTTCTGTGCCATGCAGAAACTTTCCTGTGCTTCCTGCTGGCTTGGGGTGAGCCAGGTCCTCCTGGGGGAGCTGGGCACTTGTGGGACAGGAGAGTCCCTGGCCTGGGGTCTCCATTTGCCTCCTTACCCCATCAGCAAAACACCAGAGGAGCCAACTCAACAAACCTCAATGCACGGCACTTCCTGGACCCTAGGTGCTCAGGGCCCCCTGAGCTGCCCTGGGGCAGAACACTGGGCAGTGGCCAGTGCTTTCCCAACAACTCCCCCATGCACAGATGCCTGGTGGACACACTTCCCTTAACCCTGCTCAGCTGGAGCTCAGCCCCCATCCTAGTACCTCTGCCTCCTCCTCCAGGGCAGGAAAAGGAAACCCAACTCCAAACCCATGGAGAATCCTCATCTTGGGTGAGGCCCTGGCTGGGACTCAGCTCCTTGTCAGGCCCTTGAGGAGCTCCATCTTCCTCTGTTTCCCTGCCCCATGGGACCCTGGGCCTCTGGGAAAGAGTTGAGGGTGTCATCCACTCAGCAGGTACCGCATGATCTTTGGGAAGGATTTGTGTTATACCTACTCCTGGTGGGATAGGAGCCTCCGGAGCTGGGCAGTATTTGGGCTGTAGAAACCTGAGAAGCCCCTGACCCATCATGCATCAGAGCCCACTCCCAAGATGTGGAGCCATCAGCTGGAAGAGCTGGGCAGTGGCAGGGGACCCCAGACCCTGAGGCCTTCCTCCCTTCCATCAGGTGACCCTACCATGTGGTCTCAGCTCTAGGGAGATGGGCCCTAGCTGGAGGCACTGCACAGCAGCATCCTGGGTAAAGGTGCCAGGAGGGCAGGCCTGCCTTTGAGGCTGTGAGGCAGGGCTGGGGCAGGCAGTGGCTAGTGGAGGGAACCGGGTGGGTGCTGAAGGACTACATGGCCATCTCCTGGACATGGGGTCTGGCTAGGGGACATGGGATGGGCAGACACTGCCATCTTGACTTCATTGGCCCATCTGTGGGCTAGGGGGGCAGCTGGGAGTGTGGCCAGCTGGGAGGTAGGAGGACTCTTGGGGAAGTGAGAGTCACCTGCATGAACTCAGGGCTAGAGGGCTGTGGCTCTGGGACACACAGGGTGGCCAGGGGGAGGCTGCAGCGCCCTCTGCTGTTGGGAATGAAAGGTGTCCGCCTTGAAGTGAAAGGGTCCCTGTTCAGCTATGGGCCCCTCTGGGACCCCCAGCAGGGATGTCCTGAAGGCTCCTAACAAGCTGGAAAGCAAGGAAGCTGCCTTGCCTGGAAGTCAGGATCGCCCAGCCAGGGTGGCCGTCCCATGGCCCAGCTGTGTGAGGCCCTGGGGGTAGCTGTCCACCTACCCTGCAGGGAGTGCCTCTCCTCAGCCATCCGCTGATCCAGTGCCCAGAAGTTGTCTTCCTCTGGCAGATACAGGAGGAGGATGGCAGTTAGGCAGCTCATGTCCCTGTAGTAGCCCACCTCCTGCAAGAGCCAGAGTCACCATGGAAGCATGTCACCTGAGAGGGCTGAGGCCATCTGGGAGGACTCATGTCACTGGAGAGGACAGAGGTCACCTGGGAGACCTCCCTCAGGCCCTAGGGGATTTAGGGTGCAGACTCTGCACCCCTCCCCTGACCCTGGGCATGAGGACTAAGCAAGTCCCCCACAACTCAGTTGAAAAGGGACCTGGAGGGACTTCTGCAGTGAGTGTCCAACCTCACATGGTCTGAAGGGGCACAGGCAAGGATCATTCACATCCCCTATCCTGGGCCAGGCTGGGAAGGCCAGTGTGCCAGGACTGGGGCAGCACCTGTGAACTGCACCCACCACAAGGGCAGGTGGTGGGCCACTGATCACCACACAGTGGGTCCTCTGATGGCCCAGAGGCTGCCTGCCAGGCACAGGAGGGCGGCTAGGTCCAGACCACATGTGAGCAGCCCATGGAGTGATCTCAGCGGCTCTCCCTGCCTGGAATGGTCTGGGAAGTGGGGGCCAAGCAGGAACAGCCACCTGGGTGACCTCCTCCCTGTCTACTGTGCTCCTACGGGGTTAAGGCAAAGGGGAAATTGGACCCCTGCCAGGTTTCCAATAAAAAGGCTTCCTCACGATGCAAACTCATTTCATGAAAAAAAGCCTGGCCCCATCAGGCACCTCAGCAACTTGTCAAACATGTCTCCTGCAAGGACTATCTTGTGTGCAACACTGCTAAGCTCCTTGTTTGGGGTGGCACCAGGAGGGGAGTGTCATTTCTTCTTCTGAGACATGGTGGTTGGGTCCAGGTGACATCAACAGTCTGGGCCCTGAACCCTTTCCATCTCAGCGGGACCCCTTGAGACACCAGCTTCCCTTCCTTGCTTGGGTGTCGACGCCAGCAGTTCTACCTACTACGTTATTACAGTCAGATCAGGATAAATGTCCTCTCTCTGGAATAAATGCAGTGACCACTGTTCTTTGAGCATTATTTATCTTAAATTATTGTTTTAATTAGAAATGTATCTAACTTACATTAGCCAAATTTCCTTTCAATGTAACCAAATTTCTTTTAAGTGAAAATTAAATATTTACCTTCATCAAGCATTCTATGAATATAAAATGTTTATTTTTTTCAACTTTAGAAGAAATTGAAAATGTCTACATGCTACTAATCTAAAAAACAGGCTCTGGGTTTATATGGTGTTAACCTTTCTTCCAAATTTTAAGGAATAGATATTTAAATGCCATCCACTTTGTTTGAAAATACATAAAATGTTTTAAGCTTTTGATCTCAAAATTTACGATAGCACAGCTACTCCATAATGAATAAACCACAGAATCAAAACGAAGAAAGATTCTACAGACCAGTCTAACCAACAATACAATTATAAACTAGTGGTTCAAATATCAAAAACCAATTTCAATGACAAATGCATGGTATGTAAACCCTGCAAATGTCAAGTAGAATATATTATACTTGAATGAAATTATGAGTTGAGAGTAGGAAACCTATGTTTAACCAAGCAAATTAAATAAAGTTTATGAGGAAATTATACTGCTAATGTTTTATTATTTGGCAAGCTATTCAGTGGAACACAAAGATATTCTTAATGAAGTTGAAAATATATTTTAAAATGTGACTGAAGTGGATTAAAAAATAATGAGGACATGAATAACTTTAAAAAGTATTCAGGGATAAAGAGAGAAAAATAAATTTAGATTTCATACATACATAAAATATATTTAAAAAGTTGTGTTTTTTGGTTGCTTGAATAAAGGGAGCAGATATTTAAATTCCATGCCTTTCATTTTAAAGTTTAGGAAATGCTTATAGCTTTCCACACTGACATTTATACTAACACAGTTAATCTAATCGAGGGATAACAAAATCAAAACAAGCAGAATTCTCTTGACCAATCTATTTTCTTGATTTTTAAAAGTCAATGTGCTCTCAAAGAAACAAAACTATTATTCATGGATTCTGTTATTTGAAAATATTTACTGATCATTTTTACCTTACACCAAGTGATCTCCAGCTCGTGGAAAAATATGTAAAGTTGCCCAGCTTCATTAAGCTTAAACTCTTCTGAAGGAGAAAAGAAGCAATGGAGTAGGGACATTAAAGCAGGAGTGTGGTGATATGGCTGAGACTTCTACTTGCACACTGTGGTAGCTGTGTGGAGACTGGATTGAAAAAAGGGCAATGACAGAAGCTTAAATTAGTATCAAATATGGCAATCTTATAATTTTAAGGGTCCTTGAAATAAGAATGTATAATAGTTCTCATTATTTCCCCAAGAAATCTCTGCACTTGGCCTTGTGAGGGAAGTGCTATAGTTACCAAGTGGTGGGGGTGGGAAGGTGAATTTTCAACAACATTTGGAATTACTACACTTTAAAGGTAAAGCTGGCAGGAATTCCATACACATCAGATCTGAAAATGTGTGTGTGTGTGTGTGTGTGTGTCTGTCTGTCTGTGCGTATTTGTGTGTGTGTGAAGCAGGGAGAGAGAGCAAGAGTGAGAGTGAGCAAGAGAGAGGAGAGAGGGGGAGAGAATCAGACAGATACAGGAAGAGAGTGACAGAGATATAGAGACAGAATTAAAAGGGGACACCAAGAATATTGAGCTGAGAAACTATAAAATGGGAGTTGCCATTAAACAGAATGGGGAAGAGCAAATTTGGGGAGTTTCAGTGGCTCCATACAGACATATTAATTTTGAGATTCCTAACTGATATCCACGTGGATAAGTCAGGGAGTGTTGGGTGTAGTGTCCAGTGTTTAGGTGTAATATGAAATATCAGGAAATTAATGACACAAAAATTAGTAAGAAAGCAAAGATAAGAAAGATAAGAAGTGAAAGTCCTGAGCCTAATGGTCCTCTAACATTTGAAAAATAGTAAAGATGAAACCTGCAAAAAAGGACTAGGGGTAATTTTCAAAAACGTGGTGGGGGGAAAGTAAGTTAAGTGTTCTGGAATTCTATAAAAAAGTTTTACAAAGAGAAGGTGGAGATAGACTGTGTGAAATGCTGCTGATATATAAATTAAGATGAAGGCTGAGAAGTTATGGTTCAATTTATAATTTAACAATATGGATAGCACTTATATTTTGATATGAGCAGCTCGTTGGAATGAGTAGGTGAGAAACCATATTGGAGTGGTTGCTGAGATGAAAGTCTGATCCCTGGATTCTTAAGGAAAAATTTTATTGGACTGCAGAGGCATAAATTGGATTTTTAATTCTGGAGTCAGGATGTGCTCACTAAACATGTGCCCATCAATGCCTCCTCGCATTTTTTTTTAGCTAGGTATTCTGTTATCTTTTAATAATATAATAATTACCTGCAAAACCTACACCCATGTTGCAGCAAACCACCATGACACATGTATACCTGTGTAACAAAACTGCATGTTCTGCACATTTATCCCAGAACTTAAAGTAGAGAGAGAGAGAGAGAGAGAGAGAGAGAGAGAGAGAGAAAACCCAGCCAAGTGCGGTGGCTCATGACTGTAATCCCAGAGCTTTAGGAGGCTGAAACAGGTGGACCATCTGAGGTCAGGATTGAGAACAGCTTGGCCAATATGGTGAAACCCTGTCTTTACTAAACATATAAAAATTAGCTGGGTGTGGTGGGGGGCACCTGTAGTCCCAGCTACTTGAGAGGCCAAGGCAGGAGAATCACTTGAACCTGGAAGGCAAAGACTGCAGTGAGCTAAGATCACGCAGCAGCACTACAGCCTGGGTGACAGGGTGAGACGGTCTCAAAAAGAAAAACAAAAACAAAAAAACACCCATTTAATTGACAAACTTTACAAAGACTGATACTAGAGGTTGTTGGAGAGGACGTTGTTCCACATATCTTATGAGTTACCGATGGACAAGTAAGATGGTAAAATGCCTTTGAAAAACTGACCATACCTGCTATACTTAAATATTCAGATACCAAACACCCAGAAATTCCATCTTGTCATTTATTTCCACAAGAAAAAGCAAGAGACCTGTATTAAAATATCCATTTCTATTAAAAATAATCACACTAGGTTTCCTGAAATTTTTTTATTGGTAGCTCTTGTTTTCAGCAGTACAACTTCTAACATATATGTGTATATATATTTAATATATGTATATATGTATATATATTTAATATATGTATATATGTATATATATTTAATATATGTATATATGTATATATATTAGACAGATATATATGTATATTATACACATGCATATATTATATATTATGTATATATGTATATAATACATATGCCTATATTATATATTATGTATATATGTATATAATACATATGCATATATTATATATTACGTATATATGTATATACACACATATGTATATGTTATATATACACACATATGTATATATATTATATATATACACACATATGTATATATGTTATATATACACACATATGTATATATATACACACACATATGTATATATGTATCTATGCATAATATATGTATATGTATTAGGCAGAGTTTTGCTCTTGTTGCCCAGGCTGGAGTGCAATGGTGCAATCTCGGCTCACTGCCACCTCCACCTCCCGGGTTCAAGCGATTGTCCTGCCTCTGCCTCCCGAGTAGCTGGGACTACAGGCTTGTGCCACCACCCTCGGCTAATTTTGTATTTTTAGTAGAGATGGGGTTTCACCATGTTGGTCAGGCTGGTCTCGAACTCCTGACCTCAGGTGATCCACCTATCTTGGACTCCCAAAGTGCTGGGATTACAGGTGTGAGCCACTGTGCCCGGCCTATTTTGTATTTTTTAATCTACCACACTCTAAGAACACATATTTTAAATCAATTTGTACATTCAGTGCCTAGAACAAAACCAGCATTTTGTAGATTCCAAAGAATTATTTGTTGTATAAATGATGAATAACTTAAATAAGTTATTATTTATCACATCTATATACAAACAATATATTACCTGAGAATACAGTGATAACATTTGTTATGTATAAAATGATTTCAATCTCAGTTAAAAATATTTTTTGCATAAGTTATTGTCATATGCAGATGCTCACATTGTTTTGTTTAGATGAAAATGTTTGTAACTACTATGCACATTTTTGTTACTTAAGCCTTTTGGTCTTGCTGCCGTAGCAAATCCTGTGCCTCTTAAGAACATGAACCTGTTTTACTTCATTTTTTAGCAGATTTCTTAATGAAATATATACCATACTATTTTGTTTAACACATAAGCAGACACCCTGTCAGAAGCAAAGAGACATCTACTCCACCATTACCACCCATGCCTCTGCTAATGTGGCTGCTGAAGATGTTACCTAGAGCAGAGGACTTTGTGTTCAACCTAAGCACTTTATATCCTTTATTTTCAATTGGGTAGGAGATAAAATAATTCAGCAGCAATAAAAGTCACACTTCTTAAAGTTGCAGTCTCGCCAATGCACCACAACGTAGCAGTCTCTCTTGTGAGGTATCATCTGGTGTTCTTCATCTCACCACCAAGATGATTAAGGGACGGGGACACACAGGTGAGGTGGGAGTGAAAGTTTAACAAGCAAAAGGAGGAAGCTCTCTGCAGCAGACAAGGGCGTCCAAGTGGATTGCCGTTTTTACAGTTGAATCAAAAAGCTTTTATAAGAAACTCCTCTCAGCTATATATAAAACTGTCGGCACAATTCCCTTTATATATCCAGCTGTGGGTATGTCTCTAGTCAAGCACAAAGTGGGCTTCTCTTGTTTCTATAACTGTGGGTTTGTTTTAGGTAAGCCCCCCTCCTCCCTGCGCAAGTTCCCACAGAGACCGCCATGTATATGCCTGAAAAAGGGAGGAAAATTTTACCTGGGAGCTTGCCAAATACACAAAGAACAGAAGGCATCTGTGCTGGACCCTGCATGCTTATCTGTTCAGGGCTTATCTGTAGGTGCAGTAGTTGTGATTTTTCAGGCAGACAGCTTCCCTGAGGACCAGTCTCTTACTTGTTTACTCAAATAATTTTCCTTTCCTTCTCCCTCAACATTGTGTAGCAAAACAGAGTACACTTCTCTTTCCCAGTAAATCAGTGTTGGTACTCCACTCTGAATACTTGTATTATTGGATTTCTTAGGAAAAAAATATTTGGGATCATAATTTAGATGCCATCAATGAACAAAAATATGCTACTTCGTTTCCCCTCTCTTCTCTTGTTACCAGACAATAGCTAGTTTTCTTTTCTCTCCAACTCCTTTTTTCTGTGCTTCTACCTGATTTTTTAAAAAAACTTCTACACATTTCCAATCTTAGTATAGCAGACATCAAATATGTGGTCAAACTACATACATAAGAAGAGTTGAATTATATAATTATATTCAAGCATTTTAAAATAATTCCCCTTCAGTTTGTTTTGCAGTTATTTTACATAATCAAATGTCTTCCTGATATACGTCCCAACCCAGTGGTTGTCAAGCTCTGCTTTGTTTTCTAATTGCATCAGAATTATCCACAATTCTTTTTTTTTTTTTTTTTTTTTTTTTGAGATGGAGTCTTACTGTTGCCCAGGCTGGAGTGCAGTGGTGTGATCTCAGCTCACTGTCATCTCTGCCTCCCTGATTCAAGTGATTCTCCTGCCTCAGCCTCCCAAGTAGCTGGGACTACAGGCATGTACCACCATGCCTGGCTAATTTTTGTATTTTTAGTAGAGATGAGGTTTCACCATGTTGGCCAGGCTGGTTTTGAATTCCTGACCTCAAGTGATCCACTGCCTGGGCCTCTCAAAGTAAGAATTATCCAAAATTCTTATGATAAATATGGATAAATCAGCACAACTCAAGATTTAATAAAAATTTCCAAGAGAAGAAACCCAGGAATATGCATTGAAAACGTCTCCCTCAGGTGATTCTGATGTGATATGTGGTCTGAGTTTAAAATGCAAGGAAAATTACCTTCCCTGCCCTCCAGTTGGCCCTTATGTCCAGATGTCCCTCTTCCCCTTTCTCATTGTGCTCTCTCCTGTGCCTTTGTTCTATTCTCCCTCCACTTCTCATCCAGATGCCAAGCCCTCTTCCATCAATTTCCTAAAACTCCAAATGGTCAGTTGCCTCTGTCCCATGAACAAGTTACTCAGGCAAACGTAGAATTTCGGCTTGGACCAAGCTGAATCAAGAGCTGCAATTAAAGATTTCCCTAAGCCCAGAGGGGACCAGCAAATACTTATAGAAGATTTTGGATTTCCTCCGAATGCATAAGGCTCTGGGTAACCTGATGCTATAGACCAAATGTTATTGTCCCTCTCAAATTCAAGTGTTGAAATCTAATTCCCTATGTGATGATATTTGGAGGTAGGGCCTTGGGGAATGATTAGATCATGAAGGCAGGGACCACATGAGTGGGATTAGTAGCCCCTATTGAAGGCACCATAGAGAGCTCCCTCATCTCTTCTGTCATGTGAGGACATGGTAGAAACATGGCTATGAACCACAAAGCAAGCCCACACCAGACACAGAATCTGCTAACCACTTGACCTTGAATTTTGCCATCTCCAGAACTGAGAGAAACAAATTTGTTTATAAGCTTCCTCATCTATGGCATTCTGTTTTGACCCCAGATTAGCTAAAAACACCAAAATATCAACTTGTACACCAAATTTTCGAAATGGATGCTAAAACTTTGATGGCAAAAGGTGACTGATCTGCCTGAGAAATGAACCTACATGATCCCTCTTTCCACAAAGCTGGAGGGAGAGTCAACACAAGCAAAAATAGGTCAAAGTCTTCTAAAAGCCGTACCTGAAGGGTTTTCAATATCACTTGATCAGATGGTAATTTAGTCACCCAAAGAACCACAACAAAACACACAACTATCAGAGGTTTTCAACGTCACCTCAAAAACACCATCTACAATATTAGGGAGTGAAAGAAGTCATAGAAGTTTCAAAAAGTCAAACTTTATTTCAGTGTTATGGTAGAAATTTGAAATTCTTAGTTAAGCTATGAATAAATCCTTGGGCAGGTGCAGGCATGGAGATTCTGGAGTGCTGCTGCTGAGTTTAAGAGCTTCCTTTGGAGATGCCCCCTGGCCCCCTCAACCCCTGTCCACCTGTCAAGAAGAGGCCATCCTGGGCAGCACATTAGAGGCAAATGGCCCAGATGCCCAGCTGAGGGCAAACCTCCATTCCTGGAGGAGGAGGTCACCTCTGGGAGCCGGAGGACCTGCTGGAACCCCTGCTCACAGGCTCCTTTTCTTGCTCTCCAGCACCTCCTGCAGGCAGGCAAACACCCCCAGCAGCAGTAGCAGCAGGGCCTTCAGCAGCAGGGCTGCTGCTCTGCTGAATGAGAGAAGTCCCTCTCCAGTGAGGCAGAGGAGCCCAGGTTGCACACCCTGGTCTCTGCCTCCATAGCTTCCACTGTGCCCAGGACTGGGAGCAGTGTGGGAGCTGCTGGCTGGAGCTGTGCTGGTCACCCCCTCTCTGCCACCTCTAGCTCCAGCCACACTTTCAGCTCCAGGGCTGAGGCCGGTGGCTCTACAGGAGGTGCCATGGAGTCAGGCAGCTTCTCACTGGGCTGGTCCTGTGCAGTCCCAGGGCAGCGGCAGGAGGGCTCTGGAGCTTCCTCTAGCTCCAGCGCTGTCCCTGGAAGGGGCTCTGCCCCTGGTGCTGGCACTGGCTCAACAGCTGGCACTGGAAATAGCTGTGTTTCTGCACCTGAAGCAGGAGCTGAAAAAGGAGAGAGGTCACCAATATCACTCACTTTCCACTGGAATTTCCAAACATGAAAACAACCTCACTGAATTTAAAGGAATTTCAGCCTGAAAACATTGTCCCTGGAAAGACTTCCAGACTGCAGGTGACCTCACCATGTGCCTGTGTCTCAATGAGCTCCAGAGGCTCCAGCTGGACAAGGACAATGTGCAGATGTGGCCCTGGTGGGATCACTGGTGAGGCCTGGCCTGGTAGCTCCATCTGGGGCCTGATGTCTACCTGGTGACTCCTGTCCTGTGGTACCTGGGGGGGCCTTCTGTCAAATGGCCAGAGACATCTGGGGTGAGGGATGAGCCTACAAGGGCATCGTTGGAAAAGAAAGGCTCTCACTCCTGCCATTCCTGAAGCAGGAGACTTGAGATATGGGGATGCAGCACAAGAACATCTTGCTCTCTTGAGCATTTCCCACCAAGTGAGCTGGCTATGGGGCTAACTCTAGGATGTGGGTGCCTGGTTATCGGGATTCTTTTTTTTTTTTTTTTTTTTGAGACATTGTCTCATTCTGTTGGCCAGGGTGGAGTGCAGTGGCATGATCTCGGCTCACTGCAACTTCCGCCTATTGGGTTCAATCAATTCTCCTGCCTCAGTCTCCTGAGTAGCTGGGATTACAGGCACGAGACACGCACCACAACACCTGGCTAGTTTTTTTGTGTTTGTTTTTTGTTTGTTTGTTTGTTTTGAGACAGAGTCTCGCTCTGTCACCCAGGCTGGATGGAGTGCAGTGGCGTGATCTGGGCTCACTGCAAGCTCCGTGTCCTGGGTTCATGCCTTTCTCCTGCCTCAGCCTCCCGAGTAGCTGGGACTATAGGCGCCCACCACTACCCCCGGCTAATTTTTGCATTTTTAGTAGAGACGGGGTTTCACTGTGTTAGCCAGGATGGTCTCGATCTCCTGACCTTGTTTGCTTTTTGTATTTTTAGTAGACATGTGGTTTTACCATGTTGTTCAGGCTGGTCTCGATCTCCTGATTTCATGATCCTCCTGCCTCAGCCTCCCAAAGTGCTGGGATTACAGGTGTGAGCCACCGTGCCTGGCCTGGTTACCAGAATTCTAAGTTCTGTTAGGGTCTGTTGCCAAAGAAGTGAGGTTGCTTCTTTAAGGTTCCATCCCCTCAGCCTCCTCCTTCCAGAAGACCTACTCAGGACCCCAGTGGGCTGCTGACTGCTCATCCTCCCCACAGGTCAACTCCTTACCTGTACACAGTTATGTCCACCCAGGGCCTACTTGGACACCTGCACCTGATGTTCACCAGGGGCCTAGGAATCCACTTGGGGCCTGGGATCCTACAGGGGACTAATGTTACCCTGCAGATTGAGTAGCCACCTGGGGACCAGGTATCAACCTGGGGACTGTGGTTGACCTGTGGGTTAATGTCCACCTGGGGACTGGTTATTCAGCTGAGGCCTGATGCGTACCTGGGGCCGAATGTCCCCCTCAGGGTGAATTCCACCTCAGACCTGTATGTCCACCTGGGGCCTGATGTCTGCCTTAGATCTATGTCCCACTGGGGCCTTGTGATCACCGGGGACTGGTATCCAGCTGTGGCCTGATGACCTACTGCATCCTGTTGCTCACCTACGGCCTGGTGTCTACCTGGGGCTTGGTGATCGCCTGGGAACTGGATATCAACCTGGGGCCTGGGTGTCCACTTAAGGCCTGATGTGTGCCTGGGGCCTGACTGTCCACCTGGGGACTGGGTGTCCACCTTGGGTCTGATGACTACCTGAAGTTAGGTATCTACCTAAGGCTTGGTGTCTACCTGTGGCCTGATGTCCACATGAGTCTGGGGTTCAGTTGGGGCCTGCTGTACATCTGGGACCTTGGTGTCTATCTGAGGCCTGATGTCTACCTGGTGACTGCCATCCTCTTGAGGCCTGATATCCACCTGGGAATGGTTTATCCATGGAAATGGTTATCTCCGCCTGGGGCTGGATGTTGCCCAGGGGCTAGATGTCCACCTGTGGCCCCGTGTTCACCTAGTGCCTGATGTCCACCTGGGGCATGGTGTTCACCTGAGACCCGGGTATTTACATAGGGCCTGATGTCCAGCTGGTGCCTAGGTGCCCACTGGGGGCCTTGTGTTAACCTGGGGACTGGTATCCAGCTGGGTCCTAATGACCACCTGGGTTGAATTATTCACCTAGAGTTTGGTATTCACTTAGGGCTTGAGTGTCAGCCTTGGACATGGTGTCCACCTGGGCCTTGGTTATCAAACAAGGGGTTTGGTATCCAGTTGAGACATCATTTGCACCTGGGGTCTGAGTGTTCGCATGAGGCCAGATGACCACTGGGGGCCTGAATGTCAACCTGGTGTCTGAAATTCACTGGAAGACTAGGTATCTAGCTGGGGCCTGATGTCCACCTGGGACTAGGTGTCAACATGTGGCCTGATGTAAACCTCTAGTTGAGTGTCCACCTTGGGCCTGATGTCCACTGGGGGACTGATGTTCCCCTTTGATCTGATGTCTACCTGGAAACCGTGTATTCACCCATGGCCTGATGGTCACCTGGGGTTGAATGTCCAACTGTGGCCAGATGTGCACCCGGATTCTGGGCATCCACCTGGGGCCTGATGTTCAGCTGGGGCCTGGAGTTCACCTGAGGCATGATGCCTACCTGAAGCTTAATGTTCATCTGAGTGCTGGATGTTCACCTGGGGCCTGATATCCACCTGGACCCTTCTCAGGCCTGATGTCCACAAGTTGGCCTGGTATTCATCTGGGGCCTTCGTGTTAACCTGTGGCCTAATGTACTCCTGGGTTCTAGTGTCCTCTTGGGACCTGATGTCTACCAGGATCCAGGTATCCACCTGGGGCTCAGTATCCACCTAGGGCTTGATATTCACCTGGGGCCTAGGAATCCACTTGATAACTGGTGCCATCGGGGTCCTGATGTTCACCTTGGGACTGGGTAACCACCTGAGGCCTGATGTCCACTTAGGGCATAAGTGTTTATCTGGGGTCTAGTGTTCACATAGGGTCTGATGTCAACCTTGAGACTAGGTATTCACCAGGGGACTAGTGTCCAGCTGGGGCCAGATGTTCGCTTGGGGCCTGGTGTCAACTTGGAGCATGGTTGTCAACCTAGGATCTGATGTCCAGTCCAGTGTCCACCTTGGGCCTGTTTACTACCCAGGGCCTCTGTGTCCACATAGACCGTGGTGTCAATCTGGGGCCTGGGTATTTACCGGGCGCCTGGATATTCATTGGTACATTATGTCTACTGGAGTCTTTGTGTCAATCTGAGCTCTGATGTCTACCTAGAGATTGGGTATCCATCTAAGGCCTGGTGTTTACATGGGGCCTGTAACATGAGGTTCCAGATGAACTCAGATGTCCACCTGAGGCCTGATGTCCACCTGAGTTCTGAGTGTTCATATAGGGCCTGCTGTCAACTTGGGACCTAAGTATTTACCTAGGGCCTGGGTGTCCACCTGGGGCCTGACTTCCAACTAGATCTTGTGTCAACATGGGGCCTGATGTCCACTTTGGGCCTAGGTAACTTCCTGATGACTAATGCCCACATGGCTCCTAAGGACCATCTGAGGCCTGGTATTAATTTAGAGACTGGTATCCACCTGGGGTCCAGGTATCCACTTGGGACCTGATGTTCACCTGGAGTGTAGGAATTCACGTGGGGCCTGGTATCCACCTTCAGGGTGTGTATCCAATTGAGTGCTGGTGTCCACCTGGAGTCCCGTGTATACCTGGGGCCTGATGTACACATGGAGCCTGGGAGTCCATCCAGGACCTGATGTTCAGATAAGGGCTGGCGTTCTCCTGGCCTGGTGTCCACATGGAGCCTGGGTGTACACTTGAAGCCTGATATCCCAGGTGGATACCTGGGCCCCAGTGGTCATCAGATCCTAGGAACCTCTCAGGCCCCAGGTGCACATAAAGCTCCAAGTGGCCACCTAGGCCACAGGTTGATACACAGGGTCCAGGTGGACACTGGTTGCAAGTTGAACACCAGGCCCCTGGTGAACACCAAGCCCCAGGTGTCTGCCTAGTCCTCAAGTGGACACCAGGCTCTAGATTGACACACAGGTACCAGGTGGATATCAGGCCACAGGTGAACACCAGGCCCCAGGTGGTTGGGTTACTTATAGCATAGGTGGCCATCAGTTCCCAGGTCTATATCCACTCCCCACTTGAAAATCAGGATCCAGGTGGATACCCACGTCCTAGGTGAACACCAGGTTCCAAATGAACATCAGGCTCCAAGTGAACACACAGGCCCCAGTTCAATACCAGCCTCAGGTAGACATCAGGCCCCAGGTGCACCCCAGGCCCAATGTGCATGCCTAGTCTCTTGGAATACATCATTTTCAAGGTGGACACCCAGATTCCTCAAAGACATCTGGTGCCAGGTGGATATCTGGCTGCAGGTGGACATCAGGCCCCAGGTGGAGACCCAGTACACAGGTGTAAATCAGGCTCCAGTATTTCATCAGGCCCCAGTTTAACACTTGACTAAAGGTGTGCATCAAGACCCAGGTTGACAGCCAGGCTTCAGGTGCACACTAGGCCCAAAGTGTACACCTGTGCCAAGGTGGGCATCAGGCCCAAGGTGTACACCAGACCCCAAGTGGACATCAGGTTCCAGGTTGACACCAGTCTCTAGGTAGATCCTTAAACCCCAGTTGGTCATCAGGCCCAAGGTGGATACCTTGACCCCAGGGGGTCACCAGGTCTCAGGTCGACACTAAACCCTAGGTTCAAGGTCTGAGATGGTTTCAGCCCCCATGTGGACTTTAGTCATAAGGAGCTTACCTAGGCCCTAAGTGGACATCAGGCCCCAGGTTGACACAATGAACCATGTAGAAGTCAGGCTGTAAGTAGACACCCAGGCCCTAGGTAAATACTTTGGTCCCAAGCCAACATCAGGCCCTATGTGGACACCCAGACTCCAGGCAGATGTCAGGCCCCAGGTGAACACTGAACTCAGGGCGGTCATCAGGCCCTAGGTTGACACATAGGCCTCAGGTAGACAACAGGCACAGGTGAACTTCAGGCTCCAGATGAACGTCGGGCTCCAGGAAGAAATCTGTGCCCCAGTTAAACACCGGGTCTTAGGTAGACATCAGGCCTCAAATGGATGCCCAGGCCCCAGGTGGATATAAGGCCTCAGGCAAACACCAGGCCCCAGGTAGACATTAGACACGAGATGGACACTCAAGCCACAAGTGAACATCTGTCCCCAGGTGGACATCCACCCAAGGTGGACATCAGGCCAGAGATGTACACCCAGGCCCCAGGAGAACCCCAGGCCCCAGGAGGACACTCAAGTGCCAGAAGGACACCCAGTCCCTAGGTAACTACAAGGCCCCAAGTGGACATGATATTCCAGATGGATATGAGGCCCCAAGTGGATACTAGGCCCAGGTGGACCCCAGATCTCAGGGGCACACCAGGCCCCAGGGGAACACCAGGCCCTAGGTAAGCATGCAGTCCCAGGTGGACATCAGTTGCCAGGAGGACACCAGGACCCAGTTGCTCATCAAGCCACAGCTGAACACCAGTTCCCCATGAACACCAGTCCTCAGGTGGGCACCTAGTCCTCTTGTGTGCATCAGGTGCCAGGCTGACATAGGCACCAGCTGAACTCTGGGCCTCAGGTGAACATCAGATCCCAGGTTGTCACCCAGGCCCCAGGTGAACACCAGGTTTTAGGTGGACATGAGGCCCTAGGTGGATGTCTATGCTCCTGGTGAACCTCAGGCCCTAGTGGACACTCAGGCCCTTTATAGACATCTGGCTCCATGTGCACTCCCAGGGCCCAGGTAGACATGAGGCCCCAGAGGAACGCCAGTCCTTAATCACCTAAGACTGAATTCCCCTAGGGCTGGAGACTGAGTATTCACCTTGGGCCAAGGAATCTACCTGGGGCCAGATGTCGATCTGGGGCCTGATGTCTACTCAGGTTCAGCTGTCCACCTAGGGCAGGGTGTTTTTCTGGGACCCAGAGTCTACCTGAAATCTTGGTATCAACCTAGGGCCTATGTGTCCACTTGGAGTCTGATGTGCACCTGAAGCCTGAGTTTTCACCTGGGATCTGATGAGCACCTGGGGCCCAGGTTTCCATCTGAAACATCAGGCTCTAGTTATACATCTGGGCCCCAGGTATACACTAGGCACCAAAAGAACTCCAGCCCCTATCTTAACATGAGGTCCTAGGTGAATGCCCAGGCCTCATGTCTACATAAGGCCTCAGGTAGACATGACTCCAGGCGGGCATCAGGCCTGATATTGGCTCTATGTCTCCACCCAAATCTCATGTTGAATTGTAATCCCCACGGGTTGAAGAATGGGCCTGGTGAATGGTGATTGAATCATGGGGGCAGACTTCCCACTTGGTGTTCTCGTGATAGAGTTCTTACAAGACCTGGTTATTTGAAAGTGTGTAGCACATCCCCATTCTGTCTCCCTCCTCCTCCCACATGGTAAAAAGGGCTTACTTCCTCTTGGCTTTACATCATGATTGTAAGTGTCCTGAGCCCGCCCAGTCATGCTCCCTATTAAGCCTGAAGAACTGTGGGTCAGTTAAACCTCTTTTCCTCATAAGTTGCCTAATATCAGGTAGTTTTTTATAACTGTGAAAATGGACTAATACAAGGCCTTAGGATAACAACCATGCTTCAGGCCATAGGTGGACATCTGGCTGCAACTGGACACTATTCCCCAGGTGGATACCTAGGCTCAAGGTTGACATTAGTCCCCAGGTAAACAACAAGCCCCAGGTGAATACCTATGCCCTAGTAGACATCAGGCCTCAGGCTGACACTCAGTCTAACCTCAACATTAGGCTCCAGGTGGACGCCCAGACTCCAGGTGGATACTAGACCCCAGGGGTACACCAGACTCCTGGTAGGCATAAGGCCCCAGGAGGACACTAGAATCCAGGTGTACATAAAGCCACTGGTTGACACCAAGCCCTCAGATGAACACCAGGCCAACTAGTGGATGTTAGGCACATGAGAATACTTGGGCACCAGGTAGGTATCAGGCCCCAGGTAAACATCAAACTTCAGGTGGACATCATTCTCCATGTGAACTCTAGCCCCAGCTAAACATCAGGCTCCAGGTGGAAGCCCAGACCCCAGGAGCACTTCTGGCCACAGTTGAACATCTGTCTCCAGGTGAATATCAGACCATGGATGGATAGCAAGTCCCCAGGTGGACATCAGGTCAAAAGTGAATATAAGTCTCTAGGAAGACATCTGGCCCCAGGTGGATACTGAACTAGAGGTTTACATCAGGCCCTAGGTTGACAGCAAGGCCCAGGTAGACCGCAGGCCCCAGGCGAAGACCAGGCCCAGGTGGATACTGAACTAGAGGTTTACATCAGACCCCAGATTGACATTCAGTCCCCAGGTGGTCATGACACCTCAACTGGACACCAAGTCCGTAGGTGTCCCAGGTGTACACCAGGTCAAAGATGAACACAAGACCTAAGGTTGACACTGAAGCCCCAAGTGGACATGAGGCCCTAGGTGAATAATATGACCCAGGGGATCATTAGGACCCAGCTTCATACCAGTCCCCAGGTTTACACGAGGCCCCCAGTAGGTTCCTAAGCTCTAGTTGGACATGAGGTCTCCAGTAGACACCCAGGAGTAAGGTGGACATCAAGCATCAGATGGACGTCTGGCCATGGATGAACATCAAGCCTCACATGGATACCTAGTCCGCAGGTAGACATCAGGCCCCAGTTTGACATCAGTTTCTGGATGGATCCCCAAGCCCCAGGTGGATATCCAGTCTCCAGCTGAACATCAGCCCCTCGTGGACACCCAGGCCCCAGGTGGATATCAGGTGTCAGGTGAACACAAGTCCCTAGGCAGACGTCAGGCACCAGGTGCACACTCAGACCCCAAGAGGACATCTGTCCCCAGGTTGACATCACTCTCAAGGTGTACATTAGGCAACAGATATACACTCAGGTCCAAGGCAGACACGAGTCCCTAGTAAAACTCAAGGCCCCAGGAGGATACTCAAGCCCTAGGTGGATGCCCAGAACCCAGGTAATTACAAGGCCCCAGGTGGATATCAGATTCCCGATGAACATTAGGCCCCAAGTGGATACCTAGGCACCAGGTAGACACCAGGCCCCAGGTGCATACCCCAGTCTCAGGTGCACACTAGGCCCCCAGTGAACACTGGCTCCAGGTGAGCACCCAGTCCAAGGTAGACACCGTGACCCAGGTGGTCATTAGGCCACAGCTGAACACCAATCTTGAGTGAATACCAGATCCCAGGTGGGTACCTAGTCCAGGTGGATATTGGGCCCCAAGTGGACACCCAGCCCCCAGGTGAACATCAAGCTTCAGGTGGACATCATGCCTCAGGTGAACTCCGGGTCCCAGCCCAGCTGAACATCAGGCTGCAGGTGGATGCCTAGGTTCCAGGTGCACAACAAGTCACAGTTGGACATTCAGCCCCAGGTGAACATCAGGCCATGGGTGGATAAACAGTCCACAGGTGGACATCAGGTCAAAGGTGAACATCAGTACTCAGGTGGACATCAGGCTCCAGGTTGACATCAAGCCCAAGGTGGACACTGAACTAGAGGTTTACATCAGGCCCCAGGTTGACACCCAGGCTCAGGTGGACAATAGGCCCCAGGTGGATACCTAGGCCCCTAGTAAACCTCAGATTCTAGGTTGACATTCAGGCCCCCAGTAGTCATTTGGCCCCAAGTGGACACTCAGGCGCCAGGTTCACATGATGTCTTAACTGGACACCAAGGGGCCAGTTTGATACCCAATCCTATGTGGGTGCCAGGTCCAAGGTTACACTCAAGCCCCAAGTGGACACCAGGCCCCAGGTGAATAATACAACCCAGGTGGTCATTAGGCCCCAGAATGACACCAGTCCCCAGGTTAACAGGAAGCCCCCAGTGGGTACCTAGGCCCCAGCTGGACACCAGGCCTAATGTGGACAAACAGGATCAAGATGGACATCAGGACTCAGGTGGACATCTGGTGACAGGTGGACAACAAGCCTGGTGTGTACCTTGTCCCCGGGTGGTCATCAGGCCCCAGTTCAACACCAGTCCCTGAGTGGATTCCTCGGCTCCAGGTGGACATCCGGTCTTCAGCTGAACATCAGACCCCAGGTGAACACCAGGTCTTAGGTGGACATTAGGCCCCTGGTGGATATAAAGTACCAGTGGACATCCATGCTGCAGGTGGACACCCAGGGCCCAGATGGGCATCAGGCCCCGTTTGGACATTGAGGCCCCAGGTGGATATCAGGCCTCAGGTGAACCCTAGGTCCAACATAGACATCAGGCCTTAGGTTGACACTCAAGCACCAGATGGACTGCTGCACCTAAGCAGAAAACAGACCCTTATCTGGATATCTAAGATACATGTATACAACAAGCCCCAGGCTGACATCCAGACCCCAGGTGGACACCATACCCCAGGTGAACAGCAGGCAACAGTTTGGCACCAAGTACCTAAGTGAAACAAAGCCTTAGGTGATTACCAGGCCATAGGTAGTCATTAGTCTCCAGCTGAACAATAGTCCCTAGGTGGATACCCAGGCCCCAGGTGGACACTAGACCCCAGATTAACACAAAAACCAAGTAAAAAATCAAGCCCCAAGTGGACAACCAGGCCCTAGGTAAATACACAAATCTCAAGCTGACACCAGGCCCTATTTGGACACCCAAGCCCTAGGTGGACTTCGGACCCCAGGTGAACACTGAACTCTAGAAGGTCTTCAGGCCCTGTGTTGACTACCTGGCCCCAAGGAGACACCAGGCATAGATGAACTTCAGGCACCAGCTGTACATCAGGTTCCAGGCAAATGTCCAGGCCCCAGGTGGATATCACACCTCAGATGAACACCAGGCCCCAGGTAGACATCAAAAACCAGGTGGACACTCAGGCCCCTACTGAATATCCGTCCCCAGGTGGACATCTGTCCCAAGGTGGACACGAGGCCACAGATGTACACTTAAGCCTAAGGCAGACCCCAGTCCCCAGGAAAACTCCAGGCTCCATGAGGGCACTCAGACCCCAGATGGATGCACTGGTCCTAGGTAAATACAAGGCCCCAGGTAGACAGCAGGCCCCAGTGAACACTGGAGCCCAGGTGGGTACCTAGTCCCCAGGTGTGCATCAGGCAGAAGGTTGACCCAGTCCCCAGCTGAACTCTGGGCCCCAGCTGAACATCATAACCCAGATGGTCACCCAGGCTCCAGGTGAACACATGGTCTTAGGTGGACATCAGGCCCCACATGAACACCCAAGCCCCAGGTAGAGATCAGGCCTTAGGTGTACACCAGACCTCAGGTGGGCCTCTGGCTCCAGATGGCCATAGGTGGATAACTAAGCCTCTCGTGGATATCAGGCCCCAGGTGGGCACCAGGCTCCAGGCGAACATCTAGCCCCAGGGGGACATCCAGCCCCTGGTGGACATCAGGGCTCACATGGATAAACAGTTTACAGATGGACACCTGCCACAGGTGCCTCACCTCTACTTCCTGAAACCTCACTTCCCCTCATGGGCCTTCTGTCCGACTTGCGGTACCCCTAGCCGCCCTAGGAACACACTGGACTCGAACCAGGGGTGCCAGGGTCCCTGGGGCTCAGCGCAAGGGTTCATGGGAATACACTTTCGTCCGTGGGGGACCCAGTCCTCACTTCTCGGCGGCGCAGTTTTTTTTTTTCTCTGCCCCAGGTGCCTCACCTTCCCCTCATGGGCCTTCTGTCCACCTTGTGGTACCCCTGGCGGCCCGAGGCGCACCCTGGGCTCGAACCAGGGATGCCAGGGTCCCCAGGGCACAGCGCAAGGGCTGATGGGGAGACACTTTCTTCCGTGGGGGTCCCAGGCCCCGCTTCTCCGTGGCGCGTTTTTTTTTCCCTCTGCCCCAGGTGGGTCACCTTCCCCTCATGGGTCTTCTGCCCGCTTTGGGGTACCCCTAGTGGCCCCAGGCACACGCTGGGCTCAAATAAGGGTCGCCAGGGTCCCCGGGGCCCAGCGCAAGGGTTGATGGGAAGACACTTTCACCCGTGGGGGACCCAGGCCCCGCTTCTCCGCAGCGCTGTGTTTTTTTTTTTTTTCTCTACCCCAGGTGACTCACCTTCCCCTCATGGGCCTTCTGCCCGCTTTGGGTTACCCCTAGCAGGCCAGAGGCGCACCCTGGATTCGAGCCAGGGACGACAGGGTCCCCGGGGCCCAGCACAAGGGCGGATGAGACGGCACTTTCGTCCTTGGGGGACCCAGGCCCTGCTTCTCTGTGGCGCGGTTTTTTTTTTCTTTTATGCCACAGGTGCCATACCTCTCCTCCCTCAAACCTCACCTTCCCCTCATAGGCTTTCTGCCCGCCATGGGGTACCCCAAGAGGCCCGAAGCGCACCCTGGTCTTGAACCAGGGATGCCAGGGTCCCCTGGGCCCAGCTCAGGGGCTGATGGGAAGACACTTTCTTCCGTGGGGGACCCAGGCCCCGCTTCTCCGCGGCACAGTTTTTTTTTTCTCTGCCTCAGGTGCCTCACCTACCCCTCATGGGCCTTCTGCCCGCTTCTGGGTACCCCTAGCGGGCCCAAGGCGCACCCTGGGCTCAAACCAGGGTCGCCAGTGTCCGCGAGGTCCAGCGCAATGCCTGATGGGAAGGCACTTTCGTCAGTGGGGGACACAGGCCCAGCTTCACTGCGGCGCGGTTTTTTTTTTTTCTGCCACAGGTGCCTCACCTTCCCCTCATGGGCTTTCTGTCCGCCTTGGGGTACCCCCAGCGGCCCGAGGCGCACCCTGGGCTCGAACCAGGGATGCCAGGGTCCCTGGGGCCTAGCACCGGGTCTGATGGGAAGGCACTTTCTTTCGTGGGGAACCCAGGCCTCCCTTCTCCGTGGCGAGGTTTTTTCCTTTTTTCTCTGCCCCAGGTGCCTCACCTTCCCCTCATGGGCTTCTGCCCACTTTGGGGTACGGCTAGCGGCCCGAGGCGCACACTGGGTTCGAACCAGGGTCGCCAGGGTGCACGGGGCCAAGCGCAGGGGCTAATGGTAAAGCACTTTCGTCCGTGGGGGACCCAGGCCCCCCTTCTCCGTGGCGCGTTTTTTTTTTCTGCCATAGGTGCCTCACCTCCCTTCCCTCAAACCTCCCCTTCGCCTCATAGGCCTTCTGCCCGCCTTGGGGTACCCCTAGCGGCCCGAGGCGAACCATGGGGTCGAACCAGGGACGCCAGGGTTCCCGGGGCCCAGTGCAAGGGCTGATAGGAAGACACTTTCGTCCGTGGGGGACCCAGGCACCGCTTCTCCGCGGCGCAGTTTTTTTTTTCTTTTGGCTGCCCCAGGTACCTCACCTTCCCCTCATGAGCCATCTGCCTGCTTTGGGGTACCCCTAGTGGACCGAGGCGCACCCTCGGCTCGAATCAGGGTCGTCAGGGTCCCCGGGGCGCAGCGCAAGGGCTGATGGGAAGACACTTTCGTCCGTGGCGGACCCAGGCCCCGCTTCTCTGCGGTGCGGTTTTTTTTTTTTTTTTTTTTTTTTGTCTGCCACAGGTGCCTCACCTCTCCTCCCTCAAACCTCAACTTCCCCTCATGGGCTTTCTGCCTGCCTCGGGGTACCCCTAACGGCCCGAGGCGCACCGTGGGTTTGAGTCAAGGTCGCCAGGGTCCACGGGGCTCAGCGCAGGGCCTGATGGGAAGGCACCTTCGTCCGTGGGGGACCCATGCCCTGCTTCTCCGTGGCGCGTTTTTTTTTTCTGCCACAGGTGCCTCACCGCTCCTCCCTCAAACCTCACCTTCCCCTCATGGGCCTTCTGTCTGCCTTGGGGTACACCTAGCGGCCCGAGGTGCACTGTGGGCTCGAACCAGGGAAGCCAGGGTCCCTGTGGCCCAGCGCAAGGGCTGATGGGAAGACACTTTCGTCCGTGGGGGGACCCAGTCCCCGCTTCTCCGCGGCGAGGTGTTTTTTTTTTTTCTCTGCCCCAGGTGCCTCACCTTCCCCTCATAGGCCTTCTGCACACTTTGGGGTACCCCTAGCGGCCCGAGGCGCACCCTGGGCTCGAACCATGGAGGCCAGGTTCCATGGGGCCAAGCGCAGTGGCTGATGGGAAGGCACTTTCGTCCCTGGGAGACCCAGGCACCAATTCTCCGCTGCGCGTTTTTTTTTTTTTTTTTTTTTTTTTTTTTTTTTTCTGCCACAGGTGCCTCATCTCTCCTGCCTCAAACCTCAGCTGAAACTTTTGGGCCTTCTTTCCTCCTTGGGGTACTCGTAGCAGCCTGAGGCGCAGCGTGGGCTCGAACCAGGGATGTCAGCGTCCTCGGGACCCAGCTCAAGGGCTGACGGAAAGACACTTTCGTCAGTGGGGGACCCAGGCCCCGCTTCTCCGCTGCGCGGTTTTTCTTCTTTCTCTGCCGCAGATGCCTCACCTTCCCCTCATGGGCTTTCTGCTCTCCTTGGGGTACCCCTAGCGGGTCCAAGGTGTACCCTGGTTTCCAGCCAGGGACACCAGGTTCCCCAGGGCCCAGCGCAGGGGCTGATGGGAAGGCACCTTCGTCCGTGGAGGAGCCAGGCCCCGCTTTTCTGCAAGCGCGGTTTTTTTTTTCCTTTGCCCCAGGTGTCTTACCTTCCTCTCATGGGCCTTCTGCCGGCTTCTGGGTAACCCTAGCGGGCGCGAAGCGCACCTGGGGCTCGAACCAGGGTTGCCAGGGTCCATGGGGCCCAGGGCAGGGGCTGATGGGAAGACACTTTCATCCGTGGGGGACCCAGGTCCCGCTTCTTTGCGGCGCGGTTTTTTTTTTTCTCTGCCCCAGGTGTCTCACCTTCCCCTAATGAGCATTCTGCCCGCTTTGGGATACCCTTATTGGGCACGAGGCGCACCCTGGGCTCTAACCAGGGTCGCCAGTGTCCATGGGGCCCAGCGCAGGGGCTGATGGGAAGGCACTTTCGTCCGTTGGGGACCCAGGCCCCGCTTCTCCGCGGCGTGTTTTTTTTTTTTTTTTTTTTTCCTGCCACAGTTGCCTCACGTCTCCTCCCTCAAACCTCACCTTCCCCTCATGGGCCTTCTGTCCGACTTGGGGTACCCCTAGTGGCCAGACGCACACCCTGGGTTCGAAACTGGGACACCAGGGTCCCCGGGGCCCAGCGCAAGGGCTGATGCGAAGACACTTTCTTCCTCGGGGACCCAGGCTCTGCTTCTCTGCGACGTTTTTGTTTTTGTTTTTTTCGCTTTTCCCCAGGTGCCTCACCTTCCCCTCATGGGCTTTCTGCCCACCTTGAGGTACCACTAGCGGGCCTGAAGCGCACCCTGGTTTCGAGCCAGGGACGCTAGGGTCTCCGGGGCCCAGTTCAGGGCTGATGGGTAGGGACGTTCGTCTGTGGGGGACCCAGGCCCCACTTCTGGGCGGCGCAGTTTTTTTATTTTTTTCTCTGCCCCAGGTGTCTCACCTTTCCCTCATGGGCCTTCTGTCTGCCTTGGGGTACCCCTAGCAGGCCGAGGCGCACGCTGGGCTCGAGCCAGGGATACCAGGGTCCCTGGGGCGCAGCGCAAGCGCTGATGTGAGGACAGTTTCTTCTGTGGGGGAGCCAGGCCCCGCTTATAGGCGGCGCGGTTTTTTTTTTTTTTTTTTTTCTCTGCCCCAGGTGCATCACCTTCCCCTCATGGGCCTTCTGCCCGCTTTTGGGCACCCCTAGCGGCCTGAAGCGCACCCTGGTCTCGAACCAGGAATGCCAGGGTCACCTGGGCCCAGCGCAAGGGCTAATGGGAAGACACTTTTGTCCGTTGGGGACCCAGGCTCTGCTTCTCCGTGGTGCGGTTTTTTTTTTTTTCTGCCACAGGTGCCTCACCTCGCCTTCCTCAAACCTCAACTGCCCCTCATGGGATTTCTGCCCGCTTGTCTTCCGAGGCTGCGGTGTGGATCTCGCACTGCGGCCGCCTCGCCTTGGCTGGGGAGAACCTCGGTGGGTAGGATTCAGAGGGGCTTTTGGTTTCCCGTTTTCCACACTGAACACTTCTAACTGGTCTCTGACCCTGATTATTAAGGGCTGCAAACAGGAAGGATTTTATTCACCACTGATGCGGCTCCGAGTAGTCCCAAAGCGAGGCAGTGCCCACAAGGTCTGTGCTGAGAACGCTGCTCTGCCTTCGCGGTGTCTCCCGGGTGTGTGCTGAGCAGAACGCAGCTCCGCCCTCGCGGTGCCCCTGGCCCGCCCTCCCGGGTCTGTGCTGAGGAGAACATGCTCCGCTTCGCTGTATCTCCGAAGTCTGTGCAGAGGAGAACTCAGCTCCGCCCTGGCAATGCTCTCCGGGTCTGTGCTGAGGAGAAGGCAGCTCCGCCCTCGCAAAGGCACAGGGCGCCGGCGCAGGCGCAGAGAGGCGCACGGGGGTACCCCTAGCGGGCTCGAGGCCCACCCGTGGCTTGAACCAGGGTCTCCAGGGTCCACAGGGCCCAGAGCAGGAGCTGATGGGAAGGCATTTTCATCGTGGGGGACCCAGGCCCTGCTTCTCTGTGGCGCGGGTTGTTTTTTTTTCTTTTTCTGTGACAGGTGCCTCACCACTCCTCCCTCAAAACTCACTTTCCCTCATGGGCTTTGTGCTCCCAAAGCTCCCCTTGGGGTGCACGTAGCGGCTGAGGCACACCCTGAGCTCGAACCAGGGACACCAGGGTCCCCGGGTCCCAGTGCAGGGACTGATGGGAAGACACTTTCGTCCGTGGGGAATCAGGCCGCGCTTCTCTGCGGCGAAGTTTTTTTTTTCTCTGCCCCAGGTGCCTCGCCTTCCCCTTATGGGCTTTCTGCCCACCTTGGGGTAACACTAGTGGCCCGAGGCGTACCCTGGGATCAAACCAGGGACGCCAGGGACCTCACTGCCAAGCGAACGGGCTAAGGAGAAGACAATTTCCTCCGTGAGGGACCCAGGCACTGCTTCTCGGCGGCGCGTTTCTTTACTTTCTCTGCCTCAGGTGCCTCACCTTCCGCTCATGGACCATTTGTTCACTTTCTGGTAACCGCAAGCGGTCCCGAAGCGCACCCTGGGCTCGAACCAGGGTCGTCACTGTCCACTCTGCCCAGGGTACAGCATAATGGGAAGGCACTTTCATCCATGGGGGACCCAGGCCCCGCTTGTCTGAGGCGAGGTCTCCTGTTTTTTTTCTGCCCCTGGTGCCTCACCTCTATTCCCACAAACTTCAAATTCAACTCATGGGCCTTCTGTCCGAGTTGGGGTACCCCTAGTGGCCCGACGCGCACCCTGGGCGCCAACGACGGATGCCAGGGTCCCTGGGGACCAGCGCAAGGGCTGATGGGAAGACATTTTCGTCAGTAGATGACCCAGAAACCTCTTGGCAATGCATTTTTTTCTCTGCCCCAGGTGCCTCAACTTCCCCCCATCAGCCTCCTGTCTCTCTGCACCTGCGCCGGCGCCGTGCTCTTCTCTGCGCCGCCACCGTTGCTCGGGGATGGGTCCCTGAGACTTGGCGAAGTAGGAGTACTGGACTCGTGCACAGGCCCTGTCTCGCAGGTTTTCAGGTGAGCTTGGCGTTTCCTCCGCTTTGAGGGGCAGGTCTCCAGTGGCCCCCGGGCGCAGGCCTGGACATCACTGTCCGTCTCGTCGTCGCCCACTACGGCCTCAGAGACACAGGCTCACTGCATGTGCTCTTGGGGGACGTCAGTGCCACGTGTGGTCACACTGGCTCCGGCTCGGACTAGCCTCTGTCTCTCTTTGCCCGTGTCTCCAGAAGCCGCGTCGAGATGCCGGAGCCCCCGGGCCTTGGAGATGAAGGCAGGCCCCTGCTCCACCCAGGAAGGAGGGAGGCAGTGGGCTCGTGGGTCAGTGCCTTTGCAGGCGACAGCACGCCTTGCGGCCCTGGGGATCTTTCTGTGCCCCGGCGAGAGCCTTTCCGCCTCACTGCATTGTAACCCCATTCCCGATCACCGGGTGGGATCCATCATCGGATCCCAAGAGGAGTCCGCGCAGCCCAGCCAACACCCGAAGCTCCTCCTTCACCGAGAACCCAAGCAGAAGACCGATCAAGGAGGTCCTGACGACAGGACTCCTATGGGTCCGACCCTGGGTCTCCCGCAGGCCCCTCTGGTAGTCCTCTTCCCACCCGCCGCCCGGGGCTGCGCCGCAGCCGCCGCCGCAACCTCCAGCACCGCCGCACCAGTCCCCGCAGCCGCCGCGTCGCCGCCATTTTTTAAAGGGTCCGCAGCCTGACTCTGCCGAGTAAGGGGGGTGGGGCGGGTGAGTCGGCCTCGCCAGTGCGCATGCGCGAGGCCCGAGCCGCCGCTTTGGTCACAGTGACCGCCACCGTTGCCCGGGTATGGGTCCCTGAGACTTGGCGAAGTAGGAGCCCTGTGTGATCGTGCGTCAGAGTCGGGGCTGAGACCAGCCCTGGCCAGGGCAGTTACCAGGACGGTCTCCGGAGGCCGGGATTCGCGGAGGGTCCACCAGCAGGAAGAAACCCCAGGAGGAAGAAACCTCAGACAGATCGCCGGGGAGGCAGCGCGGGATCCCAGCCTCAGGCGTGCGCGGACGGTGTGCGGGTGAGTCTCCCCAAAAGTGGCGCCCTTGTGATGTCAAGGACAGGTCTCCCTGTGTGCCCGTGGGCTGCTGTCTCACCGGTGGCTCGTAGTCGCGGAGACTAGAACCCGGCAGCTTCAGGGGCTGCCTGGGGGTGGGTGTTACCTGCTGTATGTCTGTGTCCGTTATGGGGGTGTGTGTGTGTCTGTGTGTCTGCGTGTGTGTGTGCGCGCGCGCGCGTGTCTGTGTGCCCACTACCGTCTCTCTCTTAAGTCTCTCTCTCTCTCTCTCTCTCTCTCCCTCTCTCCCTTCTCGCTCTTTCCGTCGCCCTCTCTTTCTGTCTCTGTCCGTCTGTGTGTGCGTGCGCCTTGGGACACATGTTCCCTGTGCGCCGGAGGCTGGGTTTCTTGCACGTCGGCCTTTCTTCTGGTCAGCCTCTCCCCGCGTCTCTGCCTGGGTGTTGTGGCCGGTTGGCAATCGTTTTCCCGGCGGTTCCGGCTTGGGGGTCTGTGAAGGCCTGGGCAACGTGGGCATCTGCGTCGGAGCCGCAGGGGTTTTCATTCCCTCCCCATCCGGAGCAGCCTCTTTGCTAGGCTAGATCCAGACGACCGCTCCCCAACCAAGGACAACGGCCTCCCAGGCGCTCATTGTCCACCCGCAGGAGGGTGCCCGCAGACCTTCCAGAAGATGCTTCTCACGCCTCTTGCCCTGCCCTCTGCCCTCATGGAGAAATCTAGCCACAGCTCGACGCAGGGACGGAGAAGGAAGCCGGCAAGGGGATGGGGCAAGCCTCTCTCTCACTCAAAGGCAGTATAGAAGTCCACCACAGAGGCATATCCAGTATGGTGCCCACCACCTCATCTTGGGGCTGGGTGAAGGGCAAGTGGCACTGCAGGAAATAGTAGCCTTGTTCTCTGTCCTCAATTTGTTCCAAGATTGCGGCCCACACCAGTGCTTGGGCTTGTGAGAATGGAGGGCTCTCCAACAGTTCAGAAACAAGCAGTCTGCCGCAGAGGTGAGAAGAGCAAAAGACACCCCCACCTGTGCTTTTCCATGGAACATCAAGTCCCTCAGAGTATAATGTCTGCTGGGTTCTTGCTTCCTTATTTTTCTGTGTTCAAATTTCTTCTTGTGGTGCTCTAGCACACTTCCGTCTATATAGATATTGGAATTAACGATTATTTATCCATAACTTTGCTTTCTCTTTCTGAGAATAACTAGAGTCAAATATCTATAGTCAGTCATATTGAAGAAAAACCTCAGAAATATACTTCTTAGTAACTCAACACCCAAGAGCAAATCATAATGGAAATTATAAAATATTTTTAATTAAAAAATGTATACTACATTATAAAATGTGTCATTTTAGAGGAAAATGTAGAACCTTAAATTCTTATTTTATGAGGACAACAAATTAATTTTTAAAATGTTTTGAATTTATTGGTAGAAGTTAGAAATATCAACAGAAATAAAAGGAAATAATAAATACATGCATAGTGATTAAGAATACAGGGAAAGAAAAGTCAAGAAATATGGCCAAAAGTTTGTTAGTTGTTGTAGGAGCCATACAATAACAAAACTCTGGAGAAATGGCTTGATAAAATTAAGAGAAGAAACAAGTATGCCATCTCAGGAATCAAAATAGGAAATAATTATACATCAGGTGTCAAGAATTTTTTTTGTTTTTTGGAAAGGATCTGTTGGTAATTATTTTAGGTTTTTGGGCTATATGGTTTGTTGCAACTAATCAATTCTATTGTTGTGGCATAAATTGACAGTATGTCAATGAATGAGCATGACAGTGTTCCAGTAATACTTTATTTATAAATACTGTCTGGCTTATTTGCCACAGTTTATTGAGTTTTGTTATAAATAATACAAATATCAAGAAGGTAAATTAGTGTAGTATGAAAACGTTTAATTCAATAAATTTGGAAATATATGTAAAATGTGTACAATTACTTGAAACATGCATTTTTCCAAAAGTAACCTAAAGTGAAAAGAAAAATCTGAATTGTGCTACAACAAATGCATGTAATCAGTAGTCAGAAATCATATCATAAAGATAATTTCAAGCCATGATGACTTTACTGGCAAGTTGTTTCAAACATGAAACAAAACAATAATTCCAATCTTACATACAATTCTTTCTGAGCATGAAACAGGAAAGAACATACTCTATTTTATTTTATTATGCTATTATGACTCTGATATTATAACCTGACAAGGATAGTAAAGGGAAAGTAAATTAAACACCAATGTAATTTATGAAAATATTGAAGGAAAACTTAAAAAAGTTCCATGCAGAAATAAGCAATGCATTAAAATGTAAGACATCACAGCCAATGTTTATTCTAAGAAACCCTGGGAAGCAATAATGGCCTCATGTAAAGGTATCAATTAATATGATACACCACAACAAATAACTTAACAATATTATAAGCATATTTAATTTTATTTTCTTAAAAAGTCATACATTTTAACAACCCGAAATTAAAAGAGAATCTAGTTTAACTGATAACATTTGTTTTCAAAAGTTCTATTGAAATTATAACACTTAACAATGGAATGTTCAAATATTTCCTTTGTGATTGGGAACAAAATAAACATAGATGGTACAAGCAATTTTATTTATCCTTTTGCAGGTCTTAGACACTGGGATAGGATTGTAAATATTAAAAAAATAAGAATTATGAAAGAGAAAACAGATTACTATGTTACCGATGACACTAAGTACACAGAAAATTCAAAATGATTCTAAGATACATTATACTAATGAATATGAGCTTTTAGCAAGATGCTTTGACACAAATATATTATGCAATATTGAAATGCATTTCAAATAAGTAGAGAACTTTATTTAGATGTGTCAGTGTGGCTTACTCTCACAAACATAATATTTAGTGGCATGATTAAGTCACAAAAGAATATGTACAGTATAACTCAGTTTAAATAAAGTTCAAATAAACATAGACATAACATTGACATAAATATATTCTTGAATTGAAAGACTTTAATGAAATCACTTCTCCCCAAAATTAATCTTTGTAACTAGTGCATCCAAAGTAAAACCCAGTAAGGTTTGATTTAGATATTGACAAGCTAATTCTAGAATTTATGTAAACTCTAAAAATATTAAAATTCAGTTAATAATTTATTGAGGAAGGAAAAATATATTACAGGAAATATAAGAATTAATGCAATGTGGTATTAACAAAGTAATAAATAATCAATGAAATGGAATAGGTAGACTACAGTAAGGAAAATATAAGAACCCATGATATGTAAGAAAGCTAGTATTATAGATCAGTGGTGAAAAATAAATTTGCCAATAAATGAGAGTGAGAAAACTGGCTATACATATGGAAAATAATTAAAGTGATTCTTTACCTTATATAATATTTAACAATCAATTCCTTGGCAATCAATATTTAAATGTAAAGCCAGGCAAAAATTACAGAAAACCCGACAGTAAAACAAAGAAAATGGCTTGCACATGTGCTTTATAAAATGTACAATGTAAGTGTCCACCATACATATTTAGAATCACTTTAACTTATTTTTAACACAAAAATGCAAATGAAAATGTTTTATATGTACATTATTACTTATACAAGAGATTGACCAAAAACGGTCTGACAAGACAGACTTCTGGCAAACATATAGAGCAATAATAATTTCATATGCTTTCCTGGAAATGGAAATTATATCCGTTTTAAAAAGAGGCTTGTATTACCCAGTAATATTGAAGATGACCATATATTCTAATCAGCAATTGGCTTTCACTCCTTATTTTGTATGTACATGGTTGGCCATTAAGAAATGTAATCCAAAATATTTACAGGCTCAGTTAAGTACTATAAGCAATGCAAAAGTTAAACAACAGTAGAATGTGGTAGATTCATACAGTGGAATACTACACTTTAGAAAAAAAATAGATAACTTTATTTAGATATGTTAATGTGGCTTACTCTCACAAACATAATATGCAGTGGTATGATTAAGTCACAAAAGAATATGTACAATATAATTCAGTTTAAATAAAGTTCAAGAACACAAAACAGCAAGTTGGATTGTTTATAAAAGGTTTACTGGACACTAAATCTATAAAGATAATAATAGAAATTATTTTAACACATCCTTCAATTACCTTTCATTCCTCCAGAAATTTGTTGAAACCTCTTGAATGCCTATGACCTTTCTCATTTCCTCCACTGTTTAATTTCCTTTTATACTTTGTTTAAAACTTTGAATGGACATATGAGAGATGAAGTCATATTTTTCTAAATAAGTTCAAAAATATTTTGCTTTAAAATATAAGTAGTGATTAAATTTCTAAGAATTGAGCAATAGTTGAATGTTATAAATTTAGTTTTCATGAATATTTCTCTCTCCACATTTCTTCTTCTCAACTTGCTCATATCCCTTCAAATGACAAAATACTTAGAAGTATTTGAGTCAAGTTAGATATATTTTTGAAGATATTATTTGCTTATTTATCTATGAGAGGTCAACAACAACTTCCATGAATATTAGGAAAGCAAATGTCGGTAGCTCTATTCACTTCAATATTGAATTCACCTATATCTGAAATTTAAATGTCAGTGATAAGACTGACAGAAAGCGTCACACACTTTAGGTAACACAGCACTAAGTGGCAACACTTTAATATTGTCACTATTACATTTTTCAGATATACAATATATACTTTACCAAGAATCCTAGTCTATTATGTTCTAAGGATGAGCTGTCTTTATACAAATTCACAATAAATAGCTGTGTAAATAAGAGTTACCATTTTTATTTTATAGCATAAAATGTATTTCAATTAGTTGTACAAATCAGATATGTTATAAAAGAAACATCTTTCCTATTATTGAATTACCCAAAGTTGCTTACCTAACATAGAATCTTGTGGAGGAAAATAGGCCAGTGAAATTCAGTGATTATTCATTATGATCAAGGTGATTAGTACAGAAATCTCCATGACTATTCTGTGCAGTGTCTTTTCTTTAACAATATTTTATAATCATTCTTATTTTTACTTTCTGTAGACAAATCCTTTCTTGTTTTGCCTCCTTTTAGGTACTTTTGAGATTATAAAAGTATATAGTAAAAACAAATGCACACACAAAACTATTCGGTTGGTATACTTAATTTTGTTAGAATAGATTTAGTCCAGGTATATTCCAGTGGTTTCTTACTGAGAGTTCATCCTAGTCCCCTGATTATTACTTGAGTGTTCACTGATGGTTTTTCCTTCTTGTTAACAGGAAATAGTTTTGGTTTCTGCTAAAAATGGCAGTTGCCACCATTCTGCTAAAAATGGCAGTTGTGTGAGTTTTATTTCTTAGAAAATAACTATATTTTATATTTGGTGAATATCTTAGTTTTGCATTTAATTTGCTAAGCAGAATCAATGCAATCACTATCATATTCTATAGTTTTTCCTAACAGATTGATAGAGTAAAATGTATGGTTTTTCTAATTTTTAGCATTTGTGTCCAATAAAATGACTTTATATAATTTTTTTCTTGTTGGTTCATTTTTTTTCCGGTCAAAGTTTCTTCTTTAGTTTCTCATATAATTGATTCAAAACTCCTAAGTGATGATCACAGTAACCTTAGGTATTTCTTAATTCTCCATAATAAATATAGCATCTGAGTCTAATTTCTTCTGGGAGATTTATTAACTTTTAAGATAGCATGTGTCACTTACATAATCTAACAATGCATTTTGCATACTAAAATGATGAAACATTCTTAATGAATTTAAATAGCTACTTTATCAGAAACAGGAGTCATAGGTTGAATTTTTATGTGGGTAGTAGAGCTAAGAATATTTGTAAAACAGCTCTCCATGATGGGCTCCAACAGGATGAAGTAAGACCACCTACCAAGGAAGTAAGATCAGTTCCAAAATGAACTGTACATGAAATTCTGCTCTAAGATCTTTTTGCTTTTTAACATGATTTCAGAAAAGGCTAATTTTTGTAATGGACTACAATACTTGTTTTGCTACATAAGCTTTCAGGATTTTTTTTCTTTTATTTTTATTTTAAAATTAATTTTTGAGCAGCATTCTTGACTGCAAGAAAGCTTCTGTCAGTTTCCCAAATTACTCAAATAACATGTATTTTACACTGAAAATCATGAGCTCCTTAACTCAAAGCTTTTCCTTGTTGTTTTTGTAACTATTTACCATACAATTACTTGTAAATGAAATGTATAACATAAATATGCGCTAACATAAAGGAAGATGTTTAAATATTTTTTAGACTTCTGAAAAAAGATAAAACTCTCGGTTTTTAAGAACATTGTATCTTTCATTTTATCTTTCTTTCTCCTCCAAATATATTAATAACTATCCTTCTATTTGTTACGTTCCTTTACTTAAAGGGACTAAAGTATAAATCAGGTAATTAATACACAAAACTTTATTCTGTCCCTTGCTTGTAGCACTACTTCATTCCAGTTTCCTCAGAGTTTATTATATAAATCAGACAGATTTGTAAATAAGTATTTTACAGTCTACATTTATTTGATTATGAAAATGGAAACAGAATAAAATGTGAAAAGATAACAAACTTTACTTCTTTGTTTCTCCATCTTTTCAAGTTGATCAGGTATATGGATGGCATTTTAAATAATGTGTTAAATTTAGAGAATACATTAAATAGAAAAGAAAATTGTGGGAAATAGGAAAGCCTTTCCATTAAGGGTTTAGATATAAAATGTTCTATTCAGTTACAAACTAAACCTAAAATGAGAGGGTTTTTTTGTTTAACTGAAAGAGCTAGAGAGTAATTAAAGGTAATTGGCATGTTATTATTCTTAAAAGGTTCGCTTTTCTGTTCTAAGAATACCAGGGAACAATTGAATAGATAAAAAGCAAACTATAAATTGCCAAATAGATCTTTTGTATAATAATACATCTCCCAAGACAAAAGATATTTCAGACCCATAAAAAATAAGGGAAGTGTATTTGCCTGACTGGTCTTGCATCTTGCCTGACCACAATGAATTTGCATCAGATTTTAAACTCACAGAGTTATAAAATATCTTAATGTGTTAAGAGGGAATCAAAAGTGAATGTGATTAACTTGAAGGAACTAGTTGGCAGACTTTAACATTAGGCTAGCAGAAACTATTTAATAAATAAAACTGAAAGCAGAAAAATACTTTTCTTAAATAATTATTAGTGGCAGATTGATACTGTTAATATTATTGATTCAATCTGGGAAGTCCTCCCTCTTGCCTTTTCTCTACCCAGATCTTGCATTCTTTTGCAAAATAAGAACAATACAAACTCATTATTATTATTATTATTTTTTTTTTTTTTTTTTTTTTGGAGACAGAGTCTCGCTCTATCGCCCAGGCTGGAGTGTAGTGGCGCGATCTTGGCTCACTCAACCTCCGCCTCCCGGGTTCACGCCATTCTCCTGCCTCAGCCTCCCGACTAGCTGGGACTGCAGGCTCCCGCCACCATGCCCGGCTAATTTTTTGTATTTTGTTTAGTAGAGACGGGGTTTCACCGTGTTAGCCAGGATGGTCTTGATCCCCTGACCTCGTGATCCGCCCGCCTCGGCCTCCCAAAGTGCTGGGATTACACGCTTGAGCCACTGCGCCCGGCAACAAACTCATTATTAAGTCACTTATTTACTATTCTATTCCTCAATGAACTCTTTTGTAGACTTCTACCCCATCTATAACCAATGCAGTGGTACTCCTCCCTCTCATATTTAGTTTCTCAGCTCAAGTAAGACTTCCTCAGAGGTTTAATCTAATTAATCTTAATCTAATTAAAATAGAAACCCTTACCCATTTATTCTGTCCAAAGCAACATGTTTCCCCTCCCCTCCCCTTCCCCTCCCCTTCTCCTCCCCTTCTCTTCCCCTTCTCTTCCCCTTCCCTTCCCCTTCCCTTCCACTTCCTTTCCTTCCCCTTCTTTCCCCTTGCCTTCCTTCCTGCCTTCTTTCTTTTCCTTCTTTCTGTCTTTTCTAATACAAGGCTTGACCACTGGGGTAAAATTGTCAAAATGTAAAAAGGAGATAATTAAAAAATAAATAGTACCTAAGTAGTATGCTAAAATATACATGGGGCAAGATCATCTTTGCATTTTATGCTTGGGTGCATTCTGGACCACCTTAATCTTTTTTTTTCTTCCCTAAGACAGAGTCTCTCTCTGTCATGCAGGCTGGAATGCAGTGGCACCATGATGACTCACTACAGCCTCCACCTCCGAGGCTCAAGTGATTAATCTTAAATAGTGCAATTATTCTATTTAATCACAAATGTCAGCATCTCTTTAGTTTTGGCACATGGTTTTCACCTTTTATCCTCTCTCTCTCTCCATGCTTCATTATATTAGTTCCCTAGGCTATCACAACAAATTGACACAAACTAAATGACTTCAACAACAGCAATGCATTCTAAAACAGTTCTAGAGGCTAGAAGTCCTAAATACAGTGGGGCCACACTCGCTCTGAGGTCCCTAGAGAGAATCCATTCTGTGGATCTTCCAGCTTCTGGGGGCTGCCAGCATTCCTTTACTCATGCGAGCATTCCTTTACCCCAGCTTCTGGGGGCTGCACCACTCCAATCTCTGCTCCCTGGTCACATTGCCTCCTCTTCTGTGTGTCAAGTCTCCCTCTGACTCACTCTTAAAAGAACATTTGTCAGGCCAGGCACAGTGGCTCATGCCTGTAATCCCAGCAATTTGGGAGGCCGAGGAGGGCGAATAACTTGAGGTCAGGAGTTTGAGACCAGCCTGGCTAACATGGTGAAACCCTTCCTCTAATAAAAGTATAAAAATTATCTGGGCATGATGGCAGGCGCTTGTAATCCCACTCCTCAGGAGGCTGAGGCAGGAGAGTTGCTTGAACCTGGGAGGCAGAGGTTGCAGTGAGCAGAGATTGCACCACTGCACTCCACCAGCCTGGGCGAAAGAACAAGACTCCATCTCAAAAAAAAAAAAAAAAGAAGAACATTTGTCATTGAATTAAAGACCCGTGAGTATATTTCAGAATAAGCCCCTTCCCTTAAAGTCCTTAACTTAATCACAAGCATTGCCATATAAGGTAATATTCACTGTTTAACGTGTCATTATATTCAAAGATTCCAAGGATTAACGCATCACATATCTTTTAGAAAAAACTATTCGGCCTACTAAACTCGATGAGTCTTCATCTACTGAGACTCAGGCCGAGTCAGATAAAAAGCTTTACAATATTCCACACCTCTCTCTACACGTGTTAAAAACAAGGAGAAAGAGTTTCTCTTAAAATTTTAAGTTCACTAAAAATAGAACAAAAGCAGAAACAATTGAGGTTTTTGTGGTTGTTGCTGTTTGTGTCTTTATTTTTAAAGATTCTACTTTGTACCATATATACATGGTAAATTATTCATTATCATATCTGCTTCTTTTTTTTCATTTGAAGTAATCATATGCCATGGAAAATATTTAAATTCCCAGGCATTGTTAGCTGTAGAGCTCATAAAATGTTCAATGCTTCAGTGAGTTGCAAATTGAAAACAGAAATAAATTCTTGGAGAAACTTGACAGTATTCTACACACTTTGCTCTTGATTGATGTCATGTGGTGATTCCAATAAATGACTTTTTTCAAACAACTTAAGCTATAACTGATTTAAGTAAATGGGGGTGCAATGGTTCTTTCTTATAGATCTCATCTGCTGAGATGCTATACACAGAATTTCAATCATCTTACCCTATGATTTTTCAAAGGTGTATAAGTATGAATAATAATATTATTATTCATTATTATTTATTCTAAAAATAAAAATAATTATATTCATTATTCTAAAAATAAATTTTTGTTTATTATTAATAAAATAACATATAAGGATACATTTATTTATTACAATCATGAAGATATTTAGAATGTACCATTTTCTAGGTAGTAAACTAGTGCTTCACATATTTTTGTTCATTTAATCTTTATTTTTATAAGTCAACAACTATAGATATTATTTTATATTATTTATACTTTATAAAATATAATAAATACATTTTAAAATATATATCAAATATATATTATAAAGTATTACATTATAAAATACTATATTTTATAAAGTAGATGACTATCGATATAGTCATTATATAGATGAGTAAACTGAGGCATATTGTTTCTATAAAAACCTTAAGAGCGCACATAAAATAAATGCTGCAGTCAATGAGCCAAAACATCATACTAAGGATTTTGCTTCCAGAAGCTGCACTCCTAACTACTAGGCTCTAATGCCTCTTTTTATATAAATGATATCATACTGTTTGTTCTCTTTTGATCTAGCTTCTATTAATTAGCATATTTATTGAGATTAATCTATTTTATAGTATGGATGAAAGTTTCATTTCTTTTATTGCTTGTAGTATTTCAAAATATGGATATATCAAAGCTTGCTTATTCATTTATCTGTTAATGAATATTTGATTGTTACATGCTCTTCACTATTAGCCCCTCTCTCCTATAAAAAAGTGCTGTGAATGTTTTGGTACAAGTTTTTTATTTACATATACTTTCATTTCCCTACAAATTGATTGGCAGTCATATGATAGGTGCATACGTCAAAATATTTTAAAAACTGACAAGCCTTTTTCCAGAGTCATTGTACTAATTTCCATTACCATTAGCAGTGCATGTATGTTGGTTGTCCTCTATAGTATTGCCAACACTTGGCATGACCAGCCTTTTTAACTTTAGCCATTCTTTTTTCTTTCTTTTTTTTTTTGAGACGAAGTTTCACTCTTGTTGCCCAGGCTGGAGTTCAATGGCGCGATCTCGGCTCACTGCAATCTACACCTCCCGAGTTCAAACAGTTCTCCTGCCTCAGCCTCCCAAGTAGCTGGGATATAGGCGCGCATCACCATGCCCAGCTAATTTTTGTATTTTTAGTAGAGATGGGGTTTCAGCATGTTGGTCAGGCTGGTCTCGATCTCTTGACCTCAGGTGATCCACCCACCTTGACCTCCCAGAGTGCTGCGATTACAGGTGTGAGCCACTGCGCCTGGCCTCTTTTTTTCTTTTTTGAGATGGGTTCTTGCTCTGTCACGCAGGCTGGAGTGCATTGGCACAACCATAGTTCACTGCAGGCTCCACCTCCTGGGCTCAAGTGATTCTCCCACCTCAGCTTCCGAGTAGCTGGTACTACAAGCATGTGCCACCATGCCTAGCTAAATAGAGACACCATGCCATGTCTCTTTCTTTTTTGTAGAGACAGGATCTCACTATGTTGCCCAGGCTGCTCTCTAACTCCTGGGGTCAAGAAACCCTGCTGCCTTGACCTTCCAAAGTGCTGGGATTACAGGCTTGAGCAACTGTACCCAACTCATTTTTGACAGACACAGATTAATTCCCTAATGACTAATGATATTGAGGATCTTTCCATGTGTTTACTTTCTATCTACATATGTTCTTTAGAGAAGAAGTATTCATTTAAGTCATTTGCCTACTTTTATTAGAGTTGTTAGATTTATTATCAAGTTTTGAGAGTTCTTATGTTTTCTGGACACAACTTTTTTGCCAGACATATATTTTGCAAATATTGTTCTCAGTAGTGTCTTATATTTCTATTTGTTTTACAGTGTTTCCTGAGGAACATATGTTTTACATTTTGATGAACTCAAGTTGTCAATTTCTACTTTGATGAAACGGTGTTTGTGTCATGTCTAAGTAGTATTTACTAGCCTGAGGTCAAATACTTTTCTATATTTTCTCCTATACATAATTTTTCTTCCTTTTTTTTCACTTTGTTTTTACATTTTACATTTAGGCATATGATCTGTACTAAATTAATTTTTGTATCATGAGTTACGTGTTAAAGTTCTACTTTTTGCATATGAGTATCTAATTGTTCCAGCAGAATTTGTTGAAGGGCTATCTTTTATTTACTGAATTACCTTTGTATCTTTGGAGAACACCAATTTACCAAAATTCTGTACATATATTTCTGAATTTTCTATTATCTTCCAATGACATTTCTGTCTATCTTTATGCCAATATCACACTATTTTCATTACTGTAGCCTTATAAGCTTTGGTATTAGATTGTGCTAATCCTTCAAAAATATTCTTATTTTTAAGGATTATTTTGGCTATTTTAGACTCTTTGCATTTCTACTGAAGTTTTAAAATTAGTGTGTAAATTCCTATAAAACAATGCCTAATAATATTTTAATTGGGACTGTATTGAATCTATATTTAGGGATAATCACATTTTACCATGTGAATTTTCTAACCCATATTCATATTACATCTTTCCATTTATTTAAGTCTTCTTTAACTTTCTGCAGTGTTTTGAGTTTTAGTGTACCAGACTCTTACATCATTTGATAGATTAATTCCTAATTCTTCTACATTTTTCATGATATTATTAATAGTACTTTTATTTTAATTTTTTATTGTTCATTGCTGGTATATGGAAATATTAGTTTAATATGTTGCTTTTTTTCTTTTTTATGTTGCTAACTCACTTATTATAGCCAGCAGTGTTTTTGTAGATTTCAGTGGACTTTCTACATAGACATGCCGTCTATAAATAAACCCAATCTACATTTTCCTTTCCCGTCTGTAATTCTTTTGTTTATGTTTTTTGTCTATTTTACTTGGTAGAACGTCTAGTGAAATGTTAAAACAAAGTGCTAAGAGTTAATGGACTCATCTTGTTCCTGAAATCGGGGGAAATAAACTGATTTTTCTTCATTAGGTATGATGCCAGCTATTGTTTTTACATAGATATCTTTTATTAGGATATTCTTGAATTTCTTCTAGACAGTAATAACTTAGATCTTGTTTCATTGATCCAATCTGCTTTTAAATTGGTATATTTAGACCATTTATATGTAATGTGGTTATGTGTGCATATATACATATTTTTTTTTCTTTTTTTTTTTTTTTTTTTTTTTTTTTGAGACAGAGTCTGGCTCTGTTGCCCAGGCTGGAGTGCAATGCGATGATCTTGGCTCACTGCAACCTCTGCTTCCTGGGTTCAAGCCATTCTCCTGCCTCAGCCTTCTGAGTAGCTGGCATTACAGGTGCCCGCCACCATGCCTGGCTAATTTTTTGTATTTTTAGTAGAGACAGGGTTTCACTATGTTGGCCAGGCTGGTCTCGAACTCCTGACCTCATGATCTGCCCACCTCAGTCTCCCAAAGTGCTGGGATTATAGGCGTGAGCCACCGCACCTGGATATTTTTAGTTTTAAACCTATTATTTTGCTTTTGCTTTCTATCTTTCCTGAAGGAATTCAGAACCAGATACCCCCAAACATGCCACTTTGGCATATTGATTTTTTTGAGTTAAAGACACTTGAAAAATAGCAGATGCAAGAAAAGCACTCTGATTTTCCTTTAAAGCACTCTGATTTTCCTTTTTCTTAAAAGTAGGAGGTAAAATTTCTACATGAAAGTTGCCCTCTTTATACAAGAAGGAAAGTAACAGTCTCATCACCCAGGATGAGAAGTTGAGGCAAGGGAAACCTGTACAAACAGACCTTGTTAAACCAACCCTTATCCTGTTAATCACCTCTTCACCCAATTAACTACACTAGTTCCAGCTCCTTTGTCTTGTCATATTTCACAATTTACTACTCTGTGTCTACTTCAGAACATAAGTGATTATGTCATGGAGTCTTCCTTCCTTAAAGAATCTCGCATGCCACATAATACATGCATTAAATAAATTTGTATGCATTTTCCTGTTGATCTGTCTTATATCAATTTAATTCTCAGGCTTAGCAGAGGAAAAAAAAAAAACTAAGAAGATGGTAATAAAATTTTGCTTCCCCTACCATCCCATCTGTTTTTTGCTTATTTTCCCTCTTGTTTGCCTTCTTTTCTATGAATCAAATATATTTTATGGTTTCATCTTATCTCCTTTTTTACTTGAGAATTAAAACTCTATATTGTTAATTTTAATGGTTGCTTTTGAGTTTGTAGTATACATGTTTAACTCATCACATTCTACCTTCAAATTATAATATACTACTTTACATACAGTATCATGAAGTAACAACATTTTCATTATTTTATCCTAACTGTTGTTCTGTTATTGTCATTAATTTATTTTTATATATGTTGTAAACTCATTATAAATTGTTATTATTCTTGTTTAAATTAGAGGTTAATAATGTTGTTTTCTTCTCTCTCTTTTTTTTTTTTTTTTTTGAGACAGAGTCTAGCTTTGTACCAGGCTGCAGTGCAGTAGTGCCATCTCAGCTCACTGCAACCTCTGCCTCCTGGGTTCAAGCGATTGTCCTGCCTCAGCCTCCCGAGTAGCTGGGATTACAGGCACATGCCACCACACCCAGCTAATGTTTGTATTTTTAGTAGATACGGGGTTTCATCATGTTGCCCAGGATGGTCTTAATTTCCTGACCTCGTGATCCGCCCATCTCGGCCTCCCAAAATGCTGGGATTACAGGCATGAGCCACCAGAACCGGACATGCTTTCCTTAAAAGCTAAATATTTTAGGCTTGTGTGCCATTAGGCTCTGTTACAACTACTTAATTCTGCTTTTGTAATTCTATAGCACCCATTGATAATACATAAACAAATGAGCATGAATGTGTCTCAGTAAAAATTTGTTCACATAAACAGGCAGTCCACCCATGAAGCTATAGCTTGCTGACCCCTTGTTTAAACAATCAATTGAATTCAAACAGAAATAAAAGGATCTTATATATTTAACCATGTTGATACCATTTCCAGTGCTTTTCATTCTTCTATGTAGATCCAAATTTCCTTTTGATATTATTTTACTTCTGCCTGAAACTTTTTCTTTAACATTTTTTATAGTGTTGTTTTACTGGTGATGATTTCTTTCAGGTTCTAAGTGCCTGAAAAAATCTTTATTTCACCTACATCCTGAAAGATAGTTTCTCTGAGTCTACAATTCCCAGCTGACAATGTTTATCTTCCAGTACTTTAAAGATGTTGCTTCATTATCTTCTAATTTTCTTTGTTTCTAATAAAATGTTTGCTGGCATTTTTTGTTCCTCTGTGCAAACTGTGTTTTTGTCATTGGCCACTTTGAGAATTTTTCTTTATCACTAGTTTTAAGCAATTTTATTTTAGTGTATTTTGTGCACAAGACAAGGATGCCCTCTCTCACCACTCCTGTTCAACATAGTATTGGAAGTCCTTGCCAAAACAGTTAGGCAAGAGAAAGAAATAAAGGGTACCCAAATAGGAAGAAAGGACGTCAAACTATCCCTGTCTGTAGATTACATGATCCTATATGTAGAAAACTTTATAGGCCCAAAAGCTTAAGGCCCGAAAGCTCCTTAAGATGAAAAACACCTTTGGCAGAGTCTCAGGATACAAAAAGAACATACAAAAATTACTCGCATTCCCATACACCAACAAGAGTCAAGCGGAGAGCCAAATCAGGAATGCAATCTGATTCACAATTGCTGCAAAAAGAATCAAATACCTAGGAATACAGCTAACTAGTGAGGTGAAAGATCTCTGTAAGAACTAAAAACACCAAAGATATCAGAGAGGATGAAACAAATGAAAAAACATTCTATGCTCATGGATAGGAAGAATCAATATCATTAAAATGGCCATATTGTCCTTATTTTCAAGTATGCTATTGCACTCTATGACTGATCCAAACTCCTGCCAGATATAATTCTAAAAATCTGTTTGTTAATTTTATTATTTTATTTTTGGATTTTTAAATGCTTGGGAATTGGGAGATATGCACAATTGTCTTTGCTTTGTCCACAAAATTAAATGCGTATTTGGGTACTTATAGGACACTATTTGTAAAAACATTTATTTCTTCAGACATTGATGGTCTTGTCCCAGTTATTAACAACATCTACATGTTTAAGAATAAATTTTCTTTTCTATCTACTTCTTATTCCATTGAAAATTACCTTTCTATCCTCCTACTCTGGAAGTCTTTATGATTCTGTCCTAATCATTAGTATCCCATTGCTTCTTCAAGAGATGTCTGTCAGTAGAATTTCTCCATTAATATAAGTTCATACTTCTATGAAAACTTTAAATCTCAAATCTACAGTATTTCTAGTTCTAAAAAATATTTAAATTAGTTCTTTAATTATTTCCATCTTTATGTTTACTTTCCTTTTTTTCTAGCATTTTAAACAACTTTACGTCAACAATTCTTTATCTTCACTTTACCTCCCTTTACCTTTCTTCATTTTTTCCTAGCCATTGGATTCAGAGAAAATTATTCAACTTTTAAACTTCAAACTTGCTAGATCTATATTTAACTATGTCTATTGTTCTCTTCAGAACATCTGTTGAGTTTTTAATCCAAGAGCTATTATCAGTATTTTCTAAAATGCAACCTCTTCTTGCATGTCTCTGAAGATATGAATTACACTTACTGTAATTACATTTGTTTCTTTTCTTAATTCTGATTCTCTGAAATTACTTATTCTGTTTGCTAAGTTTTGTATCTTCTTTCTTGTTTTTCTTAAAAGTTGGGTGACAATATTTTACATGGGTAGTTTTTCTGTTAATCATAGCTTATCTCCAATGATTAGGAAAATAACAACTATGAAGTAGGACAAAGTAACCTGGTTTCTTGTGTTTTAGCATTGCTGCTCCCTGTTCCTTCCTGGTTTTGTTAATTACCTGAGACTCTGCCCTGTTGATGTTAGTCAGATTCTAAGACTCACCTTGCCAAGCAAGCACTGCTTTGTTATTCCAAAGTGAAGTTCATTCTTACTTTGTCTGGAAAGCAGTCTCTGCATCTTTTACCTTATTATTTCCCTCCTTTCATATTATGTTTCTTCCTTTACCAATTTTAATGGAGCTTCCCCTTTTTTGTCTCTAAGATCTCCTTCTCTATCTCAAAAACAAAACAAAAAAACATTATCAGCATTAACATATACAACAGAGAGCTTCATTGATGTGGTTTGGCTGTGTCCCCACCCAAATCTCATCTTGAATTCCCATACGTTGTGGGAGGAACCTGGTGGGAGGTAATTGAATCATGGAGGTAGGCTTTTCCTGTGCTGTTTTCCTGATAGTGAGTAAGTCTCATGAGGTCTGATGGTTATTATAAGGGGGAGTTTTCCTGCACAAGCTCTCTTTGCCTGCTGCCATCCACGTAAGATACGACTTGCTCCTCTTTGCCTTCCACCATGATTGTGAGGCTTCCCCAGCTACATGAAACTGTAAGTCCAATTAAACCTTTTTTCTTTTGTCAATTGCCCAGTCTTGGGTATGTCTTTATCAGCAGCATTAAAACAGACTAATACAGTAAACTGGTATCAGTAGAGTGGGATGCTGCTGAAAAGATACCTGAAAATGCAGAAGCAATTTTGGAACTGCGTAACAGGCAGGGGTTGGAACAGTTTGAAGGGCTCAGCAGAAGACAGGAAAATGCAGGAAAGTTTGGAACTTCCTAGAGACGTTTTGAATGGCTTTGACCAAAACGCTGATAATGATGTGAACAATGAGATCCAGGCTGATGTGGTCTCAGATGGAGTTGAGGAACTTGTTAGAAACTAGAGCAAAGTTGACTCTTGTTATGTTTTAGCAAAGAGACTGGCAGCATTTTGCCCGTGCCCTAAAGATTAGTGAAACTTAGAACTTGACAGAAGAATTAGGGTATCTGACAGAAGAAATTTCTAAACAGCAAAGCATTGAAGAAGTGACTTGGGTGCTTTTAAAGGCATTCATTTTATAAGGCAAGCAGAGCATAAAAGTTCAGAAAATTTGCAGCCTGACAATGTGATAGAAGAGAAAAACCCATTTTCTGAGGAGAAAGTTAAGCTGGCTGCAGAAATTTGCATAAGTAACGAGGAACTGAATGTCAATCCCCAAGACAATGGTGAAAATGTCTCCTGGGCATGTCAGAAGTCTTCACAGCAGCCCTTCCCATCACAGTCTCAGAGGCCTAGAATAAAACGGTTTTGCTGGGCCCAGGGTCCCCATGCTGTGTGCAGTGTAGGGTGTTGGTGCCCTGCATCCCAGCCACTCCAGCTGTGACTAAAAGGGACCAAAGTATAGCTTGAGCTGTTGCTTCATAGGGTGGAAGCCCCAAGCCTTGGCAGCTTCCACGTGGTGTTGAGCCTGTGGATGCACAGAAATCAAGAATTGAGGTTTGGGAACATCTGCTTAGATTTCAGAAGATATATGGAAACACCTGGATGCCGATGCAAAAGTTTGCTGCAGAGATGGGGCCCTCATTGATAACCTCTGCTAGGGCAGTGAGGAAGGGAAATGTTGGGTGGGAGCCCCCACACAGAGTCCCTACTGGGGTACCGCCTGGTGGACCTGTGGGAAGAGGGCCACCATCCTCCAGACCTCAGAATGTTAGATCCACCAACAACACCATGTGCCTGGGAAAGCCACAGACACTCAACACCAGCCCACAAAAGCAGCCAGAAGGCAGGCTATATCCCGCAAAGCCACAGGGGCAGAGCTGCCCAATACCATGGGAACCCACCTCTTGCATCTGCATGATCAGGATGTGAGACATGGAGTCAAAGGAGATCATTTTGGAGCTTTAAGATTTGGCTGCCCCTCTGGATTTCGGACTTGCATGGGGTCAAGAAATGAAAAGCATAAAAATTGAAAAGTGAAAAGAAAAAATATTTTTATTCACAGAACATATATATGTATATTGTATATGAAGAAAATCCTAATATATTTATTTAAAAAGCTGTGAATAATAAGAATCAAATTCAATAATGGTGCAGAATGTGTAGAATGCAAGGTCAATACACAAAATACAATATGGAAAATTAATGGAATTTCTAAATACTAGAAATAAACAATTGAGAATACATTTAAAAGTAAAATTTTAATGGTATAAAAATAGTTAAGAATAATTTAAGTGAAACCTTTAAAAATCTTTCACACTAAAACTTTTTAAAATTTCTTGTAGAGAAACATTACAGAAGACTTAAATAAATGTAAAGATCTACCATGTTCTTAGATTTGAAGATGCAACATTGATGTGAATTCTCTGGAAGTTAATCTTTAGAATCAATGCAGTAGCGGCTGGGCGCAGTTGCTCATGCCTGTAATCCCAGCACTTTGGGAGGCCAAGGTGGGCGGATCACAAGGTCAGGAGATCAAGACTATACTGGCTAACACGATAAAACCCTGTCTCTACTAAAAAAAAAAAATACAAAAAAATTAGCCAGGCATGGTGGCACGGGCCTGTAGTCCCAGCTACTCAGGAGGCTGAGGCAGGATAATTGCTTGAATCTGGGAGGCTGAGGTTGCAGTGAGCCAAGATTGTGCCACTGCACTCCAACCTGGGTGACAAGGTGAGATTCTGTCTCAAAAAAAAAAAAAAAAAAAAAAGCATCAATGCAATCTATAGTTTGTAATTTATTGACTACAATGAATTCTATATCTATTTACTACAACTCTGTAGTAAATTGTGGCAAACATTTTGAGAGAAATTCACAAGCTATTGCCAAAATTTGTTTGGAAAATTCACAGGACCTAGAATTTTGAGAAAAAAATAGAGCCAATTTTCAGACATCTAAGAAAGCTGCAGTATCAAAGCATCATAACACAAAAATAATAAGGATAAAGAAGGGTTCAAAATTAGACCTCCACCTATGCAGTAAATTAAATGTTTATAAGGGCATGTAGATAATTCAGTGGGGAAAGTAAGTCTTTAACAAAGGCTTTTGAAATAAATGCATTCTCATATTAAAAAAATACATGCATCAGTCCTTTGTATACACAAAACTAGTCCAATATTTTTAATGTAGGCATAAAAATGAAAAAGCAAAATTCAGAAAGCTTTTAAAAGAAAAAAATTAAACAATATCTGTGAGCTATTATAATAGGAAAAGTATTTCTGAACAGAGAAAGCACTATCATAAGAGTAAAAATTGATAAATTGTAGATATTAAAAATGTATCCTAATAAAGCTGCAAAATGTAAGAAAATATAATTTTAAGCCATAGACTGTGATAAATTATTCCATATATGTATGAGAAAAAAATTGCGTGTTCAAAACGCACAGAGTACTCCTGAGATCCACTAAATAGTTATAAGAATCTTGAACAGGTATTTCACAAAACAAGAGATACAAGTGGCTTATAGGAATGTGAAAAGATGCTCAGTGTTATTAGATAAGGGGAAATGCAACCAAAATGCATCGAAACTGGAAAGACTACCATTTAAAATGATAATACTAATATTGGCAAATATGTGGGGAAACTAGAAGTCGTGTCTATTTCTTGTGAGAGTGTAAAATAGAACAACTGGCTGGGCGCGGTGGCTCATGCCTGTAATCCCAGCACTTTGGGGGGCCGAGGCGGGCGGATCACGGGGTCATGAGATCGAGACTATCCTGGCTATCATGGTGAAACCCCGTCTCTACTAAAAATCCAAAAAAAAAAAAAAAAAAAAAAAAATTAGCCGGGTATGGTGGCGGGCGCCTGTAGTCCCAACTAATCAGGAAGCTGAGGCAGGAGAATGGCGTGAACCTGAGAAGTGGAGCTTGCGGTGAGCCCAGATTACGCCAGTGCACTCCAGCCCAGACGACAGCGCGAGACTGTGTCTCAAAAAAAAAAAAAAAGTGGAACAACCGCTTTGAAAAATAATTCGCCTCTCAATAAGGCCAACATACATCTACCCTATAGCACAGCAATGTCAATTCTAGAAATTTATCCAACAAAAATAAAAGCATATATTTACACAAAAACCTGTTTGAGAATGCACCTAAGTCCTTTATTTGTAAAAGCTAATTCTGAAAGCAATCTGAATATTCACTAACAGACTAATGAATAAGCAAACTCTGACAAATACGTAGGCAACTCAGAAATATGAGGAAAAATAAACAAATGATACACACAAATATTTGGCTAAATCTCAAATATGTATTTATGCTAAAGAAAATAAACCAGATACACACTCACACACACATCCTGTAGGAATTCTAATTATTGGAATTTGAAGATGAACAAAATTAATCAATCATGATAGAAATTATAAGGGTTTAATCCGAGTTATTTGGGATGCTGAAGCCGGAGAATCGCTTGAACCCGGGAGGCGGAGGTTGCAGTGACCTCACATTGTACCACTGCACTCTAGCCTGGGTAACAGAGTAAGACTACGTCTTAAAACAAACAAACAAACCAACGAAATTATACAGGTTTGCCTCTGAAGAAGAGAAGAGAAGTTTGAATAAGCACAATAGTATTTTCTAGATTTAGTGTAATTAGGTAAATATATCAATTTATAAAAAGTACGAAACCACATTTTTGACACGTTTATTATATTTAAAATATAGCGCAATAAAATAAGGTTAGGAAATGATTGCATATTACTCTCTGAGAGGAAGAATGTTATCTGTTGGTAGAATTAATAAAGTTACTCATTTCTTATAAGAAGTAAAGATATATTGGCCGGGTGCGGTGGCTCGCGCCTATAATCCCAGCACTTTGGGAGGCTGAGGCAGGCGGATCACAATGTCAAGAGATTGAGACCATCCTGGCTAACACGGTGAAACCCTATCGCTACTAAAAATACAAAAAATAAGACGGGCGTGGTGGCGGGCACCTGTAGTCCCAGCTATTCAGGAGGCTGAGGTAGGAGGACACCGTGAACTTGGGAGGCAGAGCTTGCAGTGAGCCGAGATCATGTCACTGCACTCCAACCTGGGCTGCAGAGTGAGACTCCGTCTCAAAAAAAAAGAAAAAAGAAGTAAAGATATATCTATTAACCTGTATAGGTATATATAAGCTAAAAACAACCATTCAACTTTTGTGGGCATAGTAGTCTGTGTCAGGCATTTTTGTATAAATCATAAACATTTAATTCTCATTCAAATAATAAATATATTATCTTACGGTTATAAAGGTATAATAAGTACAATTTTAAAAAATAGACAAACTTTTCTGAATATTTCCAGTACAGTGGTATATCATTTTTTTCCGATAGAATAAATAGAAAAATACTCAAACTCTGGGTAATATTTTGCAGAAAATGAATTAGTTACACTTATTCAAGTTGAATTATTCTAGTTCCTCAATTTTATATTCCAGAAAAATATATGCTGACTATATTTTTAATGCTTTTTTTATTAGAGAAGTTTGTTTATTGATATGTGCATCGCTTTTACTAATTCAGTTTTGAGCAAGGTGTGACTCTTTATTCAATTTTCCAAAGAGTTCCAAACCAAAACTTGTGGATTTCCAGTTGATCTGTATATCACCTTGCTACCTCTGGCTTTTTTCTCTCTAATACAGGTATAAGAATAACATTTAACAATAAATGATTTGTGAAGCCAGTTGAAAAATGTTCATGCTATATTAATCAACTTGATAAAATGCATTAAATTTATGAATTTCTACAGGTTTGTTAGTGCCTGGAATCTGTAGGTAGAGACACCCATAAAAAAGTCTTATAATATAAGCTATATAACTTAGTGAAAAATCAGTAAGGCATACTGATGTTTGCATAGGATGACAACCTGGTCATATTAATTTTTCTGAGAAAATAATCTCAAATGAAAAATCACTTCCCTAAAGCATTATTTGTTTTTATATCAGATTTATTTCAGTTCAACCAACATTGCACGCTCTAAGTATTAGATATTGTGATTGGTCCTGGGAATGCTAAGATAAAAATTTCTCCTTTTCTAACCTTGAACTCACAGAGAGGTAGAAGCAAGAGAAGCATAAACATATAATTTCAATGCAATATGGGAAGTAAAATGATAGTGGTACTTTTTCTGAATTTTCAGATATCAATTATTTATTTATAAACAGTTCTTTAGAGGGTGATTTATTTTCTCTATAGATGTCAACAAGATACACTTGCCTTGTATGGCAAAAATAAATTAATTTTAGCTTTGTGCAGATATATCCTATTGAGTTACAAAGTGATGCTATCAAACACCATTGACAACAACAAATTCAGGATTTATGGCTCTCTTTGTCTCTGTTTCTCTCTCCTCTCTCTCTCTGTGTATATATATACATATATGTATATTATACATATATAGTTTAGGATACATGTGTATTTATATATAATTTTATTTTTTAGAACAAAATTAAAAATAAAGTGTCTTTAAATGAAAGTCTGTGTTTGTAACACAATCTTATGACATCAGCATTAAAAAGGCTATTCAGAACACTTCCTCAAATTGAAACTATTACCAATACTGAGTTAAATATTTTAGGACTACTTCATTATCTAGGAAATTTGAGAAGCAAATTAACTCTTTGCTCAGAGTATTGTGATACCATATCTTTTCTTGTAAAATAAGATATTGTTTAATTATAAAATATTGTCAAATTTCTGAAAAAGTGTTTATATAAGTGTTAGGAATATGTTAGCTCTGGGAGCCATGTGTTACTTATCATTGTACAGATCTTCTTGCTGACACAACTGGGTATGGTAGACGGCCTGATATGATTAACTGCAAGTAAAGCAGAAATTATTAAAAACAATATTGAGGCCAGGCAAGGTGGCTCATGCCTGTAGTTCCAGCACTTTGGGAGGTCGAGGCAGGTGGATCACGAGGTCAGGCATTCAAGACTAGCCTGACCAAGACGGTGAAACCCCGTCTTTACTAAAAATACAAAATTAGGTGGGCATGGTGGTGGGTTCCTGTAATCCCAGGCTGAGGAAGATAATTGCTTGAACCCAGAAGGTGGAGGTGGAGGTTGCAGTGAGTCGAGATCACACCACCGCACTCTAGCCTGGGTGACAGAGTAAGACAACGTCTCAAAAACAAAAACAAAAACAAAACAAACAAACAAACTAAATTAACTGGATGTTAAATGTGGTTTCTTTACATTTACCAGAATTTCTGCCAAGGTCCTAATGGCCCCAAATAATAGGTGCTACATTATCAAGCAGATATATCAAGAGATTGTGATAATGTTAATGAAACCCCTTTGCTCATCACTCATTTCCAAAATTTATATTTTCAAAGGGAATTTTGTACAGAGTTCCTAAAAAAAGGGATCATGATGCCAGTGTATTGCCTCACTGATTGCTAAATGAAGAGGACTATACTGAAGCATTCAAAGAACGTGATGTGCCTCTGGGGCAACTGAAGGATTGCTATCTGACTTATGCATTTAAAACCTTCAAAGTGGAAGTTTGTCTGGAATGGCTTAGGCAAACAGACTGGGTTGGATTGAGAATTGAATGTATACATAAAATTTGGTTTGGTCAGATGAGAACACCAAATGTGGTAGCTAGCTCACCTTTATTTATGAGATTTTTATTGGGTTGATTTGTCTTGAAAGAATCAAATCTAAGAGAAATGTTTGGAATGGCTAGATGATCCTAACAGAAGAAATCTTACAGGTCTTTACTGCTAAACCTAAGGAGATGAGAGTAAACAGTAAGTGGCCAACTCAAAGAAGCATGGACTATGTTGAAACATGGACTATAGCTGCAATTTCCCAGTGGTGCAGTTTTCAAGCGCTTTACCCCAGGAGAGAAAAAAATAAATAAATGAAAAGTAGCCATTTCACCATTCAGAGGATAGATACTGTTGCCCAGTGAAAACTGCATGAATTATGTAATAGTTTTATGCTTGTTTCCCCCACTCACCATTCCAAAACTGTAAGACTTCAAGATAGAACAGGAGGTATGAAATTTTAACAGCACATAAAAAAATAGTGAACATTCTATCCCCGCACTTCATTGCCGTTACTAAGGCTAAGGCAGGACTGAGTTTAGAATGCAGCAAAGCTTTGAAATGTATAAGAGATAATATCTCTAATATTCAAATACACCATAAACTCAAAACTTAGAATCAATCCTATTTTTAAAATACTGAATGTGACTAGAAACGTTATAAAAGTTTTCAAGATATCAGTATATGATAGAAAGAGATGTATTGCTTTAGCACAAATCATTCTACAAAAAAAAAAATTCTTCTAAAATAAATTACTTATCCATATCCTACAAATTTTCTTTTTTCTTTTTCTTTCTTTCTTTCTTTTTTTTTTTTTTTTTTTTTGAGACAGAGTTTCACTCTTGTTGCCCAGGCTGTAGTGCAGTGGCTTGATCTCAGCTTACTGCAAACTCTGCCTCCCGGGTTCAAGCAATTCTCCTGCCTCGGCCTCCCAAGTAGCTGGGATTACAGGTGCCAGCCACCATGCCCAGCTATTTTTTTGTATTTTTAGTAGAGATGGGGTTTCACCGTGTTGGCCAGGCTGGTCTTGGATGCCTGACTTCAGCTGATCCACCGGCTTTGGCCTCCCGAAATGCTGGGATTGCAGGCATGAGTTGCCGTGCCCAGCCACAAATTTTCTTTTACCTTGGAAAACATATATGCAAATATACTTGTCAACTATCCGACAAAGGTCTTTGGTATGTATGTATGGATTCATTGAACTTTGTTTCTTTTTACATAATGAATATTTTATGATTTTTAGCTTTGGTTTTTTGAAATGAACCAATAAATTGAAGAGACACAAGAAGTAATATGTGTGTAAATACCAGCACGCTTAGCCCCTCAAATAAACCTCTTACAGGTGTCTGACTCCTAAATCCAATTTGATATTTTTTCAGAACTTGTCTTTATCAATTATTTACATTCTGCTTCATTTTCTGATTTGTTTTTTTACTTTCACACTCACTTATCATTTTTTTACACAATAGTTGTTTACTACAGTAACAATTATATCTGACATAAATGTACTGAGGAACAAAACAACCATCTTATGGCATACAAATTAGCAGTGGGAGAAGGCTAACCCCAAACATATGCCAAGCCAGGAGCCAGGAAATCCAGGGATGTGGTTAGGCAGAAACTGGGAAGACACTTTATAGCGATTCCTATCTTTGTTACAGACATGAAGGAGATAAATTATAATATGAAAAAATGGCCCTCGCAGTTCTAAAGAGATTAACTAAAAGTCTAGTACCTTTTAAAGATCTGAATAGGAAACACTTGTCATTTATTGTCTCTAAGGGCAGCCACTGTAAGACTTCAAAAGAACCTTGGTCTCCACAGTCTTTTATCTTAACCTGAACATTCCCTTTCTATCATTCCCAGGTCTTGAATCAAACTCAACCAATTATCAACCAGAAAATGTTTAAATTCACCTATAGCCTGGAACCAACCCCCAAACCCCAATATCCTCCCATCCCCCAACCCCCCTGCCAGCCCCAACCCCTCCCACCCCCACTCCCTCTGCTTTGAGTTGTCCCACCTTTCTGGATCAAACTGATGTATTTCTTAAGTGTAGTTAATTGATGTCTCATGCCTCTCTAAAATGTATAAAAGCAAGCTGCATCCCAACCACCTTGGGCACATGTTCTCAGGACCTCCTGAGTGCTGTGTCACTGGCCATGGTTACTCATATTTGGCTTAGAATAAATCTCTTCAAATATATTTTTTTAAAGAAGAAAGAAAAAGGAAAAACAAATGCTTTTGCAGAAGCCAAGAAGGAAGTGAAGGGAAATAAATGAGAGTGGAAAAATGAGAGATCAATTGTGGTGAGATATGCTTTTTTTGGCAATTAATTGCAACCAGTGCCCAAAATGCCAATTATAACATAGTTTGCTATCTACCATTGCTTTATTTAACTGAAGTATTCAACCATAGATATGGAAAAAAGACTGACCTAGTTTAGAAAAGTTCTATCCTGATACATTTAAGCACTAGAGAGTATACACAAATAAAAACACAAACTTAACTTTTCTTAAAAACTTTTACTGAGTCAAATATTAAAAGAGAACACTTGTTTGTAAAGCATCTCATGAAGTTGATTTTTGATTTTTCAGTCCTTCAGTAACTAATAATCTTTATTTTGACATTGATGGTTATCCAATGGAAGACTAACTGCAAGATATTAATAATAGAAATCATTTGCATCAGCCGGGTACAGTGGCTCACTCCTGTAATCCCAGAACACTGGGAGGCCAAGGTGGGCAGATCACTTCAGCCCACGAGTTGGAGACCAGCCTGGGCAATGTGGCAAAACCTTGTTTCTACTAAAGATACAAAAATTAGCTGGGCATGGTGGCATGTGCCTGTAGTCCCAGTTACTCAGGAGGCTGAGATGGGAGGATTGCATGAGCACACTGCACTTCAGCCTGGGCAACATAGTAAGATCCTGTCACAAAAAAAAAAAAAAATCATTTGTGTCAAATGATTTTTGTATCAAAGCTTTCAGAAAAAGGAGTGGAAAGAAAATTTAAAAAGCTTTTGTCCATCATTCTTAGATGTCATATTCAAGTAAATATTTCTTCAGACTTAATAAAAAAAAATTGAACAATAATAACAAGTGTGATTGTATTTCCATTAACCTGAAATTTACTGCTATTTCAAATTCTACTCAATTTAGAGTTTTTAAGATTAAAAACAAGAAATATTAAATAGAAGTTACAATATTTTTGAAGTAATTGGTGAGAATTTGTTTAATAATGCCTACGTGTTTGGTAATTTGATCTTAGTTCTACAAATTTCACTATCACAAACTCTTCCCTGTCAGTTACCTCAGCTACAAGATTTAACAGACTGTCAATGACAACTGTGTCACATATGGTAGTGCCCTTTGCTTTAATGAGGGTGATTAGCTAAAATTGATGTTCATTGCCTTAGTACAGATATACTATATTTAGATATATTTAACTCTATTACACATACTGCAAACACATACTCTTGTTGTCTTCGACACTATTATATATTTTACTTGTTATAGTAGATATTTATTTTAGATGAATAACTAAGTATAATAAAATAGATAGCAGAGGAATTAATTATCTCACATGGATATCATTTCACCTGATCTTGATGAACAAGGAAATGGGTGATTTACCCAGGAATAAATATAAAGTTCTGTATGGTTTGGAAAGCACAAATGGTCACCTAATTTTGAAACACTTTAGGTAAATTCCCATTCAGAAAAACATTTATCACTTATATAACTAATGAAATGCTTAGGGGAAAGTGTTTTGGCTGTCAAAGAACCATACTTTGCTTTTAGAGACTATGTTTGTATTTGAATATTTCATAAAAACTATTTCTAAGCCAAGGAAAAAAAAAAACTAAATAAACAGGCAAAGATCTATTATTGAAAGTGAAATATTTACATATAACCGTAGTTAGAAAAGAAGTGGAAATCAGTATGTGATTTCAGATGATTGCATATTTTATAACTATTAGGGTTAAAGTGCATTAGAGCTTCCTGTTTGCCAGTTGCTGAGAGGCTTTGATTCAGAGGTAGCATCTGTACAAAAAGATACTGCCATTTTTATGGTAAATGCTTTTTAAATTGAGCTAGAAAGTAAATAGTCACACATTTTGAAAAAAATATGAATTTTTAAAAGTCTGTGTTTGAACATCAATAAAGAAACAAACGTAACTATGAATTAAGAGAAATCTAGAAATACTTTATTTAAACAAAAACATTGCAAACATTTATGTCATAATATTTACTTTCTTAAAATAGAAACAAAAGCAGTTGGAGATTTAATTCACTATAAGAAAGAAAAGCTTTTGTACATAATGTTTTCTAAGGTAGTAAATGTAAACCTAAGTAACATGGCATGGAATGAAAATAAATTACTGAGAATGGCTTTGTATTGATTACGTATGTTCTGAAATTTTTCCGTATTGAAACAAATCTACACAGTGGAGGAAAATATGTACTTAAAACTGGCATCTGATGTGATTAGTGTATTACATACATACAAATTTGCAATAGTCTCTGAAGAGAAAATGAGATTTCTACCTTTTCCATTTCCAATTCAGTCGAGTCATTTTGGTGTATTTCTCTGATAGTGTCTCTATTAAAATGTAATTTATTTTATTTTATTTCTATAAATTTATGGAGTGCAACTGTAATTTTGTTACATCCATAGGTTGCATAGTGAAGTCAGGATGTTCAGCATATTCATCACCTAAAAAGCATACCTTGTACTTATTAAGTAATTTCTTATCATTTACTCCCCTCTCACTCTCCCCCAACTCTTCCAAGTCTTCATGTCCAAGTCTCTATCATTGCACACTCTATGTCCATGTGAATGCATTAATTACCTCCCATTTATAAATGAGAACATGCAGTATCTGTCTTTCTGTGTCTGACTTTCATCTAAGATAATGTCCTCCAGTTCCATCCAAACTGCTCCAAAATACATGTTTCATGAGTATATTATTTTTAAAGGCTGAATTGTATTCCACTGTGTATATCATCATATCTTCTTATCTTTAGGTGGAAATCTTTTTTATTATACTTTAAGTTCTGGGGTACATGTGCAGAACTTGCAGGTTTGTTATGTAGGTATACACGTACCATAGTGGTTTGCTGCACTCATCAACCTGTCATCTACATTAGGTCTTTCTCTAAATGCTACCCCTCCCCTAGCCCCTCACCCTCTGACAGGCTGTGGAGTGTGATGTTCCCCTTCTTGTGTCCATGTATTCTCATTGTTCAGCTCCCACTTATGAGTGAGAGCATGCAGTGTTTGGTTTTCTGTTCTTGTGTTAGCTTGCTGAGAATGATGTTTGCCAATTTCATTCATGTCCCTGCAAAGGACATGAACTCATCATTTTTTATGGCTGCATAGTATTCCATGATGCATATGTGCCACATTTTCTTTATCCAGTCTATCGTTGGTGGGCATTTGGGTTGGTTCCAAGTCTTTGCTATTGTCAACAGTGCTGCAATAAACATATGTGTGCATGTGTCTTCAGAGTAGGATGATTTATAATCCTTTGGGCATATACCCAGTAATAGGATTGCTGGGTCAAAAGGTATTTCTAGTTCTAGATCCCTGAAAAATTTCCACACTGTCTTCCACAATGGTTAAACTAATTTACACTCCCACCAACGGTGTAAAAGCATTCCTATTGCTCCACATTCTCTCCAGTATCTGTTGTTCTCTGACTTTTTAGTGATCTCCATTCTAACTGGAGTGAGATGGTACCATCTCACATTTTCTTTATCAAATCATCTATTGGCGGACACTTAGGTTGATTCAATATCTTTGCTACTGTGAATAGTGCTGGGATAAGTGCTGGTATGTTTATGATATAAGGATTTCAAATAGACTGTAAGAGTGTAAAAAGTTTCCACTGAACTTTGGACTGGAAATATGATAAGAGAAGATCCTTTCACTAATAGAGGTGGAGCGTTAAGAGATAAAATCGATAACTAATTTTATGCTGCACTAAACAGGGAAGAAAGAGAAAGTGAATAAAAAGCAAGTTTTGTGGTCAGCCAGGTTTTGGATTACATAACGAAAATAGACAAACATACTTTATTAAGCATATTGCATAACCTATGCTACTTTCAGCTTATTTATATTCATTTAATCCCTCATTCAACTTAATATAATATCCTCTTTTCCTTCCTGGCTTTCTACCTGCCTGTTCTCATTCATTAACTTGTTTTAGCCAATGAGTCATGAGTAGCTACTCTGTTCAGGCATTGTTCTCAGTTCTAGTGATACAGTAGCATACAATTTTAACAAAATATCGCCCTCATGAAGCTACATTTTAGAGGAAGGAACTCAGTGAACAAGTCAACAGAAAAATATAAAATATTTTAGAATACAAATAATTGGTATGAAGGAAAACCAGTCAAATGAGGGGTAAGACATATTCAAGGTAGAGAACAATCTACAATTACACTGAGCCCTGAACAAAGAGAGAAAATAAGCTATACATAAATTTGGGGAAGAACATTTCAGGAAGAGGGAAGTGTACAGGCTCTAATGAAATCAAAAAGCTAGTGTATTCCCAAAAGAGCAAAAAATCATTATGCTTGAAATTGAATTGAATGAGCAATGAGAAGAATAGTAAAAATGAGATCAAACAATAATCTAGAGCTAGATCAGAAAAAAGTCTAAAAGCTAAAATGAAGGTATGCATCTTATTCTAGAGTGTGAAGAGATCTGATCAGGAGAACTACATGATCTGATTACTATTTCAAAATAAGGATTCTTGATGCTATTTGGAAAATGATGGCCTACTATAATGATAAGAGATTATTTTAAATATGTAGTAATGAGATAAAATTACATGAATGAGTGTTTTTATTTATAATGAGCATACCAGTGTGTAGCCTCTTTAGTACTTGTATACTTGGAAGCAGTTTATTCTCTGAAGATTTTTTTTTTATTTCTTCTCTAACTTGTTTATTCTTTTTAAATTTAATGTCAATATAATATGTTTTAACTTTAAAAATTTAGGTGCCTTATGAGTGGAATCTCAGTTAAAAAATGTTATTATTCAGTAGGTACTAAATTGAGTTCCTGTTTTACTTTACAAACCAAGCACCATAGGTTATTACAGAAAACCATTATAAGTCAAATTTTTTAAAAGTTTCTTCAGTGAAGTAGACATTACAAAAGTTATATTTAAACACAACACTATGAACTCAAGTCACAGAGGCAAAGAGAAACTATTGTATTTGCTTTGAGCATCTACACATTGTAAAAAAGGTTATTGAATGCAATTCAAATCTAACTTCATCTGAGGATAACCCCAGGCACTTTGTGCCTGTATTTCTTGTAGTTTTGTACTGACTATTGGAAACTCATTCAGTTTTGCCTTAAAGCACCCAGTAACCTATGAACAAAATGCATAAAAACTATTACATGATGTTCAGCCTTTGTAGACTAAACACAACAGGTATATGCAATTGCATAGTGCTGATGACTCACAAAAACAAAACAAAACAAAACAAAACAAAACAAAAAACTCTGTCCTCAGACTGATTTGTGAAAATAACTATTTAATCTAAAAATAAACTAAAGAGTGAAAATGAGAATTAGCAAATAGAGTTGAAGGTGTGTCTCAAAATGGATTGTATTTTATATAGCCTTTTACTATAATTATTCTTATAACAGGGCTTGTTTTCCTCTATTAGACTGCAAATGTGTTGGTTACTGAGGCGGTTGCACTTGTTTTTGTATCACTTATGAAACCTAGTATAGTGCTTTGTATTATAGTAATCATTCATTAGATATTATGTGAATGATTTGAATTATATTTCATAGTAGCTCAAAGTTAGTCTTGATGGATAAATGAATGTAATACAACCATATACATTATTAGTAAGGAACTTAATAATATCATGAAGTATCTTTAACCAAAGTAATAATTAAAAAGTAGGAGTAAACCATAGTAAGTTCAAATTTAGAATTTGATAGATAATGGAGATTACTTTTTAGGCCTAAATATTGAAGGATAGATGTTTATGAAACTTTGAGGTTCAAATTATTTGTAGAAATGTTTATTTAATATTATATTCAAGATATTAAAATGACAACAATGGGAAAATGTATAAGAGATTTGTTAAACACATCCTGAAAGCATGGAAATAACCATATATCTTAGCCTAATGCATGAAATAGTATAGCAAATATAAGCAGGATGTTTTCATTTTTATTTTAAAATTGTGTTTGTCACTGGATAGGGATAATAAATTTATTCTATTTATTTTTTGCTGTTAAACATATACTTTAATAAACTAAACACATTTGTTTCTGCAGTGGATGGAAATATGTTTGTCACAGGTAAAATTGTCACTTGGGTAAATTTTATCTCAAGCAACTCCTTTTTAGTTTTAATACTTTCTATGTTGCCCAAATCAAGTCTTATTTCCATGAATCACTGTTTTATGTAATAATTTTCTTGGTGAGGTCAATTTACATAGTTTTGGTACTTTCATGTCAGATTTCTAAGGTAGTATAATTTAGTTTAGAGGAAGAATTTCTACACAGATCATGCAATTGTCTCTTCATTATATATCAGGGTAAAATCTATAAAAAACAAAATTGGTTTGAGAACAAAGCTGTCATTACTTGCAAGATGAAAACAGAAAAATTGCATGTGTTTATTAAAACACAGAAGTATATTCCTGTGCAAATTAATGCAGATTCTGAAGCGAAAGACAGGACTTTTGAGAGATTTTGAGTCCAAGGGTTCACCTCTTCAAACACAACTGAAAAAACTCTATTTTTTCTATTTTTAAATCTAATCAGTTTATATATGCCCAGGTCCAGCAAAAAGAAGCTGGGTTGATAATGTGTTTTGCAGTTATTCAAGCTAGTTTGAAAGAGTACCTGGCAGTGATTGTGAAGACCAATGATTGTGCTACTAAGGTCTCTCAATTGCCAGACACCCACCAAGTATTTTTTAAATATGCTATTCTGTTTTGAAACTCAAAACCTTGTATTTTTGTTAATCTAGTTACCTGCCAAATCAAACAGGAATCCAAAGTTTCATAACCCTGCTGTGTTCTCTGGTTACTAGAAATAAGCATATTTTTGATGTTTTAACAACCTTTTAAAATAATAATTTCTAATAATGAAATAGAATATTTCTATTTTAAGTAGCTATTGGGTATATCTTTACATAACTAGATGATTATATTAAATGGGTTTTTTAGATGAATGATGTGCATGGGTAGATATTTTTAAAATGAAATATGTTTTTTCCTTTTTTACTTAAATTTCTTTTTAGAACATACTGTTATGAACATTAACATTTATTCAAGTCCTTGGGACAATTCTTCTTCAGTTACCCAGTAAAATTTTCATGATCTCTGCAAAACATAGATTAGAAATATAAAATAACATAAATTTTAGAATACAGTGAGATGACTTACACAATTTGATAATTTTTTATATAATATTTTATGATTAACCAGTTAACTGAAACCTAAAAACCTGTATTAACTGATTAATATTGCAGCAAAATGTCAGTTCATGTTATTGTATCAATCACTTATGGATACATGATTATGCTGTTGTGATATGATTTCTAACAATTGTCTTGTCATTTTTAGCTTTTACTATTATAATTTTAATTAAAATATATTAAAGTCACTATGTCATAACAGACTTTATATTGTGCCATGCAGTCCTATTGCTCTTTTGTTTCAAATATCATATAGTCTAAAGCAATGATTCTCATTAAATACATGCATCAAAATCAACTGCAGTTATTACATGCTAACTCAAACTTACAAAATCAAGCTCTCTGTGATCCTGGTTAATACATCTAAGTACTTGAGCCGATAATCCAAGTACTTTGGGGGGTCGAGGTGAGAGGATAGCATGTGGCCAGAAGTTCAAGACCAGCCTGGGCAACATAGCGAGACTCCATCTCCACAAAAAAGTGTTAAAAATTAGCCAGACATGGTGGTGCATGTCTTAGTTCTAACTACTCAGGAGGCTGAGAAAGGAAGATTACTTTAGCCCAGGAGCTCAAAGGTGCAGTGAGCTGTGACTGCACTCCAGCCCGTCTAAAAAAAAAAAAAAAAGGAAAGAAAAGAAAAAAAGAAATAAAAAGGTATACACATTTTTTTTCTGAAGTGGATGGAAATATGTCATGTCAGAGGTAAATTGTGACTTGAGTAAGTTTTATGTTGAGCAACTCTTTTTGTTTACATTTTCTATGTTGCCCAAATAAAGTCTTATTTTCATAAATCACTGCTTTACATAACAACTTTTCCTGCAGCCCTGGGTATGGTGGCACACAGTTGTAGTCCCAGGTACACTGGATGCTGAGGCAAAAGGATCATTTGAACCCAGAACTTCAAGGTCAACCTGGGCAACATAGCAAGATCCTATCTGTAGCAAAAATTTTTTTAATGATAATTCTCATGCAAAATTCAGTTTGCACTGTTTTAAAAAATGAAACACTTATAAGAGCATGGTCATAAGGCAATTCTGACTTGGTGTCAAGCCATTTAAACTTAGATATAACCTAGGATTTAGGATCCTTGCTATTGTTTACATAGTAAGTCCACATTTAATATCAGTAGATTATTGGAAACTGCAACTATCAGCAAAATGGTGAACAATGAAACAAATTTTACCATAGGCCAATTGATACAACAAGATATAAGTTCCTACTGCATATTTCTGGTCACAATATTATCACTGTACTTCTAAATGGAGACTAAAACACTTATAACATTCAACACTGAAATAAGTGTGAGGTATACATACATTTTTAAAAAGATTGATAAAAACAAGTAAGATGATTATTTACCCAATTATTCCAGTTCAGAGTCTCGGGTGGCAAGAACCTATTCTTACTCAGCATGCAATGCAGGAATAAACCCTGCACAGGATGCTATTCCATGGCAGGGCACAACCACATTCACTCACATTGGGACACACAGTGGGGAAATGCCAATTAACCAGACATGCACATCTTGGGGATGTGAGAGGAAGCAGGAGTTCCTGGAGAAAACCCATGCAGGCATGGGGAGAACATGCAGACCCTACACAGATGGTAGCCCTGTCCAGGAATCAATATTTATTCTCATCTACATTATAGCAAAACAACATTGAATAAAACAACTTTATTTGAGGACCTGTTTTACTTGTACATCTTTGGGAAAATCTTTCAACTTTTATTACTCATAATGTTCTCAATAAAAGTGTGTTAAGAATACATATTTCAGGAGGTTTTTTGAGACAATCAAATGTGGCAATGCATGCAGAATTAATAGCCCATAAGGCATTTTATACAGTATGTTCTTAGTAATCTACTTTTAATTGATAATTGCTTTATAAAATAATCTGATTACTTTTGGTATAAAGGATAACATATTCCACTAATACTGTGAAGTTTCAGTGATATAAACACTTAGAAATCATCTGCTCTGTTATGGAAAAAAACATCTAGAAGTATCTTTCAGATTGAAAAATGTTTTTAAGGTGCTGGAATAACGGTACCTCTTGCAGATTTGTCTAGCGTTACCCAATGCTTGTGATTGCTAGTAATATTAGTGAAATAAGTATGCAAATCTTTTAATAACTGAATAGAATCCTTCCCTGAACAATTTCCCAGGTGTTATTGCTGTTGCTATCTTATTAAATATTCAATGCCATCTATTATATCCTATACAGAGTCAAATAATAAGCTTACATAAACTAATATTTAATATAATACTAATAAATTTAAGATGATATAAAGCAGAATAAAATAACATTTCAGAATAAAAAGACTTTGAAGCTTCCCTGTATTACTTGATAAGATTTAGGTACAGTCTCAAGAAAACATTTTTTTTTTCCTTCTTCTGCATCAGCTCATCTACAAACCAATTTATTTCTGAAATAGGCCCCAGGGGCAGGCTGGTTGGTGACTGTAATGGGGGATATCTGACTGGCCACTCAAGGAAATTGCTATGGACTTTTAATCTTATTTTGACTAAGTTCTGTGCAGATTGTGTCTGCCAGGCGAGCATTAAGATTACTGTTTCTGAGATCTTTTGGTTGCTATCAGACTGGACTCAATTTTTTTTCTACATTCTCAAGGTTAAGTTGAAACAGTATTACCCATTATTTATAAATGGTAAGTGTTTAGGTTTTGCCTTGTGTTACAAACTAGAATGTTAATAAAAATACTATATTTAACAAGTTGCAAGTTTATGAAAGTCATTGTTTTTGAAAGTAAGTTTTAGATTAAAAAAACAAAAGAAAGGAAAAGAAAAATCTTTTAAGGGGAAACAATGTCTTTATGTGTTTAAAGTTTCAAAATGTAATTTATAAAGAAATCAAATATAGTTAAAAATAACTAATCAAAGATGAATATTTAGTGTAGAAGAACATGGATATGGATAAACTGTAGGGTATTTTATTTATCTTTTTCTTTCAGCAAAGATCTAACTAAAATTAGAGAAATGATGTGTTTTATTCTAGAACCATCACGATACAAACAATAATATGTTGTTTTTCATCTTGTATTGGATAAACACTATTAATCCCATTAATCCATTCCTCTTTGCTTCTTCAATTAAAATTCTGTGTATTATATAAATACCTCCCTCTACCCTCTGCAGTGTAGGAGAATCAGGGAAATCTCATCCCATCTGCCGAAACAGAGATGTATCCTGTATGTACCTTGCCAATGATGGCAACTTCTTTTCCTTTGTCGAGATATAATACAAACCCCAGGTTGACACCATTTAGTTCATGATATCACTTCCAGATTGATATTGGTGGAAAGGTGACTTAATCTGGCTAAATCAGATGCAAGAGATGGACTTGTGTTCTATTATTAGAATATAAATTTCTTGTCTTTCTGTATATGATTAGCAAAGCATGCTGCAACAATTGTTCTTATCAGCAAAGAAAAATTCTGATAAGCACCTGGAAATACGGCACCTGGAAGCCCTCATTCCTCAGGACTTGATAAAAGAATTCATTATTATTAAAGCAAGTTAAGAGCCAGGATTACTGTTACTTGTCTTGAAAGCATGCTGACATCTCCATTGTTCCACATGCCTTGTCAGAATGATCTCTGGCTTAGGGAAAACTTTTCAGCTATCTGCTCTAGCACACTGGTGTGAAAGATGTGTTAAGGGAGAGGTGATAGCTTGATCCTTAGTGCTGTCAGACATCAGGTGGGTCTTAGATAGCTCGAATCATCAGGTCACTTTTTTCAGCCATGAGTAGTATGCTCTACAGCAGTTATTAATTTATATAAATGCTGTAGATTTAAAAATGGTAGTGAAGTGCTAATTCAGAGTATCTGATTTATAATTCAGAGCAATTCAATGGGTCATAGTTAAGTTGGCAGAAGTATTCTAGTTATCTCTCCAAATATAATAATTTTAAATATTGTTCACACAAGGAAAAAACCTAACATCTTTCTCCATATCCTTAAAACTCCAGATATGAATTTGATCATGCAGTGCTTGTCTTTCTGTGCCTGGCTTATTTCACTTAACAAAGTGTCCTCCAACTTCATCCACATTGCTAAAAATAACAGCATTTTATGGCTGAATATTGTTCTGGAGGGGTGGATAGATAGATGATAAATAGATAGATGATAGATAGATAGATAGATAGATAGATAGATAGATAGATAGATAGATATACATTTATACACCACATTTTCTTTATCCATTTGTTGTTAGATGAGCATTTAGGCAGATTCCATATCACGGCTATTTTGAATGATGCTTCAATATCCCTGGGTGCAGATGTCTCTTTGACATACTAATTTCATTTTTTTTGATTACGTACCCAGTAGTGGGATTGCTGGGTAATATAGTAGTTCTCTTTTTTATTTTTTGTGGAAACTCCATACTGCTTTTCATAACAGCTATACTATTTTAAATTCCCACCAACAGTGTATAACATTCCTCTTTCTCCACATTATCGTTTCCATTTGTTATATTTTGTCTTCTTGATAATATCCATCATTTAAACTGGGATAAGGTGATAGCTCATTGCGGTTTTGTTTTGCATTTTTCTGAGGCTTAATGATGTTGAGCATTTCTTTATATATTTTTTGGCCATTTGTATGTCTTCTTTTGTCCATTTTTTAGTCAACTTTTTCTTTTGCTATTGAGTTTTTTGAGTTCCTTATATATTCTGGATATCAAACCTTGTTGAATACATAGTTTGCAAACACCTTATCCTGTTCTGTAATTGTCTCTTCATTTTATTGATTGATAAGAAGTAGGTTAATTGTGCTATATAAGTGCAAACTTTGTCTAAAGGAGAAAATGTGTTCTTTGAAGACAAATGTCCATTTGTCAAGCCCCCCAGTACTTTCTTTTATGTAGGAATGCCAATATAGGACCTTTCCGTTTTGAAGCTGTTTGTGAGTAGATTTTTCTCTTCCCACCAACTGGAGGCTAAAATGTAAACCAGAGACCCAAGAATAACCACTCATTCCTTGCATTTTTAACCTTGCAAGGTAAGAAGTAGGCAGAGAGTCTGAAATTATTCCTGTCAGATGGATAGATTTTTTGAATCCAATGGTAAAGTGGGAAGTGACAAGCTAAAGCAGAGCCCAGCAGCATTCCAGAAAATGCCTGTGCATGCTTTGCTGGCAGTGGCCAGCGGTCATGACTGACAGGACAATAGCCACATGAAAAGCAGAACTTCCTTTTTCTGATACTGGTTCTGACTTGCTCTCTGATTACTGCCTGAGGCTGGTTCACCTACTTTTTTTTTCAATTCTAAGAGCTGCGTTGTGCTTTTCCAACGCATTCATTTTTGCTTGCTTTAAATTCCAAGTAATTTCTATTGTCTTTAAACAACTGCCTACCTAAAATAATTATTAAATATATAGCTAAAACACTAAATTAAATAAACTTACATTGTTTTCCTTGCTGTAAGAATTCTCTAAGCCTTTCTTATTTTAATATGCATCATGAACCTCCAGTTGAGGCAATGTGCAACACATTTTGAGAGACATGATCTACCTGTTGGAATCTTAACATTTAGAACAGATATATTGATCAGTGTATAATTTTTGGATTATCAAAGATGGGAATAAAATTGAGCTATAATATATAAAATAAGAGGATTTATATATGTTTGTTTTTTTACTCCCCATTTCACCTGCTACTTCTTTATGGATAACAGTTATCCCACTTGATGGAATTTTTCTCTTTTCATCCATTACTTTTTTATTTAAAGTATTCCCTCTCCTAGGATGTAAGTTTCTATAGACTGAAATGTTGTTATTTAATGGTAATAAGCCTTATTTTCAGGCTGCTTTACAGAATTTTGGCTTTGTCTTTTGTTTTCTTCATTGTACTTTTCTTACTCCACTCAGAATTTGTTGACCTTCTTAAATCTGCTTATATCTGTCTTCAATCAGTACTAAAAACATTCTCTATTATTTCCTTAGTTATTGCCTTTGTCTCTCTTTTCCTGGTAAAGTTTAGACACATATTAACGTTTAACTCTATCCTTTGTATCTTGAAACTTTTCTTCAATAATTTATTTTCTTTCTTCCTACTGCACTTCGTTAATTTTCTAGTAGTTCTCTGTTACTTCTAGCAGGTATTTCCTTTCTAAATCTACCATGATCATATTTGTATTTTCCTATGTGCATCTTTAAGCCTATGTTTTGTTCTTTAACTTCTGTCTGATAATTCTATTATTTAAATTGTTTTTCTTGTCTGTCGATTTGTTTCTGGATGTTGTTATCCTTAACAATATACTGATTCTTCTCTGTGTATGTGTGTCTCTCTCTCCATGTCTCTCTAAACACATGCACACAAACTCTCTCTCTCTCTCTCATGTATGCTATATTGCATACAAATGATTTACCAAAATAATTGACTTTATTTTTAATACAGACCTACAAGTTAGTTACTTTCATATTCACGTTACAGTTGAGGAAACTGAGACTCAAAGGGAAAAATGACTTGGCCAAGTTTATACACCCAATTAGTGTCAGGATAGTTTAAGATTACCTTGTTGTCTACTATGGAGATAAGTTCCTCCAGAAGTTTTGCTTATGCAAGCATTACCCATATCAGATCATCTTAAATCAGGGTGAAAATATGAGTATCTGAACAACTCAGATTTGGTCCCAGACTTCAAGTATGCTCAAGAGCTGGTTCTTGTTTTCTCCTTCATTGGAGTGTATTAACCTTATGATTCTAGCTTAGAATAGCAAAAGTCTCTGGGCAGACTCTCTATATTTTGTCAGCCATAGACTATAATTTCTGTCTTTTTCATCTGAGAATTCTATCTGAATAAAAGTTAACTTGGCTTGCAAGGAAAAGTTCCCCAAATTCAGTGACAGTTTTCCTCTTTGAGCTCCCATCTTCTTTAACTCTTATCATGTTTTTCTGGTAGCTCTGTTCTGCTTCTTCGTTTGACTTCCATTGAATTGGGTAACTTTTTTTTTCCTCTTCCCGATGTACATAAATGACTTAAAGTATATCAATATCACTATATTCTCTATAACACACAAATAACTAGCATAAATACGTTGCATTTAGACAGTATAGTCTAAATACAAGTTCCCTGTCCTATTTTGTAGGTCTTTGAATGTTGTTTAAAAAAAATGCAACTAAGACATGTTAAATTTCACTAAGTTTATTTGACCAAGAAAAAGGTTTGAGAAGTAGGCACCATCCCAGAACAAAGATCGTTCAGAGTGACTCCACATCCAGAGTGGTGAGATGTATTTATAACCAGAACATATAAAATTATATTCAGAGTTTCCCTGATTGGTGCAGTTCAATATTTGCCTTATTTGGGCATAATTTGGCAGCATTCAGCCTAGGATTGACTAAGGGTTTGGCTCCTATGATTGGTTGAGTCTCAGTTGCTTGGTTACAAGTCCATATATCTACATTAGCTTACAACTTATCTACACATTAAGTTAGAGTACAGTCACTATGTATGGATGCCGCTTTGGGCCAAACTTAATTAGGCAAGTACAATGGGCACTTTGAGCCAAACTTAACTCAGCTTAACAATGTTCTCTAGTATTTGTTTTACTTTATTGTATTTGTTTGATTCAATATAGCAAATGCTTCTTTAGACTTACCCACATGTTTATATATATATTACTGTTTTGCCTCCATTGAACATGCCTTCTACTTCCTAATTTGTGCCAGAATTGACTAGTAGACGCTATGAATGCATCATGCTCTTTGGCCCATTTCGAACACTCAGGTATGTCTGTACTCTTAGTTCATCTATTCATCATTGTTTCTACAGTTCCCTCATGCTTTAAAAAATATATGGCTTTTATAATTTATCCAGCTTTTTCTTGTCATTTTAATAAGAGTATGTGTCTTATACAACTACTACATTCATCCCAGAAGTAGAAGCAAACTATTATAATCCCATTATTTTTATTCCTACTATTCTCTTTTCAGAATTTCTTTTAGATATTCCTTGGATAGTTTTATTCAATCCTCCATGGCTTTCAGCTTATCTTATGTTCTATCTTTTGGTTCATATTCTGCATTCTGGATAATTCTTCATCTTCACTTTCTAGTTTGTTGATATTCCTTTTGGTGACTATAAGCTGCTCTTTAAAATGGTCAATAATGCCTAAGATGTTTATTATCTTGCCCTTTGCAGAAAAAAATTTTCAGCTTTTGCTCTGGAATGATTTTGCATCTCTTCCACCAAACTTCCAGTGTATCAATGGCCAGAAAATAATCTATATGTTAATTTGTTAATTTGATGGTTCATGGTTCAAGGCTGTATAATTTAAAAGTTTGAAGTCAAACAACACATGATGGATAATCCTGATGTTACAGATTCTCAGGGGAGAATATGTATTTGTTTTTTCTACCAATTGTTCTAGTATTTACAGACAAACTTCTTAATTATACTGGGTTGGTTAATAAGTATTTTTCTTTACTCTTTCAATCTAGGTCCAGCTATGCATCACCCCTTCGCTGATGAGCATTAAGAAAATCCAAATTTGGCCGGGCGCGGTGGCTCACGCTTGTAATCCCAGCACTTTGGGAGGCCGAGGCGGGTGGATCACGAGGTCAGGAGATCGAGACCATCCTGGCTAACACGGTGAAACCCCGTCTCTACTAAAAATACAAAAAAAAATTAGCTGGGCGTGATGGCGGGCGCCTGTAGTCCCAGCTACTCGGGAGGCTGCGGCAGGAGAATGGCGTGAACCCGGGAGGCGGAGCTTGCAGTGAGCCAAGATTGCGCCACTGCACTCCCGCCTGGGCCACAGAGCGAGACTCCGTCTCAAAAAAAAAAAAAAAAAAAAAGAAAATCCAAATTTATAAATTGCTGGGTCCATCTCTCTTGCCATCCAGAAAAGTCAGAGCAACTGGTCTTGCTGGTTTTAAGTGTTGCCTGTGTTTCTGGCATTGGTAATTTTCTTTGTTTTCCTGTAGTTTTAGGTATACATATATAATGACATCTCCAAAATTCATCAATATTAGCATTTGTTATGAAGATTTTTCAGGCAACTGGCTTACCATATGGCCTAAATCTGATTCTGAAGTCCACGTTTCACTTTCTCAAATATAAAAACTGTTTGCTAATAAGCACTAGAAAAATATTTCAAAGAAGAACATTTTGATAAATATGATTATACAATATTCACTGCAGTAAATAACCGTTGCATACTCAAAGGAGTTTCATTTGCATATATAACATGAGATGAAAACCAATGATAAATGGTGACTTTTAATAAAATAGATCAGAAATAGTATCTTGTGCAAATAACCTGATGCGAGAATAATTATCCCTCTAATTAGTAAAATTCAATAAGAAGGTAGAATTTTCATTTACATGTGATCAAATAACTTTTTTTACAATACCTTTGCCTTTTGAATTCTTTAATAAAATACATCAGAAATAGTATCTTGAACAAACAATCTGATGTGACAATAAGTTCCCCTCTAGTAAAATTCACTGAGAGTGTAGGATTCTCATTTACATGAGATCGAATACCTTTTTTTTTTACAGTACCTTTTGCCTTTTGAATTCTTTATTGTTTTCATTTAAGAAATGTGGAAATCTGAAACAAACTATATTCTCAATCATGTTAGAAAAAGTATATGTAATATGTATTTTTTAAAGTCCAGTGGCTAAGAACTTAGACTGGGTTTTGAAATAATAATTTCCTAACACAGTTTCTCAGTATGTTTCCTCTAGACAAGAGAAAACTCTGTAATTATGATTCTTAATTTACCCTGGTAATTTCATAAGAAAAATGATTAATTACTTTGAGCAATCAGTTATACAGATAATCATGGTTCTTTATTTAAACCACAAAAAATAGAAAGAAAGCAGAGAAGCTTAAGCATAAAATATAAAGACAAATTCAGTCATTTAGTAAAAATGAAATCAGTGTTAAAATATTTCTTTTGACACAGTCAGCTAACATCTTTCTATTTTTGCTGAGTAACTATTAATTATATTTTAAGTTCAACTAACTCTTGACACAGCAATGGAATTTGAAGTGAATATACTACTTTGAAAAATAAATGGTGTATTTAGAGTGTTGACATTTAGAAAATGGTAGTTTTGTGAAATTTGCAATGTGTTTTAGAATTATAAATGCTAAAGTAAGTGAATGCATGATTATATTTAATAGAATAAAAACAGAAGAATTTTTTAAGTCTTGACGACCCAAGGCAGGGTTCTGTTTTAAGTATTCCCCTTTCAATCAACGTTACAGCTATCCTAACTTAAAACTGCTTCAACTAATAATGTGTATTTATATTAAAAATGTAATCCATGGCTCTGAACCCTGGCTTCCTAGTAGAATCACATGGCAAGATTTTAAATAATACTCATTTCTTGGCTCTACTAAAGTCCAATTAAAACAGAACTTCAGTTTTTAGAAAGAGGTGTCGGTAGTTTGAAATGTTCCACATTATTCTAAGATGTGGGTGAGATTAAGAACCAGTAAGCACACCAGTCAGAATGGCTATTATTAAAAAGTCAAAAAATAGCAGGTGCTGGTAAGGTTGCAGAGAAAAAGGAACACTATACACTGTTAAAGGGAATGTAAATTAATTCAGCCATTGTGGAAAACAGTGTGGTGATTCCTCAAAGACCTAAAAACAGAACTACCATTAGACCCAGCAATCCCATTACTGGGTATATATCCAAAGGAATATACATTGTTCTATTATAAAGACACACGCACACATATGTTCACTGCAGCACTATTCACATTAACAAAGACATGGAATAGACCTAAATGGCCATCAATAGTAAAGACTGGATAAATAAAATGTTGAACATATACACCAGGGAATAAGATGTAGCCATAAAAAGGAATGAGATCATGTGTTCTGAAGGAATATGGATGGAATTGAAGGCCATTATCCTTAGCAAATGAATGTAGGAACGAAAAAACAAATGCCACATTCTCTCACTTGTAAGTGCAAGCTAAATGATGAGAACACATGCACACAAAGAAGGGAACAACAGACACCGGGGCCTGCAAGAGGGCAGAAGGTCGGGGGAGGGAGACCATCTGGAAAAATAACTAATGAATCATAGGCTTAATGCCTGGGTAATGAATTAATCTGTAAAACAAACCCCCATGATGCAAATGTATTTATATAACAAACCTGCACATGTACCCCTGAAATTAAAGGTTAAAAAAAAGAAACAGGGAGCATTGCTAGGCTATATTGAGTAAGCTCCAACTGCGCATACTTAACCTATAAAATGCCTAAAATATAGATAGTAAAAAATATGCACAAGAGTGACATAAAACAAGAATTCAGATATAGCAGTTGTTTTTATTTGTTTAAGAATAAATTCAAAATTCAGAATTATAATTGTATACTCTTATAAGAGAAAACACAATCAGATTCATTTTATATAAAATATATTGTGCTAATTTATACACTTTTTGATCCCTAATAATAAATACAACTCTGTTAGATGCCTTAAAAGAAATCTTTACATTGCTTAGAGAACGTTAAATATCAATTGTGTATTTAAATTTTCTACTTATATGACAGTATGCTATTTTTCCTTAACTTTGGGTAAATAATTTTATGGTGTGATTAAACCGATCTGACATTTTGAAAAAGGGCATGTTTTTTAATGAAATATAAAAGAGTTGTAATTTTAGTTATTCACTGTTGCACAAACCTACTTTTTTGGCTTCATTTGCAAAAGGTTGTTGGATAACCTTTATCTTTTACCACTAACTTCTTACTCTGATCCAAAATATTTGGCTTTTAAAATTCTCCTTATTTCATTATTTGTCTTCATATTTAAAATATCTTCTGTGATATTTCACTTCTAATTTTTTAATATTTTTACATAAAAAGAGATGAATACTGATATCCCTGATTTTTAAGAGAGGATTTTAATTTGGAAATAAACATGCGATAATATGATTTTAAAATGCTAAAGTGGAGCTCTAGCAATTCAACTGAAAATAGCATTATGAATAAACTATACTGTGGCAACTCTTTAACATAATAAAGGAGGACATCAACAGAGCAGAAAATTGATGAATTTTGGAATATATGAAGCATGTTGTATCAAATTGCCAGAGAAAGTAATGATCTTCTGTTACTGAACTTAGGTCACAAAGCCTACTGCCTGCTAATCGGCAAGTGGACCTGTTTCTCTAACAATGGCCCGAAACTTCACAACATCAAAGGAGAAATCATTGCCAGCAAAAGCATTTCCGGGTAGTAGGAAAGAATACAAGTGAATAACATTAGTCCAGAAGTTTTAATAATATTCTTTGCTGGTTGAAATTCATGTTTAATATGATGTAAATTACTTGATAAGCAAATTAAGAACTATGCTACTACAGACTCCAAATAAGACGCAAGAAAAATGAGAGGAAATACATTAAAGGAAAATCTTAAAAAAACAGCTGCACAGAAGATAAATTATTTTTCCAGGAGTTTTAAACATAGTTGCTTTTGTTTGTTTGCTTTGCTGTTTTTTCTTAATTGTTTTAGTAAGCTCAGGCTGCTATATAAAAATAAGATAGGCGCTGGTCTGAACAATAGACATTTATTTCTTATAGTTCTTGAACCTGGCAAGTCTGAGGAGGGTCATCTTCTGGGCTTTCAAAGGGCTGCCTTTTTCCTATGTACGTACATAGTGAATAGAAAGCGTTAGCTCTCTGGTCTCTACCTGTAAGAGCACTAATCCCATCATGAAGACCCCATCCTTATGGGCTCATCTAAACCTAATTACTTCCAAAGGTCCCACCTCCAAATGCTAACACATTGAGAGTTAAGGCTTCAATATATTAATTTTGGGGAAACAAGACACAGTCCATATCAAATATATATATATATAATATATATGTATAATATATATGTATACTATATATGTATATAATATGTATGTATAATATATATACAAATATATATAATATATATTACATATACCCAAGTATATATATTATATATATTTGTATATATATTATATATATTTGTATATATATTATGTATGTTATGTAATACAACTATATACACTCTAAAAAGGCAGTGGAATATAGACATACTTCAATTGATTGTGCTTTGCTTCACTTGGCTTCACAGATAATGTGTTTTACACAAATTGAAGGTTTATGACCACCCTGCATCAAGCAACTTTATTGGCACCACTTTGTAATAGCATGTGTTCATTTGTATCTCTGTGCCATATCTAGGTAAATCTCACAATATTTCAAACTTTTTAACTATAATTATATTTGATATGATAATCTGTAACCAGTGACCTTTGATGTTACTATTGTAATTGTTTTGGGCACCATGAACCACATCCATATATGACAATGAATTTAATCAATAAATGTGTGTGTTCTGACTGCTCCACCAACTTAGACAATTAGTTTTAGATCTTTTATTTAGACGATGAGAAAATTTAAACTATAAATAGGCCAGGTCTGGTGGCTTATGCCTGGAATCCCAGCATTTTGGGAGGCTGAGGTGGGAGGCTCACTGGAGGCCAGGAGTTCAAAACCAGCCTGAGCAACATAGGGAGACCTCAGCTCTACAACTGAAAAAAAAATAGCCAGGTGTGGTCATGGTGGCACCGGTCTGTATTCCAGCCACTTGGGAGGCTGAGGCAGGAGGTTTGCTTGAGTCCAGGAGTTTGAGGTTGCGGTGAGCTACACAATGAGCTATGGTGGCACTACTACACTCCAGCCTGGGCCATAGAGTAAGGCCCTGTCTCTAACTGGAAGTCCAAAGAGGGATCTACTTCCAAGACTATTAATTTAATAGATCAATAAATTAATCAAGAATATGATTTTTTTCTCATCTTTCTCTGTAGTCATATTTTATACAGACTTTTTGTTTAAGTAATCTCTCTTTATGGGCAGACAATGATTTCAGAAACACCACAAATTATTCTCAAAGAGAAAAGATGAGGATTTTTTTTTTTTAGAAAATGTAACTCTTTTCAGTAGCTCTTGGCAGACCTACCCTCACATTTTCTTGACTAAAAACAGTCATTAAAAAAAGTCAGTCACAAACAGGTGAATTTAAATTATCATGGTTTACCTATGCTTAACAAGCTTTATCCTCAGAGGTAAGGATAGGGTTACTTTCCTGAATTTTAGATATGTGGAAATATTTGGAGTTATGTCAATAAATGAAAAAGTGTGATGGGTATAGTGCTTGCCATGGAATATACCAAATACAGATATTCTGAAAACTTTAAGTTCAGTAATATGCCAGGGGTTCCCAAGACCATTTGAGACCTGGTAATTTATTGGAAGTCTCTAAGGGAATCAGAAGCTGTAGTACTCATTGTTACAGTATATTACAGTAAAAACAGTACAGATAGAAGTCAGCTAAGAGAAAAGACAAATGAAGTGAACTCCAGGAGAAACCAAGTCCAAGCTCTCAGGTGTCCCCTCCCAGAGCAGTTGCATGGGGACATGTTTAATTATCCCAACAACAATATGTAAAGTACAAAGCATTGCCAACCAGGAACACTCGCTGGAGCCTAGTTGTCGAAGGTGTTTACTGGGATCAGTCGCATAGTCATGTAATGCCCATATGATTGACCTCAGCTCCATGACATTTAAGCACAACTTTCTTCCTACACCCAGAGTAAAAACAGATGTTCACATAAGTCACGTTGATAACATAACCTTTTCTGGTCGAACTGGGAGAGTATGGCCCAAGACTTCAGGAAAACAAGAACACTTTTATCAAGCAAAATACTCCAAGGGCTCAGAGATGAACTCCTAGTCTAAGGTCTAGTCCTGCAGAGGGACCCCTCTTTGGAATGTATAGTATTTGAGCAATTCAGGCCAGTCAAGTTAAACCTTTTCACCCATGCCTAAATGCTATTTAATAAATGTAAATAACAACGATGAGATAGTTTATTAAACATTTTTATTGAAATACACAAATAGTATATAGTTAATTAATTTTAACAAAGTGATTGTACATATTTCACAATAAAATTCCCTTAAATTACCATCTGCTCCATCTGCAAGTAATTATTATTCTGATTGCTAATAACATAGACTTTTTTTAACCTATTTTTGAACTTTTATAATAGAATTAAACAATATATATTCTTTTCTGGATGGCTTCTGTTACTCAGAAATGTATTTAGGAGAGTCATCAAAGCTCTCTTGGGTATACCATTTATCCTTCTTGCTTGATAATACTCCATGTATGTATATATATGCTATGATGTGTTTATTTTACTCTTGATGGATAACTGCAAAACTTCCAATTTAAGCTGTTGTGAATAATTCTTTAATAAAAAATTTTGTACATTTGCTGAATATGTTTATGTGTTCCTGTTGGATGATAGTAGCAGAATTATTGGTCACAGGGTATGCATATACTTAATTTTAACAGATAAGATCAAATACCTTCCAAATTCATTTTAACAATTACAGTCAACCTGCATTGTTTTAGAGCCCCGATTGCAGAGTCATTTTGGATTAGTTTGTCTTTCTCTTATTGATTTTAATGGATAGTGTTAGGCTGTAAATAATTTATGCATAGTAAGAACTTTCTCAACAAATTTTACTCAGACTTCTGCTCTACGCTAAGAACTAGCTCTGGAAATTAATTCACAGAAAGAACATGGTTAGGGGCCATCCTGAGGGATTTACCTCACTAGGGATATATATTTACATTTCAAGAGAAGATGAGACCCAGTAGATGCATCCCAGAAGTTACAAAGCTGGAGACTCTAGTGTTATCTTTCCCCTAGAGAGATTTATTTTTATCCAAGTGGTTAGAGTAAGAACTCAGACTTTTTTCCGTTTTGTGACTATGGAGACACACTCAGAAGGGGGTCAGAGCAACTGGGTCACTCTTCCACAAAAATGCTCAGGTTCTTTTTTCCAGAGTTCTTTGCCTACAGCAGATCCCCTTACATGTAGGACATCTGGTTCTCACCACATCACCACCACGGTAAGAATTAGTGGAAAGGAGAGCTAGGTTAAGGGCAGCTGTTTCTTTCCTTCTCTGCAGCCTCTGGTACCAAGTACTGCATGACATGTGTCTCACAACATTCCTGCCTCTGCACCTCTGTGCTACGACACTGGATGAATCTATGGAGTGAGCAATAGAAAGTCTCTGTACTGCCAGAAACAACTTCATTTTACATGGAAGTGGCTTTAAATCAAGCACATTAACCTCAATGAACTGAAATTAAATATGTCTCTATTCAACTTCCCCTTAGCTGAATACTAAAAGTGCTGTAGGCTGGACCCGCACTACCTGACAGGGAGATAAATGACTAAAGGCAAATGGGAGTCAAAACAGGTGTGGCTTTTCTTATTTTTAATTAAGCATCTTACATAGCAAATTTTGCAAAACTCGTATGACCCCGAGAAAGACCCATACACATGAAAGGTCTTAAAGATTTAACTTTCTTAGCTTTAACGTAAGCTTTCCACTGGATTTTCCCATTACACTCATTCCATAAAGAAATGAAATAATCATATATCTCATTATATAATTATACTAAATTGATCTCGACACATTTTCTTAGCAATATATACCAACATTGTTTCCAATATTGTTTATTACAAATGATGCTACAGTTGAAATCTTTATATCTGAACGCTTGTGTGTGTGTGCGTACCTATTCTGTGTATAACACTGATTTTATTTATTTGTATAGGCCTGGAAGTGGAAATACTGTGACATAAAATAGAGGCACAGCAAATTATTCAAGATGTCGACAAACAGCATTGTTTCCAAGTTTTTGTTCCCTTACAATCCTTGCCATTGGCCAATCTCTCAGAATCCCGTGTTGCTTAACATTTGGTAGCTTAGTAAATATTTTAAATCTCAGAGATTTTACCTAACTGATACCAGGGTTTTTAAAATTTGTTTATATAGATTAAGCGTCTTTGAAGAAATAACAGTATGCAAAAAATATGGTTGCTATTCTTCATGTTAAAACTATCTTAAACTCTTTTCCAGAGGAAAAAATAACAAAATAGAAACCAATGAAGGTCTTTTGCTTGGTGATTACATATATTGATTACCTGTGTAAGTTAAACAGATTGGGAAAAGGAAATATCCAAAATTGTGCCTAGAGTATATCATGACATCATGTATATATGTAAATAAGTTAATTTTTGCAATCGCAACATAGAGAAAAATGTTATTTTAAATGAATAAAAATAAATAGAACATAAAGTAATATTTCAGCATATTAAATTTAGGAGTAAAAACCTTTGACATCCCTGAAAATCTTTGGTAAAAAGTCCAGATTATGATAACTTGGCTTTAATGAACTAGGAAATAGATGGATAATAGCACACACATTTTTAGCATTGTAGGGATTATTTTCACTGGTTGTAGGATCAACACACTTGGTTTAAATAATGGTTCTGAGAATTTAATTAATTAATAATTTAATTCATTTTTGTTAGGAAAATAAATTCATTTCTAGACACAGGATATTTTACAATTGGATCATATTTCAAAAAAGAATCACTGTGTTTTTAATGAACAAATGTCACATAAAGAAGTCTTTTCAAAAAGTGCTTCAAAAACTTAAATTTGAAATGTATGCAACGGATCCACAAGGTATCTAATAATTTTTATTTTTACCAAGCTCATGAGTAAGTTAGCCCTGAAACAGTTTCGGAGAAAAAAAAAAGTGTTTTAGTTTCTTCATCTGTAAAATATTTATGTTGCAAGTGATTGAGCAAATATATAAATGTAAGCAGTTTGATCCTAGAACTTGTTGTGTTTAAGAATATGGATTATTGAGAAGTACTTCACCATAGTATTTATCACATAGTATGTCCTAATTGAAGATTAAGTATGGTTGTAATCATAATAAAGTATTTTGAAAATTCTTTTGAAAACTGTTTTAATGAATTATAGATTGAACACTGAGATAAGATGGAGTTATCCATGATCTTTAAGACAGCAAAATTAGGTCTTGAAATTAAAATTGAAATGAATATAATACACATATATTGATTTTATGTCGATGTTTTATAATCAAATCTGATTAGAAAAAGGACATTGGTATAAAGGTTCTCCACATCTTCTCAGTCACCCTACTTCATTTTCTAAGGGAATTACATTACGTACTTTTATTTTATTTCTTGTTATATAGCTGTATCCTTTCCTTGATTTCTTGGCTTGCTTCTGCTCTCTTCTGCTATGCCTATCCATCAGTTTCCAGAGCTCAGAAAAACAGTTTTTAACAGCCTAATATATGTATTTGGCAATTTCCTCCCATAGCTGTGATTTAATATTCATGGCCACATAAAGGGTATAAAATATTTTGCACTCGGTGTATACACATTTTCTTTATATCACTTTATCTTTCATCAATAACTCAATGGAAATCCCGTTAAGAGAATATGGATAGCTCTAGTTGGTATTCAATGTCTGCTTAACATTTCATGTTGACAAATTATCATAAACTATTCAATAGAAGAATTTTACTAACAATATATCGTTAACATTCTAAAATATTTTTGTATAATCTAGACTTTGGTGGGAACAAACCTTGGAACAAACTGGTTCCAAGGTTTCTTGGAGGGGAGTGGTGAAAAAGAAATGGGGAAATTTATGTTTTTTGAATTTGTCAACTTATTGAGGAGGGGTAAGTAGAGAAATTGACTAATTTGCTAAGACAATAGAAGGCATCTTTATTTCAAATAGTACTTGAAAATTATGCATCTAATTGTGAGGTCAAAAAATTGAAGATACCCCTTAATAAAGAAATAAAGGATAGATCTTCCAAAATAACAAGGATGTAGTGGAATGAATAAAAATGTATCAAGTCAGCAGCAATAAGGTAAAAATATTAGAAAAGTAATGTTAAATAGTTGTCAGATGGAAGGATATATTTGAGCAAATATTTTGTTAAATAGATGACAAAAAGGTAATATTTATACATTACATATATGTGTTTGTATGTATGTATGTATGTATGTATGTATGTATTTATTTTGAGATATAGTCTTGCCTGTCACCCAGGCTGGTATGCAGTGGCACGATCTCGGCTCACTGCAACCTCCGCCTCCCGGGTTCAGACAATTCTCCTGCCTCAACCTCCCGAGTAGTTGGAACTGCAGGCGACCGCCACCACACTTAGCTAATTTTTTTCTTTTTAGTAGAGACGAGGTTTCACCATGTTGGCCAGGCTGGTCTTGAACTCCTGGCCTCGTGATCTGCCTGCCTCAGCCTCCCAAAGTGCTGGGATTACAGGTGTGAGCCACCGTGCCCAGCCTCACAGATGTCTTAAAATTCACCTGATAAAGTTAGGAGCCTCAAGAAAAATTAGCAGAGGAAAATAATAGGTAGTTACTATTTAGGGTAAACTAAACTGTTCTAAGGAATAGAAAATAAAAATTCCATGTCTTCAAAAATAATTCTTCCCTCTCAATCTCTCTGAATATCTCATAAGAGTATTCAGGCCACAGAAATAACTACCATTTAGCCACTCAGAGGCTTATAGTACTTCTACTAACTTTAACATTTGGCAACCAAAATTACTCTAAGAATCATCACCCAAGTCAGACAAACAGGTAAGATAACAAGAAAAAGTGCTTGTATAAGGATTTAAGACTAAGGCTCAGGGACAGCAAATATTCTATTTGCTAAAACTAAGCCACATGCACACACCAAGCAAGAGAGCCAGGGAAGTGGATAGGCACAGGCAGTCAGTCCACAGAAGAATGAATCAAAGTGCTGAACTTTCATAGAAAAATCTGTTAAGATTCATGGGTGGTAAAGAAAATACAAATTAAAATAACACAGGAATGTCACCAGAAAAACCATCAAATAGGTAGCATTTAAAGATATCTATAGGACTTATTGTTTCTAGTGTTCTCTCATATATTTCTGGTGAAGAATAATTTATTGTAGAGCTTTTTGAAACAATCTGACAATTTATATTGCAATTAATTGTACTTATGCCATCTGACCAAACAATGTAACTCCTAGGCTTTTTGCCTATATGACTAAAATCATATGCACAATAGTGGTTATTACATTCTTTAGCCCAGTAGCCATTAAATTCCTTGTGCCCTTAAAACCTAAAAGTTCACAGGGAGAAGACCTCTTACTGACTTGTAGAATCTCAATACTACTTATCTTGAAATTTCAGTAAGTGTTAGGTAAAAGAGTTCATTTGGGATAATCACACTATGATAGTCTTTAGCTTTTGAATTGGAATCCAAATTTTAGTTTAGAACAGCAAAGTTTGCGCCTAAAGATTTCATGAAGTAAAAATACTAATTGTGATTATATATCTAAATATTTGCACATCTAAAGTTGTCTTTTACCCGTAACCAGAATAAATGATACCTTTTTAAAAAAAAAAAAAAAGAAGAGTAATCTATCTAGAAAATGAAAAAATTAGGCTAAAATGGTGACTTAAGTAATTTAAATGGATATAGATTTATAAAATTAAACTATTTCTCAATTTTGAGAGGAAAAAATCAAGGAAATCAAATATACCTTCTCTTTCTTTTGTCAACAGATGTATGCTGTCTTAATTGATGCTTAATTTATTTTTCCATTACATAATTTTAATATTGTAATAATTATAACAACAGACACAAAATGAAATTTCTGTACATTTATGAAAAATGCTAAAATTGTAAAGTAATTTAAATATATAGGTTTAATTTATTCATATGATTTAAAATTTTATGTCATTTTGTTTTATTTCTTAATTGTTGCTATAATTAAATGTTAATAAAATAAAGTCTTTAAAAATTCTGATTTGGCCTTGCAATATGCGATTAGAACACTTGTAAAAATGCAAACATATAAATAATGCAAAAATAATATTTGAAAAATGTAATCGTTCTTAATGTTATTGAACATCCAAAAGTTATTGACGAAGTATTCAGAAGCATTTTAGATTATTGTAAAATATTATTTAAATTATATTTAATTAAAAAATGATATACATTACTCAGTAAAAAGAAAAATAGATAATCAAGAAAAGCAAAACTGAAAAGATGAAAATGTTTTAATATTCAAGAAGCAATCCTGTCTTTTTTACTGAATTAAGGGACTTCCCTGCAATAAAATCGATTATGCTCACATAATAAAGGTATATCTTAATAATTTAAGTGAAGAAATAAAATCTGTCATCACTTTCACTTTCATCTGGAAAATAGTACCTCGTAAGTTTTTTCCGTTGCAGACTATAAACATAGAAGCAAATTTATTAACTTGGCACTATTATATAAGGTGCATAATGAGAGTTTGTAAAATGGCAAAATAGTTTTTTCTAGTCCTATAGTCAATTTATCATCAGAATAGCTTCAGACTCTATACAGGTTCATTCTATAAACAGTATTGGTGAAAAATCAGATGTGTGGTCTGTTTTTTGTTTGTTTGTTTGAGACTATCATTGTTGAATATACATCAAGCAAAATAGTTAAAGAAAAGCCTTTGGAGTAACGTCGTAAATTCAATAATATGTATATGTGCACACACACACAAATACACATCCCAAACAACCACAAGAGGAATAACAAATTTATAACCCGGGTGGGCACGGTGGCTCATGCCTGTAATCCCAGCACTCTGGGAGGCCGAGGCAGGCAGATCACTTGAGGTCAGGAGTGAGACCAGCCTGGCCAACATGGTGAAACTCCATCTCTACTAAAAATGCAAAAAATTAGCCAGGGTGTGGTGGTGCACACCTGTCAGCTACTCAGGAGGCTGAGGCAGGAGAATCGCTTAAACCCAGGAGGTGGAGGTTGCAGGGAGTGGAGATTGTACCACTGCACTTCAACCTGGTTGGCAGAGCAAGACTCTGCCTCAAAAAAAAATATTATTACCAAAAATCTCACTAATTCTATACGTCAGCATTTATTAAAATAAGGATAAGAGAGAGCTACTGTAGATATCTCTAAGAAAATAAATAAATGACTATTGAATGTGTAGTTAATCTTTTTGTTTGCCCATTTCTCTTTAGAGCCATGCGCATGAATTGCATTTGCGGGCTGGATTACCAAGGGCTTCTCTGAAATGGCAAAGAAAATAATGTTTGATTTCAAAATGCAATAATAGTAGCTATATGAAAACATGACCTTTGAAAGATTATTCAGCAAATAATACACTTAATGAAACTTGTTTTTTAAGAAATAGATATTTCAGAAAATATGGTACTACATATGATTGTTGCCAAATCATTCTGTATACTTAATGGTTGTTCAGCACTTTCTGTTTTATAAAGTACTTTCAAATATATCAATTCAGTTAGCTAGTACCCAAATCCTTGATGTAATCACTGTTATATAACATACAAGCAAACTGTGTGTAATAAATCACTCTGCAGTTGGAGTACAAGAGTAGGCATCAGGAAAGTGGCAGGTGTGTCATTTTGAATAAAGGCTGTTGTGGGAAAGGTTCCTTCAGACAGATCCCTCTCCCTAGGTATTTATGTGGTGAGAATAGCAGGTGAGGTTTGTGGAGTAGAGTCCGGGGCTTGTGCATCCTTAATTCAAGTAACAGCACTTGAATTAAAGGTTTATCCTAACTATAAAGCTATACATTTTTCTCATGATGTATTTGAATATATTCTTTTTAAGGAAAGAAAAAAATGTAGTCATATAAATGTTCAGGTCCTGAAGTATATGTATGTCACTTATTGCTATTCTCTTCTGTATTTTATGTGAATGCCACAAACATTTTTAAAATTTTAAAGAAGTAAACATATATACAACATAGATTTTTAAAATGAGATATATGCTGAAACAAAGTTTTGAGGAGGTATAATGTTCCGAAATGTAATTAGATGACAAATTATTTCTGGTACACATTTCCTAGCACTTATATTTTTCACCCACTCATAAAACAATGTGAAGTAGGTCATACTGAGTCACCAAATTAAACATTCAAATTATTCTACATCTCCAAAAGTAGCCCATAATTAAAAGGAATTTCATATTGGAATAACTGGACCTAATTTGCTTATTCATTAAATTGTGTCCAAGTGTAGTCTCTGAATTATATCAATTAGGGAACTAGAAGGCATACTTAAAAAGAGCTGAATTAACAGTGCAAATAAAGTAACCACTGTGGATACTTTTGAAAATTCTAGTATTAATTTTGTTAGTCAATGCAATGGAAATACATCAGTAGCATAGTAATAAAAAATATTTCTTTTTATAGCATCTTTGATAATTATAAAATTAATAAAGATTTATTATTTAAAAAAACAGAATAATTCCTACATCATTAAAATCACAAGTAACTCCACTGTCTAATTACAACAACTATTGCGGATTTTATGTATTTTCTTATCATTTTATTTATTTATAATTGATAGGTGAGTATTAAAATTAGCCTGACATTATTTTATGATTAATAATTTATTTAAAATATATTATATGATTAAGTGTCTATTTAAAATTAAGCCTGTTAAAAATAAAACTATTGATCTTTCCTATCCTCTAATCCCAAATTTGCTCCTCCCAAATTTAAACCCAGGTGAGTAATTCCAACTCTGTTCCTCCCATAGTTCAGGCCAAAACATTGCCAATATCATGGACTTTTGCCTCTAATATACAGGGTTCAAATATATATTGTTTGCATAGAACAATTTCAATTTATAATTTACATAGTTTATAGTTTACAACAGCTTCAGGAATAGTTTACACGATAGTTTCCTCACTAATTTCCCTGTTTTCTCTTTTGCTATGCTATGGTCTATTTTCACAGATCAGTCAAACTGTTACTGCTAATTCTTTAAAGAGGCGATTGCTTTTCTGTTTAAAACCCTTCATGGCTGCCAATTAAATAAACAAAAGTTCTTACCATTTTCTAAGAAGCTTTATGTGACCATCTCCCCATGGAGTGTGACCTCATCTCCTCTGCTGTATCACATTGGCATCCTTAGTGGAACCTCACGGGTGCGTTCATACACCAAGGCCTCATTTGCTATTTCTGCTCCCTGAAAATATGTTCTCTCAATTATGCTCTTGGCTCATTCTCTCATAACCATTCATTGTATTCAGATGATACCACCCATCGAGGCTTTCAGCAACCATCTTGTTCAGTATCCAGCACCTCTTGTGCCCAGAACTCTCTATTCCCCTTCTTTGCCACATTTTTTAGAATAGAACTTAAACCATCTGGCATACAACACATGATACTTTGTGGTATTAATTACTGTTTTTCTCCCAACACTGGAACAACAGCTCTGTGAAGCCAAGACATTCTGAATGTTATTTTCACTATTTTTTCCCCAGTCCCTACAAATGGGCCTAGAATATACATAGTAGATGCTCAATAATTTGTTGGGGAACAAATGAAAGTTGATCCTCAATAATATTTTATAATGAATAGGCTTACAATTTATGAAAAAGCCATAACTTATTTAGCCATCTCCCTAAATTTGCATGCTTTTGTAAGTAATATCATGGTTGTGAAAACAATTATGTGTGTATATACGTGTATGTATATAGGTATTTTATGGCAATGATATACATACATGTATAGTCTTCTGTAATATTTACAGGTGCTTTTGTTTTGCTTGCATTATGCAGCATATATGATTTTATAGCTAGTATTCTGGATGTCCACGAAACATCAATTAAAAAGAAACTAATATTATTAAATAACAGACCTGTTAAAGTGGTAGTCAAAATATTCTTTCCCCATTATATACCTCAGAGATTTCTGATGAACCCTTTTGTAATCTAACTGTGGCTGTAATGATAATAAATTTTTTCTAGATAGTTTTACAAACAATTTTTAATCTTCAAAATTCAAGGCTAATGTATGCATGTTGAATGATTATGGCATTCATATATAAGCTATGTTTGGAACCAGAACTTACCAGTGCTTATATTTATGTGTAGGTATGATAGACAAAGCATAGGAATAACAAGATATCATTAGTTTACTATTCATTAAAAATATGAGTAGAACTGGTTTTGCTCTGTAGTTTTTGCTATGATAAACCTTAGCCATGAAAATAACCTGCTATTGAGCATGTGTGTCATCCATCTTATGACTCACCAAAAATAGGGAAATGAGTCTAGAACCATCAAAGCAGTTGACAACAGAAGTGAGATTTCAGCTTGGATACATTTTATTATAAAAGTAGTATAATTATATTCAAGAATTTTTTAACCTTTTATCTCACTAAATAAATTTCAATATTCATTATAAATAATAAATTCAAGCATTTAAAATATTATTTATATATTCTTAATTTTTGTTGTTTGTTTTAATTACACATGTCAATCCTGTTATGGAATGACATCAACATCCCCTTGGCAAGAGGATATTTTTAAATTTCCACATGTACATTTTAAGAGTTGATACAACCCTATTTATCTATGATTTTCTCTTTCCTATAATTAGTAATTTTCACTGTAGAAGACTCACTTATAAAAGTGTATATTATTATCATATTTGGATGATAAACTAAAATTTTGAAATATTTAGAAGCATTGTTATGAACTCATTAAAATTATCAGAATCAATTCATATAAAATGATATTTAATATTTTCTTATACATAAATTAGTGACATTAATTGTTTTATACTTTTAATTTAATTTGATTATGAAAACTTTCTATGTGTTTTTGAATTTGTGTAACCTTAGACAGATTGCTAAACCCATTTCATCATGCATTAATAGAATAGGATTAGATAATCTCTAAGGGTCCTTGGCTCTAAGATTATATGATTGTAATTAATGGCACTGCAGATCTTGTAGAGGGACATTAAAATGGACCCATACCTGAAGTTACTTTTCAATTGAATTAGTACTTAGGGAGTTGAGACAGTAGAAACAAGGAAGGCAAAACAGTCTTTCATAACAGATCATAATAAATTTGCTAATATTATAGAAAGGTCATTGGAAAGTGTTTGTCCTTTTTTTTTTAATAGGACCTTCCCATTTTCACTTACAGTTTTGAATACATTTATACATTTCCTTCTTCAAGCGTCATTTAAATTAAAAGTGTTTCTATTTTCTCCAGATGGAGTTTCAATGCTCATAAACATTTACATTAGGAGAGAATATAGTACCTATTATCTAACTTAAGTTGAAAAAGAATGAAACTGTAAAATATATTTACCAAAATAACTAAAGATTTATTTATCTTCAGTAGGCCTCAATTAGTTTACCTTTAAAAAGCATTCATTGATACAAATTTTAAAAATCCATGTAACAGACATCAATCAAATGTGATTTTTCTCCAGTTTATTATTTTCTGCCAGGGGAAATAAAATGCAATAATCACATTTTAAATATACATCTTTTTAAATGATTCTGTTGTTATACATATGATTGTTATTAATATTTTTACTATTATTGAATGCCCCTGTACTGACCTTTCCAATTTGATAGTGCAGTAAGAAATAAACTTTTTTTTAATATTGAGAATTGGAAATGACCTGGTAATTTCTTTGTACTAGAGACCACTAATTGTCCATATAATGCATTCTTTCATTTTGTTTAGTAATAGAATCCTAAGTACATATGACCACAAGCAGGAGATTACCTTCTATAGTCTCTTATCAGTGATTAATTTTGATCAAATATAATATAAATTATATTATGAGCATAAATTTAAGTTAATCTCCATAAAGACAAAGCTGATTGTTTTTACATCTCTTCTTACACATTTTACTGTCTGGAATGCAGAAGTATTGCTGAACTTAGCCATGAGGATGAAACACTAAGATAGGATTATAAAGAGAATACAAGATGAAAATCTCCTGGGGCCCGGGATGAATTCATGGAAAAAACATCCCCACCAACTCTCTTAATTGTTGGAGAGAAATATAAGCCTACAATAAGGGTCACTCCTTATACTCATCATTTTTGAGTTAGAGATATTGACAAGTGTATCAAACTATATATTTTCTCCCACAAGACATTGAGGGGCACACTTCTTTTATTCTCCAAAAGTAACAAAAAATGCTTTGGTGTCTAATTTTTAGCCTGCAAGGGCTGTCATAGTGTTGTTTTCAAAGACTTACATGTTTTATTTCCTTACCTCACTGCAACATTATAAATTTATCTTCTGTGCTAACATCATGATAGCATCTAATGGTTCCAAGAGTGAAGATTATCACTAGTTTATGAACCTTTGTATTCCCCAAAAGAGAAAGAGATATTACATAACCAAATTCCAAGTATGATTAACCAATATTTTTCTAAAATGTTCCACTTCTCAATTCTGTCTACTAATTTGAAATAACTGAGCAAAATACATTTGCAACATGATAATTCTTCAAACTCGGCTCTTATACCAAGCAGTACTGATGATTGGGGCATTAACAAAACCAATAAAATTGTTTTGCAAAACAAAAACGAAGTGAAAAATATGCTCAGCTTATCTTACACAATATTGTTTTCTATATCAAAAATGGCTAGATAGCCTTAGAAAAAATGGCATATACATTATTTACCTAAAAGTTGTAGTAATCTGGGTAGAAGCTTAAAGTGACCTATCCTGTCATATAGTTGTCATTAACTAGGATATTAATTATTCTTAAAAGGATGCAAAATTTTTCCAAGGGATGTGCATCTGCAGACAGTTTTAAGGGACTATTGTCAAGAACTGTGAAGGATCTGAGCTTACAAGTTAGCCTGCTTCAGTTTTATGGATGTTGGCAGAAGACACATAACTGTTTGGTCAGAGACAGAAAGACTTCCATTATTTGCAGTACAGCACAGAGTTGCACGAGCTTCATCTTTGCTCTGGTTCCTGTTTTCCCTCAAGTTTACTGGAGATGATGACAAGGAGTTCAAGTTGATGCTACACACAGTTTGTGTCACAGATGAAGAACTCCAAGTAAAGGAAACTTAAATCTTTAATAAATGAGCAGTAAGCACACTTGTCTGATGTTTTCTGTGGAGGAAACACTATCTTCATTTTACTTGAAAATAAACAAATCTGTTCTCTCATCCATAAATAAACAATATCTTGATCTTCCAGGGCTATCCACTATATAAAGATCTTTAAAAAGGAAAACCTGTAATAAATGTGAAACTAGTGCCTTTCTATTTGCAAGATGCACAGAAATGCATGAGACCAATTGAAAATTGCCTGTGAACAAACACGCTTCCAGATTTTTAGCTTGCTCTTTTCTAAACATGAAAATTCTCAGAAAGTACGTGTTCTCAAAATTCATGCCATTTCTTTTTTCCCAAGTTCCTTTATCACGACCATCTTATTTTTCACATTACCAAATGATGCACTTCCCTAAACTATCCAAAATTTTCCATGGTGTTATAGTTTCTAAGGTACTGAGAAGAAACTCATAGGTGAAGCATATTTATAAATTGTTTACAACATAATATTGAATACATATTTTCTCCTTTTCCCTGTCACTAGTAACTTTTTCTCTGCTTGATTAATTCATATCACATATTTAATAGCCCAATTTATTCAGAACATACTGAGAGGTGAAGCCAGCTGGACTTCCTAGGTGGAGTGGGGACTTGGAGAACTTTTTTGTCTAGCAAGAGGATTGTAAAATGCACCAATCAGCGCTCTGTAAAACGCACCAATCAGCAGGATCCTAAAAGTAGCCAATTGCAGGGAGGATTGAAAAAAAGGGCACTCTGGTAGGACAAAAATGGAACATGGGAGGGGCCAATACGTGAATAAAAGCTGGCCACCCCAGCCAGCAGCAGCAACCTGCTGGTGTCACCTTCCATGCTGTGGGAGCTTTCTCCTTTTGCTCTTCACAATAAACCTTGCTACCGCTCACTCGTTGGGTCCACACGATCTTTAAGATCTGTAACATGGGAAAGGTCCGTGACTCCATTCTTGAAGTCAGCGAGACCACGAACCCACCAAACCCACCGGCAGGAACCAACTCCGGACATAATACCACATGGCAAGCTCTGTTCTAAGCATTGATGTGTACAGGTTATTTACTCCTCATAAGAACACTGAAAGATAATTGCCACTTACTGGCTCCTTCTTAAGATGAGTAAGCTAGAGACAGATACTCATGATTTGCTCAAGACTTCAGAACTTGTCTGTGGCAGAGCAGAGATGAGAATTAAATTTGCTAGCCACCATTTCTTGGAATTTAAACACATTGTTATGCCACCTCTTAGTATATGTAATTAATGACATGCAGTTCACAGAATTATGTTATTTAAATTATATTGGACAGAAATAAAAAAGTACGGTTGACACTTGAACAACATGAGCTTGAGCTGTGTGCATCCCTTATATAGAGATTATTTTAATTAAAAAAATCAGCATCTGCATTGAAATGTGGATCAAAATACAGTAGCCACAGGATGAAAAACCCGCAGATATGGAGGACTGACTTTTTGTATACTCTGGTTCCACAGGATTACTTGAATATGTGCTGATTTTGGTATCCTCTGGGGTCCTGGACCCTGTCTCTTGAGGATATCAAGGGACCACTGTATTTTTACTTAAAATGACAAGAGTAGAGAATATATGCAGATATATCCCGAGGAACATCTTTTAGGTATATGCTTTTCTATTTTAATTCCTCTTAAAAAAACACACACATCTTAGAACTTACAATGTATTGATACAAAAATATGGCCATTATTTATGTAGGAAAAGTTTATATACTCCTCCGGAGGGTAGGAAATGAGATTGCAGTGCACATGGGGTTCTGCCACTCACAGTGTAGGATGTTTCACCATGTCTTCCTGAAATGATTTGCAAATAGTCAAGAACAAATGACTGTGGTGATAGAGATGTATTTATTGCTGCCACCTTGTTCCCACTTCACCGTTGCATATTTGTACACAGGACACATATTTATTCTTTTAAGTTTAGATTTTACTGAGAAATGAGGACCTTATCTGGACTTCACTGGGAGAATTATGAGTGGCCAGAGATACTACATTTTGAGCTGGATGCCAGACCTTGAAAGAACTCTGCATTTTTCATTTTGAGAGAAGTCGGTGTGTTTTATAATGGGAGGAAGATTAAAGCAGGTATTTTGGCATCAGAAGGACTGACCTTGACAGAGATTGGTGAGATAACATTATTTCTTTCTTTGGACCACAAGGAAATGCTGTATTTTTCAGCCTCAATTGCAGGTAGGATGAGACCATTTCACTGGTGAATGAAATGTAGGTAGAAGTTATATTTCCCACTTTTAGACTGAGCTATAAGATACCTCACGCAATGCTTCTCATACTCCTCTTTATATTAAATGCAGAGGATTCAGTGAAAACCTTTAAGGAATTTCAGAAAGTTAATCCTCTACAGAATTATTATATGAATGAGAAGAAAAAAAATTGTGTTAAGTCACAGATATTTGCAGTTTGGTTCAGAAACTAATATTAATTGCCCTGACTAATACACTGAGATACTAGTGATGATTCTGCAATGACTGCTTTTACAGTGAAAGTGACCACAGTAGCATGCATGGATAAATTTAAGGTGATAAACATTAGGATTGCTTACATATTTTTTGGCTTCTTCATGCACATGGTAGGATATAGCTCACTGCCCTGTTTAATTCAGTTATGGAATGTGATTTCCTTTTGCTTATTGAAATGTTAGTAGACTAAAGTGTCTGTTTCCTTCTAGAGGCAAAAATTCAGAGCGTGCCTCACAACATTCTTTTTTTCCTTGACTACAGTAACTTTCAGTGTTCTGGAGTGGCTGCTTTGTCCTCTAGATCCTGGTATAAAGGTGACAATGACCCATGAGTAGAATCATAAGCAACACCAAGGACATGTGAAATGAGCAACTTATGAATGAATTGATATAGGCTCCTGACATTTAGAAATTGTTTTGTTATCACTCAGCTTAGTTTTTCTGATGTAATTTAATTGCTCTAAGGAAACAGTATCTGCTGTGATTTGTTACTGTCTCTTACTGCCCAGTGGTTGGCAAGGCCAAAAGTTCTAGACGCGGCAGTATTCTGAGAGTTGAGAGCCAATATATTTTCTTGGCAGTGCTCATGCTCATGGTGCACTTGAAGCTGTGTCGATGCTGCCATAGGAACACCACAAGCCAACCTTGTTTCTTCCATGGTTGCACTCTTTATGTATTCAATTACAGACCTCAGGTGTGTCTGACATGAAACAAACATACGCAGGCATCATGACGGTAATCAACTGATTGCTTCAATGTGCTGGTCTTTGTAGGTCTTGAGAGTATCAACCTGGAAAAACAAGCTTTTAACTTTAATAATTTCAGCAAGTTAATATAAAGGGAAGTTCCACATATAGGTCTGGATCAAGTTTTTCTATGAAGTAGTTGCCAATTAGAAAAGTTTCCTAAACAATTAACCCTAGCAAAAAATTGTGTAAAGATTCCATTCACTTATTACACAAAACAGTATATTTTATGAGTGCTACCTTCTACTTTGGCCATTAGATAAAAGGTCTCTTCACCTTTCTTTTGTCGTGTTTTGCTTAAATATTTGGGCATATAGCTATAACCCATCATTCCCTTTTGAAAACAAAGAATAATAACCAAAGTAATATAATCTAAACCTGCTTTAAAGTCCGAGTGTAGTTTATGTTATATGTTCCTGTAATTATTTGTCATCTGTGGCTCAAATCCCTTTTACTAAAATACTTTGCACTTCACCATAAACAAACTTGTGCAAACAAACAAGACACAGAAGCGATATAAAACTCCCAAAATCAAGTTACTAAGTTTCAGTAACAAATAAACCTGAATGTGTAATTAAATAGATTATAATAATGCTGAAAATTCTGTATTTTAGGTTCTTTATGATCTAGAGTTCTTCACATGTATTTAGTAAACCATTCCAAGTGCTATATTTCTTGCTAATAAAACCAAATAACAATGTTCAGGGTAAATTTTAATGAATTAATGCTTATAATGCAAACTATGCTTTCATCAATTTTATTCAGAAGCACACGATTAATTATACAACAGATATTTTATATGATTGCTCAGAGTAAAGACTATTTTTATTTGCTTGAATGACAACATAATTTATTAAATGAATAAATACACGGATTCGTCTTCTCCATCACCATTTTAGGCATGTTTTTGTGACATATACCTTCTTCACCATGAACTCCTTCCTAACCAACCATTATATCTAAAATAAATTATCAGCAAACATAAATATTGTGCTATTCCATAACTACCTCACATGAGCTAGATGATGGGAGGCATAATTCATAATAAGCAGACCCTACCTTTAAATTCTATAAAGCCACAGCATTTAAATTATAACTATGCCACACAGCAGTAACCTATTTTCCTATTAATTATATCCCATAAAAGCAATATACCTTCACTAATTAATTATACTTGAAGTAACAACTATGGCTTAATTAAATGAACCATTCCTAATAATGAAACCTTAAAATAATTGGACTCTTCTGTCTAGAGGCAGTAACAATTATTGTCATTGGAAAGGATTTCAAACATGGCTATGCTAAGCAACACTGATTCATAACTGACATTGAACCTGAGATTTCCTAGAGCAGTAGCTCTCAAAACCTTTCGTGAAGGGCCAACTATTAAGTATTTTAGAATGTATGTGCCATGTGATCTCTGTCACAAGTACCAGTATTTGCCATCATAGTGCATAAGTAGCCGTAAACAATATGTAAAATAAAAGGATGTCACTTTATTCTAATAAAACTTTGTTTACCAAAATGCATCAGTGGCCTGATTAGCTCTGTGCTTTGTAGTTTGATGACCTCTTATGTAGAATCGAATTATTGAACTCATCTCTACTATGTTTCCAGATTTGCTAGTATTGTATTCTAGGTTTCTATCTTTCTCATCTATCCATCTTAATGGTTAAGTTTTACAAACCCTTATCATATATAATATTATTTAAATTATATTAATCTGCATTTAACACACATCTTTCTCTATTTTGTAATTTAGCATTTTTGAGCCACTAAAGTTTAAATTACAGTAGAGATGTAGACATTATGTAAAGGTATATTACTTTGTTGTATATGTTCATAAAAGACAATAATGGCCACATTGAAATGACACAATATGATCCACCAAAAGTGAGTAAGGCAGAGATTGTGTACATAAGTAACCAAGTACAAGTTCTGTCCTTCAAGTGAACCCCTACATCATTATTATTCCCTTATGGTGGAAATTCCAGAAGTAGATAGCACATAAATTTTACATCTTCTTATCTGATATATGGATAACTTTTTTATCAAGTATTCCTTTTTTTTTTTTTTCTTTTTTCTGAGATGGAATCTCGCTCTGTCACCCAGGCTGGAGTGCAGTGCTGCGATCTCGGCTCACTGCAAGCTCTGCCTCCTGGGTTCACACCATTCTCCTGCCTCAGCCTCCTCCCGACTAGCTGGCACTACAGGTGCCCATCACCACGCCTGACTAACTTTTCCCTATTTTTAGTAGAGACGGGGTTTCACCCTGTTAGCCAGAATGGTCTCGATCTCCTGACTTCATAACCGCCCACCTTGGCCGCCCAAAGTGCTGGGATTAGAGGCGTGAGCCACCGCGCCCAGCCCATATGCCTTCTTTCATTCATGGTTTACTAATTATAATATTCTATTTATGTAATTGAGAATTCCTTATTCCGTTTTTCTTTCTCATTTTCTTTCATCCCAATCATTTTCAGTCAAAATGTGTATATATATATGTGTGTGTGTATATATATGTGTGTATATATGTGTGTATATATGTGTGTATATATGTGTGTATATATGTGTATATATATGTGTGTGTATATATATGTGTATATATATGTGTGTATATATGTGTATATATATGTGTATATATATGTGTGTATATATATGTGTATATATATGTGTGTATATATATGTGTATATATATGTGTGTATATATATATGTGGATATATATGTGTGTATATATATATAGATGGGAAAGAAATACACAGCAATCTAGGAAGCATTGTGAAAAAATGGTGTGAACGTATGCATCAAAAAGTAATATTACAATTTTATTCAGTATCCCATCCAAACTTTTCTCCTGCAGGGCTTTCATGCTTGCTATTGTCAAATCTTCTCCCTTCTGCATAACTTTCATTTATCTTCTCTATTATTGCTATTGTCACATAAATGTGCTTTTATTTATCACATTAGAAAAATAGTCATTCTCCTCAGTCTACATGTCTCACAAATATAGAACTACTTTTTTTTTCTTCTTTAGAGCAAACTTTCTCAAAAGTATTCAGAAAAGTACAATGTGTAAAACAAGCAGCAAGAGAGGACATCTGTGTTAGGCTGAATAATGGTCTCAAGAGATGTCAGGTCTTAATCCTTAGTACCTGTAAATGTAACCTTTATGTCAAAGAGACTTGCAGATGTGAGTAAGTGAAGAATTTTGTGATGGAAGATTATCATGAATTATCTTGGTGGGCTCTAAATGCAATCTTAAGTGTCCTTATAAGAGTGATGGAGAGGGAGATTTGACATAGAATCTAGGTTGTGTGATCATGAAAGTGGAGAAATATTTGAAAATTATATGCTGCTATCTTTGAAGATAGAAGAAGGGGACTTTGAGACGAGAAATGTAGTTCTAGAAGCTGCGTTTCTGGAATAATTTCTAGAATTACTCTCCCCTGAGTTCTCTGGAAAAAATAGGGTGCTGATCACACCTTGGTTTTAGACCACTGATACTGATTATGAATTTTTGGCCTTCAGAACTATAAGAGAAAAAGTCTGTGTTGCTTTAAGCTACCCATTTTGTGGCAATTTGTTACAGCAGCATAGGAAAATAACAGAGAATCTCTTCTTGTTCCCAGGTTTAAAAGCAAGTCTTCTAACATTCCCACATTATTATGTCATAAGATATTGTTTATAGGATTTCAAAAGATACACTTTATCAACTTAATGAAGTGCCTTTTAAATCCTAGTTTAATAAGAGCATATATATATACAGTAAATTAATGATGAATTTTATCAAATACTTCTTTGTATCAATATCTGTTAGGATACAGATCTTATGTATCTGCATCTACTGAAATTATGTGATTTTTCTCATTTACTCTGTGAATGTGATGAATAATCTTTTTAATTGAATCTCAATTATAGAGAATTGAATTAATCATCATTTTGATTAATGACATACTTTCATCTTATGCCTATTCATGGTCACCTTTTATATGTAGGTAATTAAATAATAACTTTTACAGGGTTGGAAGTAACCAGCATATAGCACCCTGCATAAAAGCTAAAACCTGAAGAATGACCACATTTAGCCATATAGTTTCTCACTCCCATCTCATCCTCTATAATTACCAGTGTTTGAACCACAACCTCTTTCTTCTCTAAACCACTAGCTGAAATCTAAACTCAGCACTCCAACCTCCCATTTATTGATTTCTGCTAGGCTTCTTGACGTCTCACCTTGTGCATACATATCTTTGATACTGGCCACACTTAAGGGGCATTTGTATGCAGATATTCAGGCTCTCTCTCTGTGGTTACTTCCTTCTTGGAAATTTGTCTCGTGAGCCCCATACACACTAGATACTCTGAACTCTAATCTCTGTCACCTCAACACAGTAAAATTTCACTTTCTGTGTATGCTTTCTTTCTTCACATCAGTATTTGGGAAATGTTATTAGAGGAAAAATGTCTGAGTGAATGTAATTTATAGTCTATAATTATTTCTTTTTAATAATAATCCCACTCAAGCTCTGTATACATTGATTTTTCTCCAGTGTCTTCCAACAGTTGTCTAACATATTTTGCCCAGCTTTTATAGCCAACTTCAGGGTGTGAGTTTGTGCTACTTTATCATGGCCTGAACCTGAAATCCTCTAATTTTATTGAAATGGATGGTTATTATAGTTCATGTTGCATTTCTTGTGTTTCCAATACGTTTTTAGATTTTCTATTTCTCCACAATTCTGGAATTAAGAATCCATTTGTTTCATTCTAATCTAGTTTCTTATACATAATGCTAAAGGGAGTGTTGTTTCAATGACTGTCAATAACTTCTACATGGGCACCATTCACATTTCCCAAAGTCTCAGCAGCATTTCAAATTGTTGAAAATTTCTTCCTCTTCAAAACATTATTCATTATAGAGTTCTTTAAAAATATGCCAACCTTGCTTTTCTTCTTGCCACCTCAGCTTTTTATTCCCAACTCAATTGCAACACATTTTTTTTTCAGCTCATTTGGCGTTAATTTCTATTGTCTGTTTCAACCCTTCCTTGGTGATTTAACAATAAAAATAAATAATTCCTTTAAAAGGCTCATAAGTGTCGGTAACTCCCATAGCTTTACTTTTACCTGTGACTATTCTTCAACCTTCAGACTTAGACAGAAATTTGTTTAATTACCATCTTGCATTTCTCTCATGCCAAACGTCCACATGACTGATAGTCCTGTTATTTCTTTCTTCAAAGTATATATCAAATGCATTCACTCTTTCCATTGCCATTGCTACTATTACTGTTTTAGTCAATTCTGACTGCTATCACAAAGACCTATAGACTAGGTGGCTTAGAAATAACAAAAATCAATTTTTTCACAGTTCTAAAGGCTAGAAGTCTGAGACCATGGTACCAGAGTGACCAGGTTTCAGTGATATCTCTCTTCTAAGTTGCAGACTACCATTTTCTTCTTGTATCCTCACATGTCAGAGAGTGAGAGAACTCTCTTGGGTCTATTATATAGGGGAACTAGTTCCATTTAGAAGGGCTCCAACCTCATGATGTAACCACCTCCTGAAAGTCCCACCTCCTAATACCATCATATTAAGGGTTAGGATTTCCACCTATAAGTTTCAGAGACAGGGTGGCAACAGCCATGCAGTCCATTGCAATCACTATCCAAAACATCACCGTCATCATTATCTCCATTCCTTTTTTTTTATTATTATTATACTTTATGTTTTAGGGTACATGTGCACAATGTACAGGTTAGTTACATATGTATACATGTGCCATGCTGGTGTGCTGCACCCATTAACTCATCAATTAGCATTAGGTGTATCTCCTAAAGCTATCCCTCCCCCCTCCCCCCACCCCACAACAGTCCCCAGAGTGTGATGTTCCCCTTCCTGTGTCCATGTGTTCTCATTGTTCAGTTCCCACCTATAAGTGAGAATATGCGGTGTTTGGTTTTTTGTTCTTGCGATAGTTTACTGAGAATGATGATTTCCAATTTCATCCACGTCCCTACAAAGGACATGAACTCATCATTTTTTATGGCTGCATAGTATTCCATGGTGTATATGTGCCACATTTTCTTAATCCAGTCTATCATTGTTGGACATTTGGGTTGGTTCCAAGTCTTTGCTATTGTGAATAGTGCCGCAATAAACATACGTGTGCATGTGTCTTCATAGCAGCATGATTTATAGTTCTTTGGGTATATACCCAGTAATGGGATGGCTGGGTCAAATGGTATTTCTAGTTCTAGATCCCTGAGGAATCGCCACACTGACTTCCACAATGGTTGAACTAGTTTACAGTCCCACCAGCAGTGTAAAAGTGTCCCTATTTCTCCACATCCTCTCCAGCACCTGTTGTTTCCTGACTTTTTAATGATTGCCATTCTAACTGGTGTGAGATGGTATCTCATTGTGGTTTTGATTTGCATTTCTCTGATGGCCAGTGATGGTGAACATTTTTTCATGTGTTTTTTGGCTGCATAAATGTCTTCTTTTGAGAAGTGTCTGTTCATATCCTTTGCCCACTTTTTGATGGGGTTGTTTGTTTTTTTCTTGTAAATTTGTTTGAGTTCACTGTAGATTCTGGATATTGGCCCTTTGACAGATGAGTAGGTTGCGAAAATTTTCTCCCATTCTGTAGGTTGCCTGTTCACTCTGATGGTAGTTTCTTTTGCTGTGCAGAAGCTCCTTAGTTTAATTAGATCCCATTTGTCAATTTTGGATTTTGTTGCCATTGCTTTTGGTGTTTTACACATGAAGTCCTTGCCCATGCCTATGTCCTGAATGGTAATGCCTAGGTTTTCTTCTAGGGTTTTTATGGTTTTAGGTCTAATGTTTAAGTCTTTAATCCATCTTGATTTAATTTTTGTATAAGGTGTAAGGAAGAGATTCAGTTTCAGCTCTCTACATATGGCTAGCCAGTTTTCCCAGTACCATTTATTAAATAGGGAATCCTTTCCCCAATGCTTGTTTTTCTCAGGTTTGTCAAAGATCAGATAGTTGTAGATATGTGGCGTTATTTCTGAAGTCTCTGTTCTGTTCCATTGATCTATATGTCTGTTTTGGTACCAGTACCATGCTGTTTTGGTTACTGTAGCCTTGTAGTATAGTTTGAAGTCAGGTAGTGTGATGCCTCCAGCTTTGTTCTTTTGGCTTAGGATTGACTTGGCAATGCGGGCTCTTTTTTGGTTTCATATGAACTTTAAAGTAGTTTTTTCCAATTCTGTGAAGAAAGTCATTGGTAGCTTGATGGGGATGGCATTGAATCTGTAAATTACCTTGGGCAGTATGGCCATTTTCACGATATTGATTCTTCCTACCCATGAGCATGGAATGTTCTTCCATTTGTTTGTATCCTCTTTTATTTCATTGAGCAGTGGTTTGTAGTTCTCCTTGAAGAGGTCCTTCACATCCCTTGTAAGTTGGATTCCTGGGTATTTTATTCTCTTTGAAGCAATTGTGAACGGGAGTTCACTCATGATTTGGCTCTCTGTCTGTCTGTTATTGGTGTATAAGAATGCTTGTGATTTTTGTACATTGATTTTGTATCCTGAGACTTTGCTGAAGTTGCTTATCAGCTTAAGGAGATTTTGGGCTGAGACAATGGGGTTTTCTAGATATACAATCATGTCGTCTGCAAACAGGGACAATTTGACTTCCTCTTTTCCTAATTGAATACCCTTTATTTCCTTCCCCTGCCTAATTACCCTGGCCAGAACTTCCAATGCTATGTTGAATATGAGTGGTGAGAGAGGGCATCCCTGTCTTGTGCCAGTTTTCAAAGGGAATGCTTCCAGTTTTTGCCCATTCAGTATGATATCATTATCTCCATTCTATATTTGGATAATAGTCTCTGACTTTGTCTTCTTGCATTTATTCTTTTCCCCTAAAGTGATTCTTCAAAGAGTAATGTCAAAGAGAACCAGAGCCAGAGGGTAATTAAAGCAGTAAAGAAAGATTTTATTCAGAAATTATTACAACACAGGAAAAGAGACTTTAGTAGAGAAATGAGCTCAATTCCAAATACAAGCACACATGGAAATTTATAGCAAAAGAGCAGTGTGAAGGGGTCAGTGGATGGAAAATTATTAAGAGGAGACGTCAAAAGTAGGGGAACTCTTGCTAAACCAAATTAACAGGATTCTTGCTGAAGGCAGCTCAGGGTGATCAGATATCAAGATTCTCTCTATATGGACTTAAGGATTCTTGTTAAAAGTGAGCTATGGAGACTAGGCAAGGGGCCTAGGTGAAGATCTAGTTGAGAGGAGAGCTCAAAAATCTGACTAAAGTTTGGTGAAGGAGAGAGTCTTTGTCAGTATTTGTGTTAATTTTTTTTAATTACTAAAAGTGAGGCTTATTTGCATTCTTCAAGGACTTACCAATTAATAAGCTATGTTAAAATCTCCAGTTTTAATGTCTATTTCTTCTTTCAACTTCTGTTATTTCTGCTTTATGAAAATTGTAATTTTGTGTATGTTATTAATATATATTTTATTTTTAATGTAGAATGAAGCATGAATCCTTCTGTAGAATAAATTTCCCTTCCTTATCCTGTTAAATTTATTTTGTCTTAAATTCTATCTTGTCTCAATAGCAAAATTCTGACAACTATTTCAGGATCTTGCTATCATACAAGATCTATCTTTGCTCTTCCTTTTACATTAAACCATTCTGAATTGCCTTGTTCAATATGTTTCTTGCACACAGAATAGATTGGATTCTGCTCCATTAGCCAATCTAAAAGTACGCCATTTAATGGTGAGTTAAGCCCATTTGTGTCTTTGATATACCTGTTATGCTGGTGTTAAGTTCTGTTATATAAGTTTTTGCTATATAAATAATTTATATAAAATCTTGCCCTGTATTTACACTTTAATTTGAGGCGCGGGATATACTCATCTGGTATTTATAAATGTTTCTATGTTTATTCTTATTATTATCTTATAATAATATTATAATAAAATATACTAGTCCTCTAGTGTGTTTGAATACTATCTATTGTTTTCTTCAATGAGTAGTAATACTGTTCTCTAGTAAACTCTCTTTCCTTTCTTCTCTCTTTTTGCTTAACATTTATTTACTTTAATTCCATATTTTTTAATGGCAGTTAGATACTCCCGAGATAGTCATTAAGATTCGTCTACTTTCTTTTTCTTCTCCTTTTTTCTGTTTGTTGTTGAGTTGCATTATTTCTTCATGTTTAACACACTTAATAGCATCATGTTTTGTCACTTTAATCCCCATTACTTGCTCTTAATTATAAAATTAAACATATTTAGTCCTTATCCAGAAGCTTCACATGATGTTTGTCTTCTTGTCAGTAGGTAGGACATTTCTAAAAAAGCCATCACAGGAACAATGTTTTTTAAAATCATAAATATTCATGAAGTTCTACATTCCTTAGACATGATTCATAGTTTGCATGAATAAAATCTCATCTCGCTACTGTGTTATCTGTTTCATAATCATTAAACCATTTCTTGATTATCATCCTGTATAAAATGTTGCTATCAAGAAGTCTATTATCAATATAAACTTCTTATCCTTTTACCTTCATGCTCAAATAATTAATATTATTTTTTATTTTAATTTTTGTTCTTAGAAATAACCATTACATGGGTATTACTATTCTTTGCCTAAGTTTTATGTTTAGAAAATTTTTAGATATTTTTAATCTCTCAATTTCTGTTTTTTACTCTTATTTTTATACTCTATATCTCTTACTATAGTTTGTACCACTTCTATTTGATTTTATGTACCTTCAAATTATTTTTTTCTAAAAATTATTTTCTAAAATTTATCTTACTTGTCTCAGATTATCTGATTCTCTGATTAATTTTGATTTTGTTCCAATTGTTTTTCTTCAGGGTAAGTATTTTTCTTTTGCGAGTGAGCATTATTGATGATTTCTTGTTGTAGTTTATTGATATTAAGATCTTACAATACTTCCTTTTATCTTCATTTTATCTTTGCCATTAACTCCAGCTGGTACTGGCCCTATGCTGCCAATGATTAGGACAATTACTCTTGTATTCTGGGTTTCATGCTGATTATTTGTCACCTGTTTTAGTTGGTGATGTCACCCATGGGTTTTTCAGTTACTTCTCCTAACTCCTCTGCCTGGTGTTTGGTACAGATCCAGACATAAATGAAAGAAAAGGAGATAGATAGATGGATAGATAGATGATAGATAGATAGATAGGATAGATTAGATAGATAAATAGATAGATAGATACATATTTACATATGAACTTACATACCATAGTTTGCTGCTGAGAGTCTCTCCAGTTTATTTTATTTAATATTCTCATAATCTAGAAGCTATTCTCTACAATGATAAAATAATCCAACTCTCAGGCAATACTGAGCAAAATACAACGTAACTAATATCTCAACATACTTGACCCTATATTTTATATGAAAATAAATGAGGTCAGGCGCAAAGGCTCATGCCTATAATCCCAGCACTTTGGGAGGCCGAGGCGGGTGGATCACTTGAGGTCAGGTGTTCGAGACTAGCCTGACCGACATGGTGAAATCCCGTGTCTACTAAAAAAAACCACAAAAATTAGCCAGGCGTGTTGGTGCATGCCTGTAAGCCCAGCTGCTTGGCAGGCTGAGGCAGGAGAATTGCTTGAACCTGGGAGGTGGAGGTTGCAGTGAGTTGGGATCATGCCATTGCACTCCAACTTGGGCAACAAGAGCAAAAAATCTCTGAAAAAAAAAGAGTAAAACACTGGTTGCTCTCTGTTTTAGTAATATGTTATTTATTAGGTAAATGTGATACATATTAAGTAAAGTGGGATTTTTCTTAGAGAAGATATTTATCTCTATTGAGGTAGCAAAATAAATATGTATAGATTGAATGAATTTGTCTCCCTTTAGGTTTAAATAAGAAATGGGTGTGTGTGTTTTCTTGGCCTATTCCTATTTTTCCTGGCTTATTCATATTCTAATTCCTCTTGTTTATATAATTATTCACTTTGATCACCTCATATATCTTATCTTTTTCGGGTGGCCTAAAAGCAAAAATATTCTTACAGTCTAGTCAGCATTTGCTGTGCTTCTTATTATTGTACTTGTTTAGCACAAACTTGATGCTGATTCTACTTCTCATTCTTCATGACAAAACAAGTGGAAAAAATATCTGGGAATTGGCTCTATGACATGGCTAAATAACACTAATATGGGTCTTGTGCTCTTAATCTATAAAATGGGAATAATAAAAATAGCAAGTCTGTAATCACTGCTATGTGAAAACCCCGAGTTTTATGAGTGCTTCTGGGAATACCTAGTAAAGAAAACATATCTGTGTGCTTTATCTTTTAATAGTTAAAAACAGTTTTGACAATAAGTAGTTTATATTTATTAGTTATTATAATACATATAATTGTAAATAGTTTATAGGTATTAGTTATTATAATATACATGTACATATAACACATTCATATAAACTATAAGTAGTTTATGCATATTAGTAATTATAATATACCTATTATAATAACTAAGAATAGAAAAGCAATGTAGAAACTAAGAGTTATATAATACCCATAGTAATTAATCAATAAGCAAATACTATTTTTAGTATTTTTATACTATTTGTATATGTATTCATTACTTTATGTATATAATTCTTTATATAATTCTTAGGTTCTATAATACCTTTATTCTGTATATTTTGAATTATGTATTTAATAGCCTAATATATTTCTAATTTGCAGAAAACAAGGAAAATTGTCTTCCTTCAATTATTATAAGTATGCATTTCTTTATCCAGGGAGGCTAAAAGGCAAGATCATAACAAGCTATTATATGGAAAATTAGTTCTTCAAAATATTCCTTTTAAAATTGAGGCAACAGAATCATTTTTCCCTCTCATTGTATGTTTAACTTAAAATTGTTTCAACAACAATATGTAGATTGCCAGTTCAAGTTCTCAGGTGTAACAAGACTCACATTTCTTTGTTATACAATATAATATAAATATAAAGTAAAACATTATATTAAAATGAAAGTTTTATAATATTTAGACATTAATATCTCAGCCTTTCATTAGCATATTATTTGAAGAAAGGCATTCACTTTTTCACAGGTTACTTCCTTGCTCCTGAAAATGACGATGTTCTATTTTCTACTATTTTTGTCTAAAAATTTAAACAGGTTAGTATATCCTCTGCATAAATGCTACAAAATACAATGCACAATAATTTTGTTAAAATTACTAAATGTTAGTAAAATATTTGATTAGTTTTCCTAATAATTGTTTCCTTATTTTTCATATCTATATATGCAGTCATTCTAAAGTTAAGGACTACTCTCTTGATAATGGAGAAATCTTTCAACACACAAAAACAAAATTTTTATTGTCTTTTAAATAGGTCCTGAGAAGAGGATTAGAAAAAGGCAACACATCAAAAAGTTAAGAGGCAGAAATAGCTTTTATGTTGCTGGTAAATTTAATGAGATCTTAAGTTTTTCGACTGGCAAGTCTCATCTCTTTGAGCATCTCAGTGAAGACTGTCAGAAATCATCAAAATTCAACACAACAGAGTAAAAGCTAATAGCATTTTTGTTATACCAAAACTGAAAGGATTGGTAAGACTCAAAATGAATGCTATTACTGAAAATCTTCTTTTATCTAATTCTTTGTGCAGTGAGTGAAAATTGAACAAATACATATCCTTTTTATGGTGTTAAAATGAATTCTGACACTATTAAACAAATATTCTTTGGTCCTAAGACCTCCTCAATACTTCTTTCACAAGCAGTATTATTAGAATATCCTATGTGACTCTAGTTCAAAATATTCTGGCTACCATTTGATTATTTTCTGTGAAATAAAAATGCAGCACTGCATTTTTTTAAAAATACTGTGTTTTGATGAAGAAGGAAGTTTTTGAGTGGTTATCACATTAGAGAAATTTTTATTGTAATCAACCTTTGATAATTTCTGACATGATTAATATTTATCTTCTTTTCTAGATGTTCTTAAGTATCAAAAAGCAATAAAGATAAAATACAGGACATCAAATATATCACATACATTCATATATCTCAAGAAATGAAAGCAATGAAAGAGCTGTGATATGATCCATATTTTTTGTTTATTGACAACTAATGCAAAATTCCAAACAATAATGAAGCAACTACAGATTGGGGAAAATAGTAAATCAGAAAGAGCAATTGAGAGAGCCTTTTTAGAAAAAAGTTTTCTCCTTTGGAATTATGTTACATTTTGAGTAATTATTATGATATTCAACCATTAATTTATACATTTGTTTTTAATTTAACATATATTTTGAGTACTAAATATATCAGGCACTATTATAGGTGCTTGTGTTAATTAACAACCAGTTTTCTAGAATGTGTAAAGTGCCATAGAAAATACCTCTTGGGTTCTATGCTCACTACCTGGATGATGGGTTCAGTCATACCCAAACCTCAGCATCATGCAGTATACTCTGTAACAAACACTCACATATATCCTCAAATCTAAAAGTTGAAATTAAAAAAAAAAATAAAAAGCAAATAATTATATTAAGTATATTAACTAAAACAAAACTGATTCCGTTTTAGAAAAAGAATTTAGAAATGAGGGGGAGTGGAGACTAGAATAACACTTATGGTGTTCAATCAGAATCAAAACTATCAATATATACTTAAGTTTACTTTTTTTCTACATTAGATAGAAATTGAAAAGAATGTGTAGATATATAAATAGACCTAGACGCACGTTTGTGTGTGAATGTGTATATATATATATATATATATATATATATATTTTTTTTTTTTTTGAGATGGAGTCTTTCTCTGTTGCCCAGCTTGGAGTGCAGTGGCCCGATCTCGGCTCACTGCAAGCTCTGCCTCCTGGATTCATGCCATTCTCCTGCCTCAGTCTCCCAAGTAGCTGGGACTACAGGCACCTGCCACCACGCCCAGCTAATTTTTTTGTATTTTTAATAGAGACGGGGTTTCACCGTGTTAGCCAGGATGGTCTTGATCTTCTGACCTCATAATCCGCCCATCTCAGCCTTCCAAAGTGCTGGGATTACAGGTGTGAGCCATAGCGCCCGGCTGAATGTGTGTATATTTCTTAATTTTAACCACTAAGACTAGAAGCAATAACATTTTAATAGCAATCAGCACATCTAGCATTCAAATCTTGGATTCACTTTTTTCTTCTTTAAAAGGATACAGAGCTCCTTGGATCAATGCCTGATTCTAGGTGCATGCGGCAGAAAGAACAAAATGGGTCTGAGACATCTGTTGTTGTTAAGAAAATAAGGAAGTCTCAACTAATGATTGAGACATGCCAAAGAACATAGGAGCTAACTAGAAGTGGCTCTCAGTGACCCAAACTGAGATAAATTGAACAAGGGAATAAATAATGATGGCAATAGATTATTCAGATTAATTAAACCAAATACACATGAATCCACACTAATATAAATAAATAATTGGATAAATAAGAAAAGTGGGACAAAGGAAAGCTTTTCCATACAGTAGAATTCTAATCAATAAATATAGAAAGAATAGTGGAAATAGATTCTCATTTCTTGGCAAATACCACATAATTGTTGCAGACAAGTCTGCTAAAATTAGTGGATACAATTATGAGAAACAAGATATTTACATAATCTCCAAGTATCTCTCAACAAAATACTGATTTTAAAAATGGTAACTTTGAAGTGGAGAAATGTGGCAGACAATGTCTTATTCAAGTGATCAGAGTTAACGTCAACAATATTAGGACACAATAATATCATGTGCCTCCTGATATGATGCACTGAGAAGGACAACCTCGGCATTGTGGCATTCTTGCCAAAATATATTATGTGAATTTAACCATGAAGAAATATTAGAAAAAAATCAAACTTCAAAATAATCTACAAAAAACAAGTATCAAGGGCATGAAAGACAAAAAGAAAAGCTGAATTTTCTTTTTTAACTTTTTTTTTTTTTTGAGATGGAGTCTTGCACTGTTGCCAAGGCTGGAGTGCAGAGGCGTGATCTCTGCTCACTGAAAGCTCCGCCGCCTGGGTTCACGCCATTTTCCTGCCTCAGCCTCCCAAGTAGCTGGGACTACAGGTGCCCGCCACCACGCCAGCTAATTTTTTGTATTTTTAGTAGAGACGGGGTTTCACCGTTTTAGCTAGGATGGTCTCCATCTCCTGTTCTCATGATCCGCCCGCCTCGGCCTCCCAAAGTGCTGGGATTACAGGCATGAGCCTCCGCACCCGAATAAAGAAAACTAAAGAAATGTAGCAGATAAATGCAATATGTGACCCTGATTTTGATCCTAGTTAAAAAACATTAGTGGAACCATGAACAAAATATGTAAATAAGGTCTGTAGGTAAGTAACTAATTCTGTATCAATTTCCTAATGTGAGTAACTGTACTCTTAGATATGGTGTTAGCAGTCAAGAAGCTGGGTGAAGAATATATAGGAATTCTTGATTTTTTTAAATATATTTTTGTAAGCTTTAAAGTAGTTCAAAATGAAAATTTTAAAATAAAATGAATAAAAAAGAAAAAGGATAGGATGGATCTTCTGAAGTATTGTGCTAAATATGAAATTCATGGTCCATCCCTGAGGTCTTTTATATTACAGTGTTTAAGATATAAAATAAATGTAAAGAAAACCAAAGAATGATCAATAGTGATGAAAGTTATCACTATTTCTGGATAAACCATGTTCTACGATAGCACATAACTGGTGATAGCTTGGAGTCATGCGAAGACCTCTCCAAGAAAATGAAATGTAAAGTGATGACTTAAATATGGAAAAGGAACCATTTGATTAAAAAGCCAAACTATGAAGCTTCAAAGACAGGATGTTACCTTGTGCAAAACCCTGACTTGGGGAAAAACTGTGTTTCAAGAGTGGAAAGAGCCCTGTCTCATTAGGAGTGAGGGTCTTGAATGGTGCCTGTGGTTGTAGACAGCAGAGCAGAGCTTTAGCATCCTGGAGATTTGTAATTGTACTCCACAAGTAACTAAAGGATTTAAGGCAGAGGAGGGAAAGAATCTTGCTTACATTACAAAAAATAAAAAAGAAAAAGAAGAAATAAAAAAATAGAAAAAAATGTAATATATATTATTATTATTACATTGGTTTATAGTAATTGGTTTATATCTAATTTGTTTCCCTGTGTTTATAATACATATATATCTCTGCCTCTTAAACCAAGAATAATTTTTACAGGGACAAGAATAAACACAAGGAAATGAATTAGAAAACTATTAAAGTGAAAGGACAAGAAGGTGGAGACCTTGTTCAAAATAATGAAATACATATTTAATATATGTGCAAGTTTGAAGAAAAGAGCTACTGATAGGGTTTTGGTGTATTAGATAAGATAAAATCAATGGGAACACCAGCTGAAGTAAACAAACAAGCATACACACACAAACTGGGAAGCAGAGAAAATAACAAAACTCTACTTAAAACATTATGAATTTCAGTTGTCTATAAAACAATCCACATTTGATATTAAGTAAGTAGATGACTATGCAAAGCTCTAACTCAGAGAAGATACCAAAATTGGAAATATTCTGAGATGCTATCATGTAACTGGCCTTTAAACTCATGAAAATGCTTGAGAACACTCAGGGGAAAAAGTGAGTAAGTAGAGAAAAAAGAAAGTACTCAGCTAAGTGGGTTGAAGACAGTACAGGAAATATTGAAGGAGACTGTCTATTGTTTGATTGATTTCTTTCAAAGAAAGAATACAAAGTAAGTTGATAACTGAAGGACAACGGTAGGTCAATGTAAACTTTTAACAAAAAGGGAATTATTCATTAATGAGAATGATAATACTAAAATGAGAGGGAGAGCTAAGGGACAGAATTTACTTAATATTGGGAGATCTCATCAATTTAGCATAAGACATGTGGTAACTTTGTAGAAGGTTATTGTTATGAATGCTGTGGGAGTGAATGCATTGGGAAACTAAAATAGAATGTTTGGCACTGTTGAGTATCCTTTTAAGTTTTGTAATGAATTGAAATCATGTTATTAGTTACAACGTAGATGAGCCTGGAGGACATTATGTTAAGTGAAATAAGACAGGCACAGAGAGAGAAAAACCACATGTTCTCACTTATATGTGGGAGCTAAAAATGGGCTTATAAAAGTAACAAGTAGAATTGTAGTTATCAGAGGCTGGAAAGGATGGGAATAAGAAGAGGATGGAAAGAGGTTGGTAAGCAAAGTTAACTTTGTAACAAAGTTGTAGCTAGAAGGGAGGAATAGCTCTAGCGTTCTGTAGCACTGCAGGGTGAATTAAGTTAACAATAATTTAGTGAATTTTTTTAAAAACCTACCAGATAGAATTCTGAATATTCACATCACAAGGAAATGACAAATGTACAAGGTGATAGTATGCTAATTACTCTGATTAGAATATTTCATATTGTATACATGTATCAAAATATCACTCTGTATCCCATAAATACGTATAATTATGTGCCAACTAAAAACAAAAGAAAAAATAGAATTCAAAATATAATCAATGTTCAACAAAAGCTTATTAAATTAAGACAAAGAAGCTATTGAAAATCATTTTTAATTCTGAATTTAAATTAAAATAATCTAGCTTAATTATGTCATTTCCCCCCAGAATTCTTATGCTTTTTGGATGCTAGCCCATTAAAAAAAGGACAAAATTTGGAATCATATTGTTTACTCTAATAACCTAGTCTAAATCACGATTCTAGAGAGAAGTGGTAAAGACTCAAATTGTTATTATATTAGAAACTTAGCCTTCTGAAGGCAATATTAGGGAAAAAGAACTCTAGGCCACAATGAGAATGAGAGTAGTTTAAACAGGAAAAGGAAGAATCAGAGAGATTATTGAAAATGCCATCAACTAAGCATAATTCAAACAGAAAACAACATATATATATATATATATTTTTTTTTTTCACCTAGGATTAGTAAATCAAGAAAATTGTATTACAATTTTATTGGATGGTGAGTTCTATAATACACTAAGTATAAAAAAAGAAGTAAAAGACTTGACATATACCATAATAAAATATTTAATAAGAACATATCTAGTAAGTACATAGAAATATATAAATAAAAACAGCTTTATTCAATAAGTATTTGTGACTATTATATATCTTATCTCATTTATCTTCACATTATTTTTGTAGGATAAATATTACTAATTTGATGTGTTGGTTGCAAAAAGGGTAATGTCACTAAAAGAAGTCAGATAGCCTGATTAAGGTTTTACATTCATTCATTGTGACAAATATATAATGAGAACACAATTTCTCTTATTATATCAAACTACCTGCTAAACAGCAAAAGGAGTTTGATGATTTAATTACATATACTTTATCTTAATTCCCAAAGTGTATTAATATGGAAGGGCATTCTTTGTTGGTACTTGATGAGGTAAGAATTAAGAATTTAAAACTTATTGGTATAAACATATACCTAATTTAAATCATTTAAGTTATGATATATTAAGCTAACACATGCTTGAATTTGTTACTACTTTTGAAAATTTCTGTGTCTCCCCACACCTTCCTCATTCCACTTCGCTAGTTATTATGTTTCTTTTTTAATTTATGAAGATGGAATATAATGCCCAATTCATAATACTGTTTTTCAGGTACAAAGTTGGCATAGACAATACTGAAATACATGTGATGACATTTACAGTAGCAATTCAAATTAAAAGAGAAAAGCATCTTTCTAAACCATCTTCAAGTAAACACTTGCCATTTATTTCTACTAGCAAATATTTCTATGTATCCTAAAAATTAAAAGTGATATACATTGAGTAAGACTTTACAGTCCTCAGAATACTATAATGGAAAAATATGTATTTGATATGTTTTCCTGCCATTTCGCTATCTAGAAAATGTCCTAATTCTTAAAAAAGATCATTAGCTAGCCACTGAAATCTCAGGGGGAAAAGCTGTTAAAACTGACAGCTACATTTTATAACACTACACATATAGACAACTCAGAGTTTAAATACATTGGATTTGTAATCTCTCTGTTATTTAGAAGAGGTGCTGTATAGGTGAAGGACTCATTTTGTGAACCTTTCTTACTATATCAGCTAATTTATTCTTAGAACATTTCTAGAGAAAGAAAAACAGCAAGAGATCATCAGAGAATAAAAAAAGTATTATAAAAATGAGTTAAAATCATTTAAAGTAGCAGTTTATTTTTCAGAAAAGAATTTTAAGCCTCTACATATTTATGAACAAGAATGGAAACTCTTGAACAACAGTCATGAAAATTTAAAATACAGATCTGATAAAAAATTCCTCTGCCTGTTTTATCAAATGTGTTTGGATTGGAAATAAATGGGGAGTTTGTTTCATAGCTCCCCTGGGTTGGAGGTAAAAAGTTTCTATTCCTTAGGAAATGGAATAAAATAAATTGGTTAAAAGAAGTTTTGAGATTCATTCGTCCATAGCATTCTAAAATAGGAATTAGCTTAGAAAGGTCATCAACGACCAAAATTATCTGAGTTTGGTGGAGATAAAAAAGCAAGACTGAAAGTTATATTTTTTTTCAAGCAATGTTTGAATGGATAAAGTACAGAAGGAGAAAAATGGTTGCATTTCTATGCATTGAAAATGCTTATTTGGTTTTCTTTTAAGCTTGTTGTTTCAAATGGCCCACTTAAATTTACTGACTCTATACCAAATAAATTAATCTCACTTTTCACACTGCTATCCCTCTAGTTTCTTGCCTCAATTTATTCCAGAATGACATTCTACATTTATTCAATAAGTACTCAGAGGGATGTGTTATGTGCATGGCATTCAACTAACCATTAGTTGGACAAGACAAACTAAGTAAAGGATATCTTTCCTGCCTTCTTAAGGTTTGCAGTTTAATTATCTTGATTTCGAGCCTCATTCTCTTACATTTTCACTAATTTTCCATATTTTTTCTAAGTCTCTGAGAAGTTTTGATAGTGAATTCCATCACCTTTATATTAGCTAAGCTCTCATTGGCTTTCTAACTCAATTTATCACATGGATATTGACTTTCAACCATGTTTTCTTTTTTCTTTTTTTTTTTTTTTCTTTTGAGATGAGTTTTGCTCTTGTTGCCTAGGCTGGAGTGCAATGGCGTGATCTCGGCTCACTGCAACCTCTGCCTCCAGGGTTCAAGCGATTCTCCTTACTCAGCCTCCCAAATAGCTGGGATTACAGGTGTGCACTACCATACCCAGCTAATTTTGTAATTTTAGTAGAGACCGCGTTTCTCCATGTTGGTCAGGCTGGTATTGAACTCCTGATCTCGTAGTCCCCCCGCCTCGGCCTCTCAAAGTGCTAGGATTACAGATGAGAGACACCGTGCCTGGCCTCAACCATGTTTTCAATTCTGAAAACAACTAAGAAGTATATGACCGTTCTTACCTTCAAATAAATACAATTTTAGTCTAAATGATAAAACGACTCTATATAGGTAAATTCATCATAAGTTAGGAAGTGCAAGTGGAATGAAAAGTTGAAAAAAATGGCATAGTACGTGAGTATGAAAGGATACAGAATTAAAACCCATCTAGAAGATTCAGTAAAATATATGGCTTCCTTTTTATCCAAATAATTTTAGAAACTTTCCCTCCAACTTCCACACTTCTATGGCATTCAATTCCCATCTTTATTTTATTTCGTCTTATATTTTGTTTTACCTTCTGTCTTTACTTTCCCTTCTTGTTGAAGTAATTATTTCCTAGAAACATAGATCTTCATAAGGTTTATTACTGATTTAACATCTAAAGTTATCATATGAGCTAGATTATGTTATCTAGCAATTTATCAATTGCAAAAATTTCACCCAATTGTAATTTAGAAAAAGTGTCAAACCCCCTAATAAGTTGCAAGAATAACAAAACTAATATTCAAATACATGCAACTCAATCCATAATCCATGTTTGTGTGTGTGTGTAAAGTTTTTTTTTTTTTTGAGACTGAGTTTCGCTCTTGTTGCCCAGGCTGGAGTGCAATGGTGCAATCTCGGCTCACTGTAACCTCCGCCTCCCAGGTTCAAGTGATTCTCCTGCCTCAGCCTCCCGAGTAGCTGAGATTACAGGCATGCGCCACCACACCCAGCTAATTTTGTATTTTTAGTAGAGACTGGGTTTCTCCACATTGGTCAGGCTGGTCTTGAACTCCCGACCTCAGGTGATCTGCCCGCCTCAGCCTCCCAAAGTGCTGGGATTACAGGTGTGAGCCACCGCCCCAGCTAAATTTTTTAACTTATTCAAAAATCAGTTGTATACATCACTATAATTCACAGGGATAAGCAAATTATTTCTATAAAGAGCAATATAACAAATATTTTAGGAGTGTGTGTCTGTAAACTTTTGAGCTTATTCAAAAAGTAGTTGCAAACATTATTATGAGTCACAGTGTCAGCAAAGTATTTATTTCTATAAAGGGTAAGACAGTAAATATTTTAGGCTTTGGGAACATTGTAGAAGTTTCTGTCACAACTGCTAAACCCTGTTGTAACAAGAAAGTAGACAAAATGCAAACAAATGGCTGTGGTTACAATATTATCAACTTTATTCATAGACACAAATGTTAAATTTTGTTAATTTTGTTTTACGAACTATTATTCTGTTGATATTTTTGTATTATTCAAAAAATATAAAAACATTCTTAGCTGCAGGTTGTACAAAAACAGGCAATAGGACAGGTTCAGTGTATGGGCTGAAGTCTGCTAAACCCTGTGGTTCAACTATAAATATTACAGTATATAGCTGCTAATAGCAAGAGCAATGTCCTATTTATACACAAGAAAATTATCACAGGTGGAAATTATATTAAATACATTTTAATCATGCAAATTATACAGGAATGTAGTACTTTTGAAAAAATCAAACGATTACCAGTAAATCTATTGTGTGTTGGTTCATCCCCAGAAGGCCATTATTATCAGTGTGGTTTGCGTATTTCCAGACATTTTCCAAAGCAATCACATAAGTTTATTTTAAAAATGTATTCTCACATATTTTACTGATAAACCATTTAAAAGTAAATGTGCAAACAATAGTTCTGCAATTCATTCATTCTCTTTAATAAGAAACATGCTGGAGACAAAGAAGGCAGGTTTTTTGGTAACCATATAACTGGCTAACCTCTTGGCAAACAAACTAAGAAGTTTCCAGGAAGGAATATCTTACCTACAGAATGCTTTTAGAAGAATGCATGTGCTGTGATTTCTTTTCTAGGGTTGTTTATAATAAAACCTAAATCTCTTTGACTCATGGGGCGTAGTTTCCTGGACCATCTAAAGACAAAATGAGATATTTTGTGATCTAAATATCTCCTCTGTGTAAGTGAGATGACCGCACATCTTACTCAGAATCATCATCTATTATCCTTGTTCAAAGCATACCTGATGTGGGATTCTCACAGTGCTATCTGACCTTACCTTGCTCCACCTGTACCTCACAATAATTTTTATCCATAAAATTATTAGTTAAGTTTGCATAAGATCTCCGATGCATGTGAGTCTGATTTGATAATCTAATACTTTGTGTATTTTTAACCACAATAATGTGTTTTTATTTTTCAATTTAATATGTATTGGAAATCTTAGTGATTCAACACACGTTAATCTTTATCATTTCTTTAACTCTTAGATATGTCATATTTACTTAGCCATTTCTCTATTGGTGGACATTTAATCTATTTAATGGGCTTTTGACTATTTTTAAAAAGCTGTAATTGACATCCTATTGCATTTTATTGCACATATGTTAGTATTTCATAAGACAGATGATGAGTTAAGGAAAATTGTGCTTATAAGTTATTCACGTTGTAAAATTTAATAGATATCAAAAATTTTCATCTAAAGTGGTCTTAAATTACAGATGTCAATTTGATATTATTAAACTTTGAATTATTTTGCTAAACCCATGGATTGAAAGTATAATTTTATGAAATCTTAGGTACCACAGGAAGAAGTATAAATTGATACAACTGATTTGAAAAAAAGTTAGTCTGTGATTAAATAAGTATCCACATATGTTTGCTCCTAAAATTCCTTGGATAGTTATATGTTGTAGATAAACTTATGCATATAATTCTGAGAGCATATGTCCAAGTATTTTCATATTGACTTTGCTCCTAAGCAACCAAACTTTAAAATAACACAAATGTATATAAGGAATAAAATAGAAAATTCTCATCTATATAAACAATCAAATATTATAGAGCAGTGAAAATAAATAAATTACAACTGCTTGCAACAACAGGGCTGTCACTCATAAACATATGTTGAACAAAAGGAGTGTGGCACAAAATAATACAGAAAGAGGATTTCATAGTAATTATCAAAGCAGGCCAAAAAACACTAAGGTATGTTGTTCAGAGATGCATACATGCTATACCTTTTTGAAGCACAGCAAAAAAATTATACATAAAACTTAGGGTGAGAGGAGCTTCTTTTAGGAAGGGACACTTGGGGGAGTCTGGGGCGCTAATATAGTCTAATTCCTGGCCTAGTTTGGTTTACATGGGTTAGCTTTACAATCTGAATACGTTTAAGCTTTACAGATGTCTTTGATTCATGCTTTTGCATCTCAAAATAAAAGGTTCTATTGTTTAAGTTTAATTTGTTTTACTTGATTATTGAAAAATTTAATTATTTTTAAAATTTTAATTAAATTAGTTTAAATAAATAATTAAGGTCTTTAGAACTAATCTCTTGATTCTTCCAGTAAGTACCTATTTTTACATTTTCCCACTTTTCTATTGAAATATTTTTATTTTTCTAAATTATTTATAGATTTGCTTTCATATACATAGTTTACATATTTTCTCATAGTAAAAAATATGTAGTAAAACTATTTTGCTAGAAGTGAAGACTTTAAATTTAAGTTAGCCAAATTAATCAATTTTTTTCAAGGGTATTGATTTTTTAGTCTTGCTTAAAAAGGCAAAATGGAGGCATACATTAGGTAAATATATTGAGAATGGGAATTTGAATCAGAAAGAAAAGGCAACGATCAGTTGGAAGTATCTGAATACATATTGCCTAATGGGCATGTCCTCTCTCTGACAAAAAGCCTGATCTGACTGCAAATGAGGCAAATTGTGGCCTGTAGCAGCATGAACCTCCTTCTCCACCAAAGGATTGCTCAGTAATAACAGTCTAGCAGAAACTCACCTTGAAAAAAAAATGTAGACAACATGAAAAAAAGAAAGAAAGGAAGAAAATCAACAGTCATTCGGAGAAGTGCCATCATTGTAAGTGCATAGGGTAAGATTAAAATAACATAAAGCAAATGAAAGATGTATCAAATACAAAAGAAAGACAGCAGAGAGCAATAAAAAGAGTACTTCCAAATAAGTAGAATTAATATTCTCAGGGGAATGCCAGAAGTTACTGCATCCATTAATAAAGAAGAGGAAAGCTAAAAATGAGATCATTGAAGTAATGATGAATATATAATCTCTCAATAAATAATGACGAATTGCATATATAGTAAAAAGAAGGCTGAAATATTTTTAAGCATACGCTTGCATACTAAAATAAATGAGGTCAAATGAACAATACAAATACACTTCTTTTTGGTCACTGACTTCTACTTGCACCTGCAGTTTTAGTCCTCTCTTTTCCACTACACTTTCTGATCTTCTTAGTATGAATTCCAACAAGAGGCTTCCTTTTCTTCTGACTGCTGAGTGAATTCAATGAGTTAAAGTGAATGATTTGTATTCTCAGGAAAGCAGAGAGCAAGATCAAGTATTTTTAACACTGGCTTCCCAGGGGTGATTGGCTTTGTCCCTTAAGCTTAGGTGGTTGCTCTTTTCCTGATGAGTCTACTTTATCCTAAAGTTAGTAAACTTGCTTTGCCACTGGCCCTTTCAAACTAGGGGTGATAAAAATCACTCTAACCAAAGGTTACTGCAGTCTCTTGTGTTCTTTCTCATCCCTTCAACAGCTTTGCAAAGAGTCTCCAAATCCTCTCTGCATTATCCTTATTAAATTGCACTATCAGTTTCTTTATATGACCCCAACAAATACATGAATCTCCTAGTTAGGGAAACTGATAGACTAAGAGTACTTTTCTTTCATGTTCAAAGCTAGAAGGTAAGTATTTTCTAATAATGTGAAGCAGTTGAAATGACAATTTGGGTTAGAGCTGTGCTGTGGACTACAGCTATTTGAAAGTACAGTTTTATTTTTATGACAGTTTGCTCTCTGCTGTCTGGGATATTTACATTTTCCTTTCCTATGGAGAAGGTCAGAGTATGATTGATTCAACATTAAAAATAACTTTAGGTTGTTTAAAGTGAGGATGTTCTAAATGATAATATTTGTGAAGTCCTCTATTTTGATATTTTTCACTTAAGATCAGTGATTTAGAAATCAAGTGAAAATCTTGTTACCATTTGAATGAACATACTGATATTAATAAAATGATAAGTATTTTACATGATCATCCAAGTTAGATTTTGACAGAATGCCTAGGGTCTTGGAGTAACCAGCTTTTGGCAGTTCCTGGCTCTCTTTTTCATATTCAAATTTGTAAAGAAAGCAGAGAAGAGTAAATGTGTGTAGGTGTCTTCCTCCTGGAAGTAGGCACAAACTGCATGGAAAACCAACCAAAAAATGGTAACAGAAAAATATGATAATAATTTATTTAAAAATAAAATTCTTAGACTTTGTCATAACTGGAAGACTATCTAGAATTGTGAATGAAGTAAGGACCCCAAATAAAGACGCATTTCTAATTCTCATATTTCTGGCCCATGCGGCAAATATTGGGTATGCTAGATGGAAGAAAAGGTGTTCAATATATAACATCCTCTTCCATATCTCAGTTTTGATTCTATTAAAATTAATACAAGGAACATAGCAGAATACTGAGAAACAAACACATTTAGTCTGATATAGGGGATGCAGATGAATTTGATTTATATTCATGGCAGTTGAGCCTTCTAATATTGAATTCCAGAGTTAGTGCAGAAGCAAAGAATGTGTGCTTTCTGTGAGTGATTCCTAAATAAAAAGAACAGAGGCATATGTTTTTAACAAGTACTTATGTGGGATTCATAAAATTAATTTTTATATTATCCTCTCCCCTATCAACAAATTGTTAGGGACACCATGTCCGTGTTTTAAATGTTTATTAAAATTGCGTTGTATTTTAATCTCAACAATATCAATATAGATTTATCCTCAGTCATGTGTATCAACTTTTGTGAAAATTAATTTTATTTTCTTTCACTGGCATAAGTTTAATAGTTATTAAAAAAAAAAAAACTCCTGGATTTTTTATTCCCCTGACTTTTTAAATGTTTAAAAGATGGCTGTTTCTTACCTTCATGTGATTAGGGGACCTTATGTTAAATTCTTGAGTTATGCTTTCTGCAGACTTTAGGTAGACAGAGTTTCACTGGTGAGGCAAATTTTTTTAAACTGTGAAATGCACAGATCTAAAGTTTACAATTCAATAACTTTGGACAAATACAAAGACCCATATAATCAATACCGATTCAAGCTACAGGCATTTTCCTCACCTCAAAAATTCCTTCATGCCTTTCCACTTAAATCTCACTCACACATCAAATCTTTAATCCATTCTTATTTTCATAACCATGGATTAGTTTTGCCTCTTCTGGAATGTCATATAAATGGAACTTTATGCCATGTAATTTTTTTTAATTTGTTCAACATAATAAGAATAGATATTCAACTTTTTTATTTCATTCAATATAATATTTTATAGAGGCCCAGACATTTTGTTACACGTCAATATCTGATTTGTTGTTGTTGTTGTTAATTCTGAGTACTGTAGTGTCCACTGTATGAATATATACAATTCGTGTATCCATTCCTTTATTGAAGGTTGTTTGGGTTGTTTCAAGGTTTAGTTTTAAGAATAAAACTGTTCTAATAAGTTTTGAATAAATCTTTATCGTGGCATCAGTTATTATTTCTTTTGTATACGTAACAGAGAAAAAACTTACTGGGTCAAAGAAAAATATATTTTAAACTTTATAAGAAAATAATTAACTGTTCTCTGGAGTGTTTGCCCCATTTTACACTCTTAAGAAACAAAAAGACTTCCAGTTGCTACATATCTATAATTTTTGGTATTGTCAGTATTTTAAAATTTCTTTAAATAATTTCTAGTGAATGTGCAATGGCTGTCATTGTCATGTATATTTGCATATTCCTAATGAATAATGATGTCCAGTGCCTGTTCATGTGACATTGCATATCTTCCTTTGTAAGATATTCAAGACCCATGCCTATTTGGGGAGAGGCTGTTAGACATTTTATTACTGAATAGTACTACTTATTAAGATCTTCTAAGTCATTTGTATGTATTAAAAATAATTCCTCTGATTCTGTGTCCTGCCTTTTAATTTTTTTCAATGCTTTCTCTTGATGAGTAGAAAATCTTATTTTGAGGAAGCCCTATTTATATAATTTTTTCCTTTATGGCTACATTTTCTGTTTGTTTTGTCTGAAATATTTTTGCCTCCCTAAAGATGTAATATTTTGCCTCCCTAAGATGCAAGATTGTTCTCTTATATGCTTTATAGTATTAGTTTTTATATTTATGTTTCATATTTATGTTTATGAGCATCTCAAATTGGATTCATCGCAAATTTGTAAATGATATGGGATAAACATTGACGTTAGGCTAAGCATGATGACTCACATTTGTAACCCCAGTGCATTAGGAGACTGAAGAAGGAGGATTTCTTGAGCCCAGGAGTTCGAGGCTGCAGTGAGCTATGATTGCACCACTCCAGCCTGGGCAACAGAAAAAGTTAGAAATAAAAAAATTAATTTGATTTTCATAAATTTATCTAGTTGTTTCAGATATGTTGTAAAAATATGTGTTTTCTATTGTCCTTTGTCTTCATAGAAAATCAGTTCATCATCTATGTTAAACATAAACATATTTATGGATGCTCCATTTTTTAACATGCAGCTTTAAAAATCTTAAAATAATTTAATGTTACTTCTTTGATTATATTCTTTTCCAAGATTGGCTAAGTTACCTATGTTCCTTTGTATTTCTGCATATTTATATACATCTTGACATCACATTGTTTATTTTTATTTTGCAGTAAAATCTGATGTGATTTTCATCAGAGTTGAAATACATTTGTAGATCAATATAAGGTGGATGGATATCTTAATATAAATAACATATCAATAAGAACATGTATAGATCTACGTTTTCTATTTTTTCTTAAAATTTCTCAATAATATTTTTTAGCTTCTAGATAAAAGAACTACGCATATTTTGTTGCCTTTATTCCTAAGAATTATATGCTTGTGATTATTCTATTGTGAATAGAATTTATTATTATGTTTTAGTGATTCATTATTAGTATGCAACAACACATTTTACCGGTTAAGAACTGCTTATCCAAAATGCTTGTCGAATTAATGCAAAAACAGCAAACTAAATACCACGTTTTCACTTATAAGTAGGAGGTAAACATTTGGTACCCCAAAACACAAAGATGGGAACCATAAACACTGGAGATTCCAAAAGGGAAGAGAGAGGGAGCTGGCCAACTGTTGAAAAACTATCTATTGGGTCTTATGTCCACCACATGGGTGATGAGATCATTAGAAGTCCAATATTCAGCATCACACAGTATACCCATGTGACAAACGTTCAGATGTACCCCTAGAATCTAAAATAAAATAAAACAATCAGTTGCCAATATACAAATTGAAGTTGAATTCAACTCATGCTGCACTCTTTTCCCTGTTGCAATCATTATTACTGATTAAAATCTGTCCTTACCACTTTAACTAGTGTCCTCCTTCGTTTATTTTTAATACAAGAGGCCCTTCTGCCTTGCTTACTTATGTATTTCCAATGTTTGCACAGTTTTTGTTCATAGTGTCTGCTTAATAGGTATTTGTTAAAAAAAAAAATGAGCACATATAGTGAGTTAAAAAATGCTTGGGACCAGAGGTATTTCAGATTTCAAATCATTTTCAGATTTCAGAATATTTACATTATACTTACAAATTCAGTAGTGCTAATCCAGAAATCCAAAATCTGTAATGCTTAAGTGAACATTTCCTTGAGCATCACGTCAGCTCTCAAAAAGTTTCAGCTTTTAGAGCATTTCAGATTTCAGATATCTGGATAAGGAACACTCAACATGCACTTTCATATATTAACCTTGTTTGCTATAAATTTCATATATATATATATATATATATATATATATATATATATATATATATATATAATTTAGTTCTAGTAGCTTTTGAAATGTATTCCTTAGGTTTTTTTCCATAATCATCTCATTTTCAAGTAAAGACAATTTTGTTTTTCCTATTCAATCATTATGCCCTTTATTTTTCTTCTTTTTATAATGGTTAGTGCTTACAGTAATGTGTAGAAGAACAGTAGTGAGATGAACATTATTTCTTTTTTCCTGATTTTATGTGGAATTTTTCAATATTGCACTTTTAAATAGTACCCTGCCTGAAGATTTTTTGTAGATTGTGGAAATAAATAACACCTAATAATAACAGAGAGAATCTATATTTATTCAGACTTTTTATAACAAGAAAGTCAGCTGTCATCATATATGTTTTGCAGAGACTCAAAGAAAGGCTGAGGAATAGGAAAGTTTTGTACTTGGAAAAGGAAAGCTTTTGGATATGCTCTGCCTTAAGGTTGTATGGGGAAGCTGAAGATGGACTAAATAAATAAGGGGAAATGGAGCATCTTATGTGATCAGTCAGAAAGCATACTTGACTTTCTCTGATGGGTCCTGAGTTGGCAGCGGGGGCAAAAATAGGGAACCTGGCAATCATTAACTAAATCCTATTCATTTGGGGCTGGTTGATGCAGAGGCTGTGGTTTGGCTTCCCAGGCTGGTTGCTACAAAGATGTGGGTCAGAACTCTATTCTTATATATGGTCTGGCTACCCCTCCTCCCATTTTGTCATTAACTAGCTTGTGAGGCATTGACCAAGCCAATTCAGGGAAGTTTAGAGATTCAAATCTTCACGACTTAGAGACTGTTTAGTTGTCTCTATTGTCAACCATATTATGAGATGTTCTTGAACTTTTTGCAGTTTTGTAGTAAGGGCGATCTTCTGGTGAGAGGGCTGCTATAAAAAGGAAGTTAAGACTGAGTTGAATGCAATTGGCCAGCATCATGACTACTATGACAAAAACAAGAACAATGAGTAGTTCCTATAAAATGCTTCAGAAATAAAACCCCAGTTGTCCAACTCAAGTCAAGAGAACAAATCTTTCAGGTTATGACGATCAGCCATAGAGAGCCAAGTAACTTCTTCCTTAAGGCAATATATAGCTTATTCCATCTTGCTGTATTAATCATGGTTATTGTTTTTGTTTTGCTTTGACATCTTGAGACCATATGGGTTTCAAGGCAGAGTGCTCCTCCTAGGGTTAGCTAATTTCTAGAAATACTAAACAACTTGCCTATGATCATGTTATTTATATGCAAACCAACCAATCCAGAATCCACACCCTCACTTGACTCTTATTATATGGCTCCTGTGGTCTGGGACATTATCCCTCTGCTTTCGTCACCCCAGAATCAGGTGCTGGAACACTAGGGACTAAATTACACAAAAAGTACTCACACTACCCAGTCTTAAACCTGCTCAGCTGCTTACACTGTCTCACTCATTCCTTCCAAGGAAAACCATATTAAAGGCTCTGGCTCATGCTTTAGTCTTGCTCCTTTTGCCTTCACTGACTCTGGTACTTCCCCATATGGCCCCAGTGCATGATGTGCTGTGGCTCCTGTTTCTAGGGCTTTATGTGTATAAGAACACATGACAGTCATTTCTGTCTCTGCAAGTCTCTCCATAATTAAATGGAGACAAAAAGAAATCTAGAGCAATGAAACAATGTAGTTGTTTTGTTTTTTTAATTAATTTCAACTTTTATTATAGGTTAATGAAAGACTGTTACATGAGTAATTGTGTGATGCTGAGGCTTGGAGTCCCAGTGATCCTACCACCCAGGCAGTAACACAGTACCCAACAGGTAGTTCTTCAGCCCACAACCCCTACCTTTCCTCCCCAATCTAGTGGTCCCCAATGTCTATTGTTCCCATCTTAACATGTGTATTCAATGTTTAGCTACCATCTATAAGTGAGAAGATGTGGTATGTGGCTTTCTGTTCTTCTATTAGGTCACTTAGGATAATGGTCTCCAGCTCCATTCATGTTGCCACAAAGAACATGACTTTGTTCATTTTTATGGCTGCATTGTTTTTTGTGATGTATACATACCATATTTTCTTTACCCAATTCTCTATTGATGGACACTTAGGTTAATTCTATTGCTTTGGTATTGTGAATAGTGCTGCAATGAACATACGGGTGCATGTGTCTCTTAGATAAAATAAATTATTTTCCCTTGGGTATATATACTCAATAGTGGGATTGCTGGGTCAAATGGTAGTTCTATTTTAAGTTATTTGAAGAATCTCAAAACTTCTCTCCACAGTGGCTGAACTAGTTTGCATTCCCACCTACAATGTATAAGCGTTCCCATTTCTCCACAGACTTCTCAACATCTGTTGTTTTTTGTAAGTTTTAATAATTGCCATTCTGACTGGTGTGAGACGGTATTTCATTGTGGTTTTTGCATTTGAATTTATGTGATGATTAGTGAAGTTTAGCAATTTTTAATGTTTCTTGTCTGCTTGTTACGACACCTTTTGAGAAATGTCTGTTCATGTCCTTTGCCCATTTTTTAGGTGGATTTTTTGGATTTTTTGCTTGTAGATTTGTTTAAATTCCTTACAGATGCTGGATATTAGACCTTAATGAGAAGCATACTTTGCAAATATTTTCTCCCATTCTTTAAGTTGTCTGTTTACTCTGTTGATAGTTTCCTTTGGTAGGCAGAAGCTCTTTAGTTTAATTAGATCCCACCTGTCAATTTTTGTTTTTGTTGCAAGTGCTTTCGGGAACTCAGTCATCCATTTGCCAAAGCCTATATCAAAAAGGGTACTTCTTAGATTTTCTTCTAGTATTATTATAGTTTTAGGTCTTACTCGTAAATCTTTAATCTATCTTGAGTTAATTTTCATCTATGTTGAGAGGCAGGGGTCCAATTTCAATCTTCTGTATATGGCTAGCCAGTTACCACAGCACAATTTATTGAATAGGGATTTTTTTTCCATTGCTTGTTTTTGTCAGCTTCTTCAAAGGTCACATAGTTGTAAGTGGGCAAATTTAGTTCTGGGTACTGTATTCTCTTCCACTGGTCTGTGTGTCTGTTTTTGTATCAGTACCATGCTGTTTTGATCACTGTAGCCTTATAGTACAGTTTGAAGTCTGGCAATGTGATACCTCTGGCTTTTCTTTTTGCTTAGGATTGCTTTGGCTATTCAAGCTCTTTTGTGGTTCCAGATGAATTTTATAATAGGTTTCATTCTAATTATTTAAAAAATGACATTGGTATTTTGATAGGAATAGCATTGAATCTGTAAATTGCTTTAGGCAGTATATCCATTTTAACAATATTGATTCTTCCAATCCATGAGCATGGATATTTTTCCATTTATGTGTCATCTCTGATTTCTTTCAACAGTGTCTTGTACTTCTCCTTGTAGTGGTCTTTGACCCCCTTGGTTGGATGAATTCCTAGGTATTTCATTTTCTTTGTGGCTATTGTAAATTGGATTGTGTTCTTGATTTGGTTATTAGCTGCAATGATTTTGGTTCATAAAAATGCTACTTATTTTCCTACAATGTTTTTATTTCTTGAAACTTTACTGAATTCACTTGTCAGTTCAAAGAGCCTTCTGATGGAAACTTTAGGGTTTTCTATGTGTAGAATCACAGCATTGGCAAAGAGAGATTGTTTAATTTCTTTTCCTATTTGGATGGCTTTTGTTTCTTTCTCTTGCCTGTTTGCTCTCACTAGGACTTTCAGTGCTATGCTGAATAGAAGTGGTAAAAGTGGGCATCTGTGTCGTGTCTCAGTTCTCCAGGGGTGTGGTTCCAGCTTTTGCTGTTCAGTTTGATGGCGACTGTGGGTTTGTCATAGATAGTTTTATTATTTTGAGGTATGTTCCTTCAATGCCTAATCTGTTGAGGGTTTTTATCATAAAAGGAACGTTGAATTTCATTTATTTATTTATTTATTTATTTATTTTTGAGATGGAGTCTCACTCTGTTGCCCAGGCTGGAGCACAGTGGCGAGATCTCAGCTCACTGCAAGCTCCACCTCCCGGGTTCACGCCATTCTCCTGCCTCAGCCTCCCGAGTAGCTGGGACTACAGGCGCCCGCCACCATGCCCGGCTAATTTTTTGTATTTTTAGTAGAGACGGGGTTTCACCGTGGTCTCGATCTCCTGACCTCATGATCCGCCCGTCTCGGCCTCCCGAAGTGCTGGGATTACAGGCGTGAGCCACCGCGCCTGGCTGGAATGTTGAATTTTATTGATGGCTTGTTCTGTATCTATTGAGATGATCCTATGTTTTTTGTTTTTGATTCTGTTTATGTGGTGAATCACATTTATCAATTTGCATATGTTGAATCAACTTTATATCCCAGGAATAAACCCTACTTAGTCATAGTGAATGAACTTTTTGATGTGCTGCTGGATTTGGTTTGACAATTTTTGCTTGTATTTTCATCAGAGATATTGATCTGTAGTTTTCTTTTTTCTTTTTCCGTGGTCTATGCCAGATTTGGTAACAGGGTAATGCTGGCTTTGTAGTATGAGTTAGATAGAAGCCCCTCCTCCTTGATTTTTTGGAGACATTTCAGTAGGATTGGTATCATTTCTCCCTTGCCCCTCTGATAGAACTCAGCTGTGAATCCATCTGTTACAGGGCTTTTATTTTATTTTTTTTCGTAGGTTTTTATTACTAATTCCATTTCCAAACTTCTTATTGGTCCGTTCAGGTTTTCACTTTCTTCCTGATTCAATCTTGGGAGATTGTGTGTTTCCAGGAATTTATTCATTTCCTCTAGATTTGTGTGCAGAGAGGTGCTCATAATAGTCTCTGCATATCTTTTGTATTTTCATGGGATCAATTTTAATATAATCTTTATAATTTCTGATTATACTTATTTGGATCTTCTCTTTTTCTTTGCTAATCTAGCTAATGATCTATCAGTATTGTTTATTAAAAAAACTCTTGGCTTCATCTTTTGTGTGGACTTTTAGATAACAATTTTTTTTCAGTTCTCTGACTTCAGTTATTTTTTTTCTTCTACTAGCTTTGGGGTTGGGTCTTTTCTGTTGCTTTTTTTCTAATTCCCCTAGTTGCTATGTTAGGTCATTAACTTGAGACCTTTTTGTCCCCCTGATGAATGCATTTAGCACCGTCAATGTTCCTCTTAACACTGCTTTAGTGTAGTTTTTGAGTCATCATTGCTATAATGGTTAAGTCCAATAGGCCAAAGGCATGAAAAAGTAGTTATGGGGTGCTTCTACCATGTTTCAGATATGTTTTTCCCTTTGAAGTGACCCATTCACATAATGCCCTTGGCCTACTTTCCCCATCCACTCACTTTGCCCCGGCAAAATGGAATGAGGTACTTATTCAGAGAGTTTAAACAAAAACTTGAGGATGCATAACCCAGAATCATTCTTACCTTCTGCCTCTCTGAGGCTCAGAGAAAGCTTACAGTCTGCTCTCCTAAAAACATGTGCATTGCCTGTCAAAGGAGTTCTGTTCTAGTTCAATGTTGTTTCTGTCTGAGTGGGTTCATCTATATAACACTGAGATTCAGGTTTAGGAAGCTGACTCATGTCCATATATGAATCACATTCTGCAAGATCTGCTTTAGTTGTGTTAAATTTATTTTGCTTTCTTCCCTTCTTGTAAGAAACCTATACTATAAGAACTCTAACTTATGATTTTATAATCTGTTCTCTTAACTTTGAATGTACTTTAAGAACAAATATGCATAAACGTTAATCAGTTTCTCTATACAAAATTATTTTTATCTTCTGTTATAATTAAATACAATCATTTCTTAATAGTCAGTTTGTATAAAATCTTTATCAATTATCTCTGTCTATAAACTTTAGGAAAATATGTAAAATCTTGTTCTACATATTTTGAAAATGGTTATTTCTTTATGGTGAGAATTTGGATGATAAATTTAGTTTCATCTTAATTACTTATACTTTTTATTGCTTTCTTGTTAGACTGCTCAGGCTGCCGTAACAAAATGCAATAAACTTGGTGTCTTGTACAACAAAATTTTTTCCGCATAGTTTGGAGGCTAAGAAGTACACGATCAGCATACACATAGTCAGTTTCTGCTGAGGGTATTCTTCATGCTTGTCACACAGATACCTTTTGTTGTGTTCCCAAAGGGAAGAGAGATAGAGAAACACACAGAGAGACAGAGACAAAGGAAGTATACAAGAAAGTGCTCTTCTGTGTCTTTTATAATAAATTCACTAATTCCATCATGAGGACTCCATCCTCATGGTTTCATCTCAACCTTTTGACCTCCAAAGGCCCACATCTCCAAAACCATAATACTGGGGATTAGGGCTTCAAAATTTAAATTTGGGGTGGGAGGGACACAAACATTTAGTCCAAAATATTTGCATTTTAAATTAATGAGAATCCATTCAAACTAAAAAATAGGGTCATTATTATTGATTTTCAAAAAAAGAAATTTGAAAAAAAAGATTTGTCTCTGATTTACTCTTTGAAGAGAGAGTCACATATTGTAGAAAGTGATTGTTAACAACTTCCCCTTAAAAATAGTTTGCCAATTTTAAACCAAAGAAAATTCCAATAATCTATAGTCCCATACCATTAAGTGTACCTAAAAATTGTCATCCTATGAAATGTATACATTATCTTACAATGCATTGTGGAGAATGCCTAGGATTATTAGAATTACTAAATGAGCAAAGTTAATGGATATAAAATAGAATACAAAATCAATTTTCTATAATTAACAGAAATATTTAAGAAATACAATTTCAAAAGTAAACTTCAGTAGCTACTAAAGCAAGATTGTTTATAATAAAAAGACAATGTATCTCATTCTCACTCTATACATCTCATCAAGAATATAAATTTGAAACACAAAGCTTTAAAATTTTAAAAGCAATTTAGCCTGAATCTCAGAGTATGAAAAAAATTTTCAAACCAGCACAAAAACTGACTGGAGCAAGATGATTTGTAAGTTTGGTCCCACTTATATCAAGAGTATCTGTTCCTTCTAAATCACCATTGGTAAAATGAAAAATCATCATAAACAGCATGGCAACATTTGCAAGTACATAACAATCTATTAAAATTCATGATACAATTAATTTCTGTTAAGGATTTAGAAAAAGACATAAAAATTAAAATAGGAAAATACATAAGCAGACTTTTTAAATAATAAAAAAGTTAAAATATATGAAATGGTACCAAAGCTTATTATTAATTCAAATTAAAACTATAAAACAACAAAATACAATTTTTTTTTTTTTTTTTGAGAGGGAGTCTCACTCTGTCACTCAGGCTGGAGTGCAGTGGCATGATCCCAGCTCATTGCAACATCCACCTCCTGGATTCAAGCTATTCTCCTGCCTCAGCCTCTCAAGTAGCTGGGATTACAGGCACGCACCACCATGCCCAGCTAATTTTTGTATTTTTAGTAGAGACGGGGTTTCCCCACGTTGTCCAGGCTGGTCTTGAACTCCTCACCTCTGTTGATCCGCCCACCTTGGCCTCCCAAAGTGTTGGGATTACAGGCACGAACCACTGCGCCCAGCCCAAAATATAATTTCATATACATCACATTATAAATTTTTAGACTGCATTTATTTTTGTGTGAGTTTGGATGTAGGGCAATTCAAACTTTTATATACTACTATTGGCATACAAATTAATGTGATTACATTGTACAACAATTTAACATTATCTAATAATGTTGATCATGTGCCAACCCTGTGACCCAGGAATTCCATTTCCAGAGACATCTTAGCTCTTGCATTTCTGGTGACAAGTACACAATAAGCAAAGTAGCATTGTTAATTTTAAAAAATCACAATAGCATTGAAAATTTCAGAAAACTGAACTAATTAATGTTCACAAGAAGCAGAAAAATAAAGTGTGATCTACTCATTCCTTGGAATAGTGACACACATATCAGATTGGCTTATTCCGAGAACAGTACTTAGAGAGAAAAAAAAGCAAATTAAATCAAAGAGAACCAACAGGATGAAAGATTTGCTCTATTAGACATCGAAACTTTATAACATACAGCAATTCAGACACATCTTGTTCTTGAAGATGGATAGTATGCTGGAGTCACCCTGCCTCAGCTTCTGGCTACGAAGTCTCCCCTGAACTCCGCATGAAGATGGGCTTTACAAATACAAACTAACCAATTCCCAAACAAATACTCTATAGGGCTGTCACACTCCAGGCCACTGTGCTTCTGTCCTAATCACGCTAGGGCCAAAAACCAGAGAACCAGGGACAGCTCTTATGCCCCAGAGCCCACTGAAATTATTCAAACGAGCCGGTCCTAAGCTTGTTTACCCTGCTTGGTTTCTTCCTGCAAACACCACAGTCTAGGGTCTTGCTCGTGAATTCCTCCCTCTCTCTGTTTCCTGATGGACCTGAGTTCTTCCCTGTAGTCTCCCCTGGCGTGACATGCTCCCTTCTCTTGGAAATTCTGAGTATCTTTTCAATGGCAATTGTCTTCCGATCTGTTTACCTTACTATACCTTAGCTTTTCTATTAATATGCTATATATTAAAACAATATTTGATATAGGTGAAAAATTGAGAAAAGATATTCTAAAAGATGGTAAAGCAGAATCACACACAAAGAGTATGTGAAAAAGAATGAGGTAAATACAAATAGAATGACATGGCTAGTGTGTGTGGTTGGTGGGAAAATAAAGAGGGAAATGATGTGTTTTAAGTTTGAGGTTAGAAAATTAGAGTAAAATTGAGAAATACGGTTTTAAGTTCAAACTATTGAATCTATTAAATCTAGAAAAATCAACAATAAAGTATCTATTTAGAGTAATAACTAAATCTGCTTTTCCTTTTTTCAATTAAAATAGAAACAAATATTGTGGCATTATTTTTATTGTTGTAACAGTTTTGGGCTGCTTTTGAGTCTTTGTTTTGGGAAAGTTTTTATTTTTAGGTTATTTTTCTTTTGTGATATTCTAGACAACCTCTTGTATAAATGTTAAAATGTAATTTTACTACGTTTGAGGCATATTTTAATGTGCCCTAGTTATTAACAAATTTATTCAAGATTAAGTACTATATTTTTAACTTCTTAAAAAAATTAATTTCTTTCTATGCAATGATTGACCTTGAAAATACAAAAGTATGTACAGTATGCACATAATATCATACTGAATCTAATTGTTTAACTGTTGTTTAATTCATTTAATCATTCATTTTTCAAGGGAACCATATTAAATAATTAGGTAGAAATTTATCAGCAGTCACTGTGTTTATTTGGTAATTTTGTATGCAAGATAGCACATTGCAGTCTTGAGGAAAGATATTTCCTTACTAAGATAGCTATTAATTCAAATTCTATATTGTTTTAAACAATAAAAATTCAAAATACGTGTTTTGATAAGAAAGGAATTTGAATTTACCAATTGTTGCTTTCTCATTTAATTTTTAAAAAAGAAAAAAGTCCCTATCTTCGAATAGACAACTTTATTAAATCTGATGAATTTTTGTAAAGTCTGTTTAAGTTGTTTCTGCTTTGATTGGTTAAACAACTAACTTTTAAAACAATGTTAGAAACTAACATATTATATATATTTCAGGATATCTTATAATATTATTTTTCTATGTAACTGTACTTGTATCTATGTCTATATCTGTATCTGTATCTGTATCTATCTATATCTGTATTTAGACAGAGTATCTACAAGAACAAGTAGGTGGGAGTTAGGTCCTAATCCAAGGATTTTCAGTCACTGATAAATACAGTTTTCTCACGGAAGTTTCGTATCTGACTGTCTCTCCACTGGAAATTTCTGTTGCTATTCAAATAGTTCTACAATTTGCCTCCAGAAAATATGTCAATAAGATTAAAAAGTCAACATTTCATAAATTGAAATTTCTATTTTGACCTCCTAAAAATATATAACTTTTATTAAAATGAATTACTATTAAAATACATTCCACATAGGTATGGTAATTGCTTTTATTAGAAAAGTTGAAAGAAGTGAGATAATCTGAGTAATATGGTTTACAACAGATATGTAAAAACAAAGAACACATATCTGTCATCTATATTTATTCAGTTTTATGTGTTATAATTAAATGAATTTGGGTCCTTGCTTCTCTCAATTATGACATGATAAATGATAGAAAATAGACATGTTTTTCCAGAAGTCATTTTATAAACATACTATTGAGTAACGTTTAAAAATTAAAAGTAAAAATTAAATATTTATACTTTAATTTGGAGAAAAAAACTGCTATAAGCCTATTATTATAAATGCAAAGTAAGGAGAAGTGTTGAGTCCACTGGTTGCATCAAGAACTTTTTATCAAACTTAGAGGCACATAATCAGAAAAAGATAAGTATATTTGTCCTAGAAATTAAGATTAAAATGTACATATCTAATGACATTGAGAGATAAGGAAAGGTAATGATCTATTAAAATAGTTTCCTGAATGAGTATCAGCTAAAATCTTGACAAATTTGTATGCAGACTGAAATCCTAATCAAAGCATTAGTAAAAAGAAAAAGGTCCTTAAAATTTTCTGAAATTTTTATATGTGAATTATATTTCAAAGAAGCTCCATTTAAAATGCCCTCATGTTCAAAGTAAAAATATATATTACAAATTGTGTAATATGTATTAATTTTAAATTTTATAAAAAATCAGTGAATTCTTTCAAGTTTTTCAAAGTGTTATGGTTAAGTCTAAATAGGAACTATACTTAAATTAGATTGTTTAGAATGAAAAATTATTTTTAATTTATCCAATGTTTATTTTATGTGTTCAGCATTCTGATGATTCTTTGAGAAGGAAAATAGTATAAATAGTTGAACATATTTAAAAACATCCATATTGATCACAATTATACATAATTTTTTAAAGTTCTTTTGATTTTTTGCTATGCTTTGTTAATTAATTGATTAATTGTACTGCAATTATAGCCATAATTGGAATAGGAACTGGACTGTATATAGTTTGACAGGTAGAGAAGTAATATTGTAAGATGAGAAGGAAAGGTAACAAATAGTTAAATGTGAGATAACTTGTATAATGGAATTTAAAAATTGTAATTAAATTTAGAAGTAAAATAAATGCTGACATAGATAAATGTGATAAGAAACATAGAGCAATTTTCAGCAGTATGGACTTATCTTAAAATCGGCAAATGGATACCATCATTTTAAAACATTAATTAGAACTTTGGATCTGCTTTCCCCCATGCCCTATTAGTAGTAATTTCCTTATTGGCTCCCTTTTAGTATGTACATGCCAGTTTAACAATTTCAAAACCCCTAGAGTTTTTTTCATTTCAAACTTATTTTGATTGTTCTAAATGATAAGCAGAGAGAATCAGTTTTTCCTGGTTATTGCTTCCTTTTGTCACATGAGGTCTGTATCCAGAGCCACATATATTTTCTCGAGGTCTTCTTGGGGCACATTTGACCCTATGTCCTCCGCACATGAACAATAAAATTAGTTATCAACTAACATTCATATGACTTACCATGTTTCTCCAAATCATAGCCAGCCCGTGTGCCTGTACTTGAGTCAAGAGCCTCAGCACATCACCGGCTGAAGTTAATTTTAAGTGCAGGGCTTTTCCAAGCTGTGCAGCCTTGTTTGGTATGAAATTTCCACTTAATAAGGTTTTCATAACCAGACTGTTTGAATACTTTTCCTCAGAGTTCTTGAACTCATTGTGCAAATTTTTCCACTTTTCATCTTCTATTAGGTCAGCGTACAATGCACTTACAAAATCAAAGTTTATTGTCACGTCTTAATTCTAGGATGGAATTCTAGGTGTCTGCCTTCTCTACGTTTGCATAAAAAAAGAGGACATTTGGGGAAGACATAAATACAAACAAAAAACAAAACACAAAAGTTAAGTTAAAAATGATAACAATTTGCAAAAGTAGCTTATTTGAAAGTAAAGCTATAATTATTTAAGGATATTCTAAACCAATTTGCAATGTCAATTTGTTGAAGAAGACCATATTTTTATATATTAAGATTTATAGAAGTTAAAATTTTTATCTGAGCAATTCAATATCTTTTTATGATAATAAATTATATAAATTCCAGCAGAAAATCATATTAGATGATTATGGTTTATTTAAGGATTCTAGTAAAATCTTTAACATAGAAAAATACTCATATTGGTATACGTACAGAACATAGTCATCTACCATTCATAGTTCAAGCTAGAGCTATTAAGAATATTAGATTGGATAACTCAATATCAACATTGATATCCATTGTAAATATATACAATAGAAGCCACTAATCTTACCAAAAAGATATAAAATTACTGAAATTTTTTACAAACAAGCTTTCATAATAATATTTATTTTCTGGGCTGTAGCATTAATTCTAAAAAATGACAAAAATTTGTAAGAAAACATATGACATAATTTTGACCTATTGAAATATTATTAAATGTGCTATTAATACAATAGTCATGAAAACCGTTATACAAAAACAAAGTGTTGTTCATGGCATTTACAGAGAACACATTGGTATGACTCCTTCAGGGTATTTATAATAAGTATGAAGCAAGATTTGACTGAGAATACTGAAGAAAACATTCACTTAATTTTTTGAAATAGCTCTGAATAGATGAATAGCACTTATTTAGGTTCTTTATTCTCTTTTGCTTCCTTTCTCCTTTCCTTCTTTTCTGTCATAGATGAGCCAGGCAAGTAACCCAAATGCGTGATATGGACTAGGTGTAATAAAACTAAGCAGTGGAGAAATTGTGGTAAAATGAAGCATCTGAACTTTCTTGTGAAGATCAGCTTCTTAAGTCTATTCAGTGTAAACTGCCTCCACCTTATTTGATGTTTATCAAGATAAACCAAAAATACAAGATTGGAGAATTAAATATTGAAATAGTCAACTATGGGAATGTTCTCAATTTAAAAACAAGGAAGCAAGCAAACAAACAAACAAAAAACACATTGTGCTGGCCAACACTGTGAAAGCCAAAGTAACTCTGGAAATGTATTTGGATCAGTTACTGTAAATTTATAATTTTCCTTTAGGAAGTAGACAGTAGGATAAACCATTGAAATGTTTCTTTCTTGTTTTGATGTAGTTCCAATACTTACTAAATATGTGGCTTGGACATGTTAGCTTCTTTATTTTTAAAACAGAACAAAAATAGACATCATATTGATTTGAATACTAAATAGGATAGAAGTAATAAACCATATATGGCAATGCTTAGTACATTAGTAAACACTTGATAAATAAGTGGTAGCTATTATTATTGCTTGCCAAATAACTTTACAGAGGTGTCCAAAAATTCAAAATCCCACATGTCCTCAGAGTTATTTCTGTTTGCCAGGTGTCCCTGCTTAGAAATTAATAGGAAGTACACACCAAAATTTGACATTTAGATGTTTCATTCCACTTATTTGTCTTCTAGTTTAAAAATACTTATGAGAATTCTTTATATTTTTAAAAAAAGTTAAATGATGAATAACAAAACAAAATAGAAAGCGTTATTTAATGAATTCAAATTCACAAAACTGCTTCTTATCCTAAAATATCTTAGATAGTTCTCATACTGCCCTCCTTAATAAACTCTACTTTCTTGCTCTGCAGACAATCACCTGCCTATGTTTCATTTATTTTTCCTGTGTTTCATGTTGATGATTCCTATGCATTTTTACTTTCTTCTACTATTCAATTATGAATTCTAAAATAAATATGACATTTTTGCCTGTTTTTAACTCTAAATAGTTTTATAATTTCATTATACCATGACCTAATATTTGATTGAAACTTGAGTGGTTCATAATATTAATTTGTATTAATTATCAGTGATGTACTATATCCCACTGTATAACAATAGCTTGAATTATATTTTGATTCTCTACTGATAGATATATAGGTCAAATCTAGGGTTTAAAGAAAATCCCAACAATGCTGCTATAAGCACTCATACATGTTTCACTGTGTATGCATGTGTGAGAATTTTTCCACAATATATACTCAGAGGTACCCTTGCTGGATCAAGAGCAACTGTACATTTTCACATTTTAGGTACTTCCAAGTTTTCTCCAAAGTGGTTGTACAGTGTATGTTTACCAGCACTGTAAATGTAAATGAAATATATCTTTATTACCCTTGGTATTATCACACATTTTCTTATTTACCAGTCTAATCACTGGTGAGATGGAATCAGGATTGATAAACCTATTCATGATTCCTCTTTTCTTTCTTCAAATTGCCTTATATTTAGGTTACTCTACTACTGGAATACTTTTCCTTATAATATCTTTCTTTATATTATCAACAGTTTTGAATGTTAATACTTTTTGCATTATAAACATCTTATTTTTTCTCCTATTAGCACTTTCCTATTTGTAATTGCATATTTTGAAGAATGGTGTTTTACACTTGTCATCAACTTAATATTTTTATTCAAGTTTAGCTCTTCTTTAATCATGTTTATATCATTTGTTAGCCTAAGCTGATAAATATTCTACTGGATTACCTTCTAGAAGTTTTTAAGCATTTATTTTCTATCTAATTTTTTCAGATATCAAATAATCCCTCATATATTATACATTTCCCATGAAGTTTTTATTTACACTGGATGAATTTGTAGTTCTTTAACCATGTGAAACATTTCATTATGAAATATTTCAATAAAAATATGATGTATAACTTTTATCAATATGTTTTTGTTCATTCTTGCATATATTAGTTTTTTTGGCTATTAAATTTTCTAAGTGGAAACTTTTTGGTAAGATTTTTCTTTCTGGTTTAACTGGCTATCTGATCGAAAAACAACCAAAATATCTCCAGATGGGTTAAAGAATTACACACAAAAATACAACTTTAGTGAAGTAGATCCATATGTTATCAAATAGCTTAAAACTAACTTTTGAAAAAAAAAGTCAATGTGACTACTTAAAAATTTTGTTCAGATAATTGCAGGGATACCAGTTTGAAATAATCTAACTTAAAATCATACATTTATGTACATAAAAATAAATTTGGTATCAATGAAAACACTAAATCTAGAAAACAATCTAACTTCTGAAATTATTCTAAAATAGTATAAGAATATATTTTATACATGCTTGTAATGTAGGAAGGGCTCTTTAAAAGTGTGACACAATTCATAAAGGAAAAAATGTTTAAAGATAAATACTGATTAATTCACTATTAAGCCAGATTCAGGTAACCCTACTACTAATTTACACAATTACATAGTGAATCTTTGAGGCTTAGATGCTAATATATATGAAGTAACTAAAATAAAAACTAATAAATTCCTTGTAATTGGTTTGCATTTATTTCAGCAGAAATGATATATTACTATTTTATTTATAATTATAAAAGCATGTGTTAATTTTCAGTATGCTATTCTGTAAGTGAAAGTATGTTTGAAAATTGTAATGGTGGAGAAAAATTTAGCTGCACTCTACTTAAAACTAAACATACACACATTACAGATAGAGTCCAATGAGTTTTTAAAAAATTTATTGAGCTATAATTAACATATTAAAAGCCAAAAATATGTAAGATAGATTATTAGATATGCTCTGACATATTTATACATCCGTGAGATCATCATTATTGTCAAGATAGTGAACATATAAATCCACAAAATGTTTCCTCATGACTACTTTTAATAATCCCCTTTTGCAATTATTGTCTCTCCTAATAAGCATCTTAGCTAGACAACTGCTGACCATCTTTCAGTATTGTATATTACTGTATATTGTATATTGGTGCATCCAGAAGTTTTATATAAATGGAATCATATAAGGTGCACTATTTTTTGGCTGGCATTTTTGCTTTACAGCAAAATTCTTTTGAAATTCATTCATGTTGTTGCATGTGTCAGTAGTCGAACCTTTTTATTGCTGAGCAGAATTTTGCTGTATGTATATATCACCAATTACTTGTTAATGAATATGTGGGTCATGACCACTTTTTAGCTATTAAAGAGAAAATGCCTATGAATATTTATATACAACAATTTCTTTTTCATTTTTCGAGGGGGAAATATCTAGAAGATAAATGACTAGATTAAGTGGTAAGCGTAGGTTTACTTTTTTAAGAAGCTGTCAATCTATCTATTTTTCAAAGTGGTTGTCAATCAAAAGTATATTAAAGTTTCAGTTCCTCCATTTTGTTGCATATACCTGGTAGGGTCAATATTTTTTTTCACTTTGGACATTGTAATAACTATCAGTAGTATTTCTTTGTGGTTTTCAATTCTTTAATGACTACAGATGTTAAAATTTTTTGATATACTTATTTGTCATCCATGTCTTCTATCATGACATCTTTTTCAATCTTTTGCCTTTTAAAAAATTGGGTGATTTGTTTTATTTTTGATTTTTGACAGCTTTTATATATTCTTTATGAAAGTAATTTATTAATGTGTTGGGGCTCCTTATGACCACCCTTAGGCTCAAAGATTAACTATAATGATTCACAGGTCTTAGAAAACACGTTACATTCATAGTTACAGTTTACTACAATGAAAAGATACAGATTAAAATCAACAAAGAAAAAAAGCCCATGGGGAGAAATGTAGAAGATATCAGGTACAAGCTTTCAGGTGTCCTCTCCCAGTGGAATCCCATAAGAACACACGTAATTCTCCCAGCAACAATATTTGACAGCATATTGAAGTGTTGTCAATCAGAGAAGCTCATTTAAGTTTTGGTCTCCAGGGCTTTTACTTGGGCATCAGTCATGTAAGGTGGTGCCTATATGAGTGATTTCAGCTACTCAGACTACAGCATCTGTCAGAGAAAATATAGCCATTGACTCTAAATTATATTGTTAGGATAAGCTTATCTGTTCAAATGAGCACAGCATGGTCCAAGGCCTCAGACGCTGAAAACCACTTGTGCACTGTACTCTAAAGCCAAAGATGTATAGAAACACTGTCAACAGGCAGAATATATTAAGGGCCCACAGGTTATCTTCCAAAAGCCAGCCAAGTGCCAGTTCTAAAGACAAACATTAGTCCTGATGAGATAAACCTTTCTTGGCCAATAAGATATATGCTATTCAAATGTTTTCTCAGTTCATAGTTTTTAAAAAATTATTTTTAAATGCCCTTTTCCATTCCTATTAAGCATAGTATTGAAAGTTCTAGCCAAGGCAATCAGGCAAGAGAAAGCAATAAAGCGTATTCAAACAGGAAGAGAGGAAGTCAAATTGTCTCTGTTTGCAGATGACAAGATTGTATATTTAGAAAACCCCATCGTCTCAGCTTATCTCCTTAAGCTGATAAGCAACTTCAGCAAAATCTCAGGATTCAAAATCAATGTGCAAAAATAACAAGCATTCCTATACAACAACAACAGACAAACAGAGAGCCAAATCATGAGTGAACTCCCATTCACAATTGCTACAAAGAGAATAAAATACCTAGGAAAACAACTTACAAGGGATGTGAAGGATCTCCTCAAGGAGAACTACAAACCACTGTTCAAGGAAATAGGAGAGGACACAAACAAATGGCAAACTATTCCATGCTCATGGATAGGAAGAATCAATATGAAAATGTCCATACTGCTGAAGTAATTTATAAATTCAATGCTATCCCCATCAAGCTACCATTGACTTTCTTCACAGAATTAGAAAAACCTACTTTAAATTTCATACAAAACCAAAAAAGAGGTTGTATAGCCAAGACAATCCTAAGCAAAAAGAACAAAGCTGGAAGTATCATGTGACCTGACTTTAAAATATACTGCAAGGCTACAGTAACCAAAACAGCATGGTACTGGTACCAAAACAGTTATGTAGACCAACAGAACAGAACAGAGGCCTAAGAAATAAAGCCACACATCTACAGCCCTCTGATCTTTGACAAACCTGACAAAAACAAGCAATGGGGAAAGGATTCCCTATTTAATAAATGGTATTGGGAAAACTGGGTAGTGGAAAACTGAAACTGGATCCCTTCCTTACATCTTATACAAAAATTCACTCAAGATGGATTGAAGCCTTAAACATAAGACCTAAAACTATAAAAACCTTAGCAGAACACCTAGGCAATACCATTCAGGACATAGGCATGGACAAAAACTTCATGACTACAACAGCAAATGCATTGGCAACAAAAGCCAAAATTGATGAATGGGATCTAATTAAACTAAAGAGCTTCTGCACAGCAAAATAAACTATCATCAGAGTGAACAGGCAACCTACAGAATGGGAGAAAATTTTTGCAATCTATCCATCTGACAAAGGGCTAATATCCAGAATCTACAAAGAACTTAAACAAATTTGCAAGAAAAAATACAAACAACCCCATCGAAAAGTGGTCAAAGGATATGAACAGACACTTCTCAAAAGAAGACATTTATGCGGCCAAAAAACATGTGAAAAAAAAGCTCATCATCATTCGTCATTAGGGAAATGCAAATCAAAACCACAATGAGATACCATCTCACTCTGGTTAGAATGGTGATCATTAAAAAGTCAGAAAACAACAGATGCTGGAGAGGATGTGGAGAAATAGGAACACTTTTACACTGTTGGTGAAAGTGTAAATTAGTTCAACCATTGTGGAAGACAGTGTGGTGATTCTTCAAGGATCTAGAACTAGAAATACCGTTTGACCCAGCAATCCCATTACTAAATAGAAAAAGGATTATGAATCATTCTAGTATAAAGACACATGCACACGTAGGTTTATTGCAGCACTGTTCACAATAGCAAAGACTTGGAACCAACACAAATGCCCATCAATCATAGACTGGATAAAGAAAATGTGGCACATATACACTATGGAACACTATGCAGCCATAAAAAAGGATGAGTTCATGTCCTTTGCAGGGACATGGATAAAGCTGGAAACGATCATTCTCAGCAAACTAACACAGGAACAGAAAACCAAACACCGCATGTTCTCACTCATAATTGGGAGCTGAAAAATTAGAGCACATGGACACAGGGAAGGGAACATCACACACTGGGGCCTGTCAGGGGGTGGGGGGCTTGGGGAGGGATAGCATTAGGAGAAATACCTAAAATAGATGATGGGTTGAAGGGTGCAGCAAACCACCATGGCATGTATATACCTATGTAACAAACCTACACATTCTGCACATGTTTCCCAGAACTTAAAGTATAATAATTTTTAAAAAAGAGTAAAAATTTTCACTTTTGAAGAAGTTCAAGTTAATATTTTATTTTACAAATTAAATGTTTAATGTCATATACAGCATTTATTTGTTTCAACTAAGGTCACAAAGATTTATCTTATGTTTATATCTAAGATTTCAATACATTCAGGTTGGCTTTTTATTAATGTTTATATATTTTGCAAGCTATGAATCAAATTTGTTTTTCTATTGCTTATAAATACCCAACTGTTTTACATTTCTTGCTTTGAAAACTCTTCCATTTCTTCAAAGCTGATACTTTCCCTGATGAATTGACTTGCTATTTAAAAAAAAAGATTTTAACTATATGTGTAAATCTGTTTTTGTATTTTCTATTCTGTTCTGTTGATCTATTTAGTCTTTCTTGAGGACAATATCACACAGTCTTGACTATTTCAAAATCATGAACATGGTATATCTCCCCAAATTTTATCTTTTATTTGAGATATCTGGAAAGCATATAGGTCTAGAAGTTGAAATTTGTTCTACCTATATTAGTTAGTCTTCAAGTAGAAATGATGATGGAAAAGATTGCAGTGATCAAAATTACCTAGGGAGAATGTATAGCATGAAAGAGTAATAAGCAGTTCATGCAGATCTCTGATTTAGCTTACACACCTAGAGGAAGATTAAATGAAGATCAATTTGCAAGTGAATTTAAAATTTTGTGACAAAATTTTAGGAGCAAAATTAGGACACCGTGGTGTTACAGAATCTAAAGAACTATTTTGAGCTGCTTTTGAAAAATAAACATAAAAGTTACCAATCTGTATGACTGACTTTTGCAACACTTTCTCATTGAAAACACATATTCTACAAAAAAAACATTATTTTTGTAACCTTATCATTTGGGACTCACTTTATCTAGCAGATCTAAGTACTTATACGTTTTTACGTATGTTCCCATCTATAAATTATCTGTTATATTTTCAATGACATTTTCTTCTTCTAATAAAAGCATGCTCAATTTTAACTATTTGTCTTAACTTATTTTGGAGATTCAAGGTACATTTTGTTGTTGTTTTTATTATTTTATTTTATTTTATTTTACTTTAATTTCTGGGATACATATGCAGAATTTGCAGGTTTGTTACATAGGTATACATGTGCCATGGTGGTTTGCTGCCCCTATCAAACCATCATCTAGGTTTTAAGCTGCATGCATTAGATATCAGTCCTAATGCTCTCCCTCCCCTTTCCCCCCACGCCCCAACAGGCCCCACTGTGTGTTGTTCCCCTCCCTGTGTCAATGTGTTCTCGTTGATCAACTCTCACTTATGAGTGAGAACATGAGGTGTTTGGTTTTCTGTTCCTGTGTTAGTTTGATGAGGATGGTGGTTTCCATGTTCCTACAAAGGATATGATCTGGTTCTTTAGATGGCTGCATAGTATTCCATGGTGTATATGTACCACATTTTCTTTATCTAGTCTATCACTGATGGGCATTTGGGTTGGTTCCATGTCTTTGCTATAATAAATAGTATAGCTGCTGCAATAAACATATGTGTGCATGTGTCTTCATAATAGAATGATTTATATTCCTTTGGGTATATACCAAGTAATGTGACTACTGGGTCATGGGATTTCTGATTCTAGATCCATGAGGAATCTCCACACTGTCTTCCACAATGGTCGAACTAATTTTCATTCGCACCAACAGTGATTCAAGGTATTCTTGATGGTTTCTTTGTTTGTCTATTTTGCCTTTCATTTGTTTTTGTAAAGGGAGAAAATTTTGGGCTTAGGGAATACCATAATGCTTTAAACTTCGAGCTATTTCTTCTTTTTTTTCTCAAATAATGTCATTTTGTCATAGATCTCTGAAAATGACCTTGAAAACTTCCCATAAAAATCAACAGAACTTACGATGTTCAGAGCATAAGAAATAAATGTCACCTTCAAGATTCATCAAAATGAGCTTAGATGAAATTTTAATTGCCATACTCAAGCCACTTAAATAGTTAACCAAGACATTCTCCCTTGTTTCTATAGTGATACATAGTATTGAAAATTGCTTTGACTGCACACTCAAATTATTACAATTCAACTTTCTTCAACATCATAAATTGAAAGGATATCATGTGGATCTTTGTTGTTCCCAATTAGGATTGAAAATAACTTCTGGCCAAATTAGTAGTGTAGAGACTTATGGAATGAAGTCAATTTAAAACAGAATTTTTTTGAGTTAATGGTAAGAAAGAGTTTGTTGCAATAAAATTCTTTGAAATTTTAGATATGAAATTGGTACAAAAACTTAATACAAATTCATCTACCTGATTTTTTGTGGCAATGTCATAAATAAAAGAAATATGGTCTCATCTTTCCTAAATATTTTGCTCATGCTCTTTGACAATACCGTAAAATGTACTTAAACTACATAAGAATCTTCCAGTAAAATAAAATGCAACATTTCACTCAGAAGTAAAACATTTTTAAAATAGTGTCCAACAATTGCTTCAAGAGGGTGACAACTTATGAACACCCTGTTCTAAGTGTTTCCACCCTAATTGGTTTCTTTCTTTTTTTTTTTTTTTGAGACAAAACCTTGCTCTGTTACCCAAGCTGGAGTGCAGTGGTGTGACCTCGGCTCACTGCAACCTCCGCCTCCTGGGTCCAACGGATTCTCCTGCCTCAGCCAACCAAGTAGCTGGGATTAGAAGCAACTGCCACAATGCCCAGTTAATTTTTGTGTTTTTTGTTTGTTTGTTTGTTTGTTTTAGTAGAAGTGGGTTTCACCATGTTGGCCAGGCTGGTCTCGAACTCCTGACTTCAAGTGATTGGACTCCCAAAGTGCTGGAATTACAGACATAAGCCACCATGCCTGGCCTCCCCTAATTCGCTTCTTTAAACCTCTCTACATCATCACAAGATGGGTGTTACTATGATCACTATTTTACAGGTGAGCATATGAGGAACAGAGAGGTTAAGGAGGAACAGGGTGATCTGCTACAACTCTTCAGCAGGGCATTCTGGGCAGGACTGTCTAACTTGTGAGAGGCAAGGGGACTATTTATAGCCTATGTATTCCCGTTAAAGTAACAAACATATATCAAGAATAAATATTACAGTATATTTCTAGCAACCATCTAGAAATAGGAAATAGTATCAGTACCATATTGTCAGATGACAGTAGGATTAAATAAAACCGGAGTAACTAAGTAACTGACCCTTTATTCCCTGCATTTAAAAGAAAAGTATGTCTTGGAGTTGAATTAAGTAACCTGGGATAGATCTCTAAAAATCTGTAAGTGAAACAGGGGTCACATATTAACATGTTATACTAGAAACAGTGTCTAAGAAAGGAATTTGGCACTGGAATCTACATAGGAAACAATTAAATTATCCATAAATGTTTTTTACTTTATCTTGAAAAAGGTATAGTACCAAAAACTCCACAAACACTGCTAGACCCTCCATAATACGTGTGGGCTCTAAGATAAGAGTGGAAATAGAGGCCCACATAACATGTGTATAAATATTTTAACATTATAAAGCAAACTACTCCGATAATCTGGCCTGCATTTCCACCTAGGTTCTCAATGGCCCACTTCCTGACCACCACCCTCTGGAGTCCAAAGGAGATTTGCTTATTCCCAATGTTATTCCTGCAGGTCAGCCAAAGAGGAGCAAAGAGTCATCTACCTCAATCATGTTCAGGAAATGATCAGGTCAAGATGTGGAGTGAGCCAGCTTTTCTCTTTTGTGCCACATTTTCTGACCCAGTATTTCAAGGTACTTCTAGTACACAAAGACTATTACAAGAGGGAGGAAAGAAGGAAGGTCAGTTATCTGAAGAACTGAGGCTAGCTAGAAGCCCAAATTTGGTGTGATGAGGGCCATCAAATCTCAACAGAAACAGCTTTCTCTCTCTGTTATCCTGGACAGGGCTTGTGATTTTTTTTTTTTCCTCCACTCAGCCATAGACTCTCAGCTACATATCCTCTAGCCTGGAGTAGTCAAATCAGCTCATCTCTTTCTCTCTCATACCAAACTTTCAAAAACAAAACAAAACAAACCAAACAAACAAAACAAAACAAAACAAAACAAACACTTTGTTATTGGAATAAATGAGAAAAATGTATTTGTGTTTAAATATCTGTGATACATGGACCATCAAAAGCCTCGCTGCTAATGAAGGCAATTATTTAGGTTTACTTAATCTATTAACTTATCAGTTAATAACTGCTATTTATTCTGCTAGAAATTCCCAATGGTATAATTGTTTCTGGCTGTAGCTCCTTCCATGCTTTGTACATCTTACTTGTGGTAGGCAGAATCACAGCTCTCCACAGATGATGTGATTTGGCTGTATCCCCACCCAAATCTCACCTTGAATTGTAATAATTCCATGTGAAGAATGGGGTCAGGTAGAGAGAATTTAATCATGGGGACGGTTTATCCCATGCTGTTCTTGTGGTAGTAAATAAGTTTCACGAGATCTGCTGGGTTTATAAACGGGAGTTCTCCTGCACAAGCTCTCTTGCCTGCCACCACGTGGGATGCAACATTGCTTCTCATTGGCTTTCCACCATGATTTTGAGGGCTCACCAGCCATGTGGAACTATAAGTCAGTTAAACCTCTTTCTTTTATAAATTACCCAGTCTCAGCTGTGTCTTTATTAGCAGTGTGAGGACAAACTAATACAATGGGTGTCCACATTCTAGTCCCCAGAATTTGTGAATATGTTAGTTGCATGGCAAAGGAAAATTGAAATTGTAGACTAAACTAAGGTTGTTCGTCAGTTGATATTAAGATAGGAAAGTTATTCTGGATTATCCTGATGGGACCAAAATAATCAGAAGGACATTTACAAGTGGAAGGAGGCAGAAGAAGTTAGAGTGATGAGATGGGAACTCACAAACTGCCATTGCTGGCCCTTTAAAACAATTTAAATCTTGTTTTATGACACATAATTATTGTACATATTTATGGGATACAGTGTGATGTTTCAACACGTGTATGTATAGTTTAAATATTGAATCAGGATATTCAACATATTCTTCACTTCATACATCTTTGATATCTTTACGGTGAGAGAATTCAAAAATCCTCTCTTCTAGCTATTTTGAAATATACAATACAATATTGCTAACCATAGTCACCCTGACTCCATTCCTCATTTTAAAAATGGAGGAAGGGACAGTGATCAAAGGAATGCAAGCAGCCTCTGGGCTGTGGAAAACCAAAGGAAACAAACTCTTCCCACAGACCCCCCCCAAGAAAAAACCAACCCTGGCAGTATCTTGGTTTTACCATGGTGTGATCAAGTCAGATTTCTGTCTTACAGAACTGTAACATAATAAATCTGTATTGTTTAAGCTACTAAGTTTGAAGTAATTTTACTAAAACTTGAAAGGAATTTACATTTTGCTTTTAAAGTTCTTTATTTTTGAAACTTTAGACAGAGATCAACAAATCCTCAACAAGAGATAGCTCAATTTTTACCTTTGCAAAAGGAATTATGTTACATATCTATAAGAATGAATAACTACAGCACAGAAAAATACTCATAAGTAATATATTATTTGAAATCAGGAGTCTAATAAGAGAAAATGCAAATGGACCCTTTTCTATAAGATTTAGATAAATTACATGAAAAAATATGTGTGATAAGAGGTGTGTGTTCTGAGTTAATACATATAAAATCTGAAAAAATTGCAACAGGAACAATAAATATGGAAATTGAAATCACAAAAAAATCAATGAATTTGAAGACTATTTGGAGAAATGCTTATATCATCCTAAGATTAATTTATTCTAACCATGCACCAGTGATAGTATTATAAGAAGAAATAAATTCGTTATCATTTTTTACTGTATTTATTTTTTAAGACAGAGATTGGTACTAATTCAGTAATGGAAAACTAATTGTAAAATTTGTACTGTGGTAAATTTGGAAAACAAGGCATGGCACAGAAAGAGTATATAATAAAATCATTTGGCATAAAGGCCATTTGAAATGGATTAATTATGGTGATGAAACATGTCATCATTTCCTGGACAAGTAGGGAAGATAGGCAATGAGAAGGCTATGGAGGAGAGAGAAGAGAGTAGAGTCCATAGAGTGACAGTCTTCAACAGGTTAAAAACCTGTACGAGTTCAGGTCTTGAACAAGTGATATTGGATGAAATGGGAGGTAGAGAGGACCAAAGAGTAGGATTTTTTTTTTTTAATATTGAGAAACATTTGCTGTCTAAAATAGAGAAGAAATGTTATTAACATGCATGGTGGTCAAGAAACTGACAGGTAAGATTTGAAAGAGTTATCAGTTTGAGGTAAGCACAATAGAGAATAACGACAGAGTTTATAATGGAGAGAATGCCTTTGAAAGCCAAAAGCAAAAGTTGTCTTAATAGAGAAAGAAACCAAACAAAGGTTTGAAAAAGCATTTGAATGGAAAGTTTGGTGTAGACGTACGTTATGAACCATAAACTGTCAAAGTTTATTGGTGATGCTTGCTGGTTTATTTACTTGTTGGTTTTCAGAAGGAAAGAACTATAATAGACTGATAACTACAAATTAACTGAAATTGTATATACCCCGCCTCCTCATGATTAGGCAGGTGAAGATGGGGTGAGCAAAATAGTAGCAACCCATTGAAAGGGCTGTTGAAGGGGTTATATTTTCCAGACATATCAGGAGTTCAAGTTGTTATTAAAAACGCAAAAAGAGTTTGCTAATCAGAACATAAGCATTCAATATCTATCACTATCAAGTTGTGAGATAAGGAATAGGTAATTGATTCTGTTGGAAAAGCAGAGTCATATAATGATGACAGTCTGATAATACCTCTGTGACTTGAAAGTGACAGAAGTAAACAGGAACATGAAGCAAAGAGTTTTAGTTCTGATAGTCTCTTTGAGGAGGAGGAATAATGGCACTATTGTCATTTTTTGAATATTTCCCCTAGTATTTTTAGGGATTTCACAAATCGTTCTAATGCCTTAAAGGACTACCACTCTGGAACATCGCTCAAAGCAATGTTCTTGTGAGGATTAGGCTTAATGAAAAGTCCTGTAATGCTTGGACACATGGAAAGCTGACCAGTATTAGATAAAACAAAATTGTTATAGTTGGGAATTATTACTATAGGTATTTTCATCATCATTTTGCAACATTTATAATTTTTTCTTAATGAAATATGTTGATTTTTCAGTGTTTTTAAAGTAAAATTGTATTACATTTAAAAAATTAATAGGGAACTATTCTGTTGAAGACAATGAATGCATATTATGCTTAACATGTTAATATGTGTTTCACATTATTTATAGATTTTGTCTACTGCATTGAAATTTGCTAGAATGCTGCATATGTAGAGCTTAATGTAATCACTTCCTAACTATAATCTCTGGAGCCAACCCAGTTACAATAAAATTAACTCTAATTTTGTGTCTTTTATTTGTTTCTACTTCTAGGTTAAATGTGGTTTGAGAAAAGTGTTTTAGAAAACTTTGAAAAATCACTGGCTTGTTAGAATGCATGTTCTATTAAAAGATATGAGTCCTATCTCCAGGTTACTTAAAATATTAGTTTTACTCCAAATTGTATTCTAGTTTCCCTATCTTTAAAATATGTTCATGAAACATTTCTCTTCTCTTATGAAGTTAAATGTTCTTTTAAGTTTGAAATTTATTAGAGAACTCTGATATATGATTTTTAAAAAATAACACTCTGAATTACTTTCTAAAATGGAAAGCAACCCTAAAACAAAAAGATATTACCAATATTCAGTTTTACCTCTGGCTTCAACTTATTTTTCTCTCAAGATCTTATTATTCTCTTCTCCAGCTACCCAAGGTGCGAAAAAGAAAAAAGGCCAAAGGGAAGAAGGTGGTGCTAACCCTTGCGGTCTTGAAAAAGCAGGAGACCATGAAAGTGGTGAATCTTCCATTTGAGAAATTTGGCACTGGACAGGACATTTTGGCATTGGACAGAACATCCAGCCCAAAAGGGACCTCACTTGCTTTGTCAAATGGCCCCATTATACTAGGTTGCAGCAGCAGAGAGCCATCCTCTATAAGCAGCTAGAAGTGCCTTCTGTGATTAGTCAGTTCACCAGGGCCTTGGACCACCAAACAGCTGCTCAATGGGGTAAGCTGGCTGGCAAGTACAGACCAGAGACAAAGCAAGAGAAGCAGCAGAGACTGTTGGCCTGGGCTGAGAAAAAAGCAAAGGAGACATCCCCACTAAGAGATCACCTGTCCTTTTAATGGGGGTTAACGCTGTCACCACCTTAGTGGAGAAAAAGAAGGATCAGCTGGTGATGACTGCACAGGACAGAGATCCCATTGAGTTGGTTGTCTTCCTGCCTGCCCTGTGTTGTAAACTGGGGGTTCCTTACTGCATTATCTAATGGAAGGCAAGCTTGAGACATCTAGGATTAAAAAACAAACAAACAAACAACAACTCTTAAAAATATTCTTTTAAAACTTCTAATTATTAGGTTTTTTTTTATCTCTTCAGTACATTAAAATGTCTGGTGGTAGGAAAATACTGGACTCATATATGACTGTCTACATGATTTGCAGGGCCCAGCGCAAAATGAAGTGGATGTTGTACCTCGTTCAAAGTGTTAAGCGTTTCAAGATGGCAACAGGAGAGCATTAGGCCAAGTATGAGGTCATTATGTACATGGGTCCTTTTGTGACCACACAGGTCACAGGAACATGAAGCTAGACCTGAGTGTATATTCAGATAGGTAAATCTTACAGATTTTTAAAACTCAATAAAAGAAAAACTACATTTCATGTGTGAACACAAAAATTGGAATTAAATTGGCAATAGCATTGGGATTTGTGCTCAGAGTCACAGTTTACATCTGACCACAATTTCTATATGAATTTTTTAAGATAAAACAGTAAGAATTTTAAAGAAGGTTTCTGAAATTTAAAAATTATAATAACATAATTAACTTTGATATTTTAATTCCATGTAATTTAAAACATTTAATAGATATATAATGTTCCACTATTAATTTAACTAGAAGTATAAAAATAAAACATATATAATAAAAATATTCTACTTATTTTTAAATTATCTATATTATACTGAGTAAAAGAAAATTTAGGAATATAAATAAATGAGCATTTTTGAACATGTAAAAATATTTTCTTGCTGTTTTTAGGAGACTTTTAGCAGGACAGGAGCTTACCTCTCATCTACCTCTGCTTGGACAAACCAGTGATGTGATTTGCAAATAGGCTGTAACTTCACCGAAAACACATCACAGTAAAGAAAGGTAGTGACTTTCAGAGAATTTGACCTAACTTAGAATTTGTAAAAGAGAAAAGCATTGTCCTTATGCCTAAAGTACATGACTGTTTCTTTTTAAGTTACATGTATATTTACCTGACCAATTTGTTTTACTCTGTATTTTAAGTTATCAGGTGAAATGGTTTTAGAATAAATTAATGAGTTGTTTCTTCTGAATAAATGTGCATGTTACAAATGCAAACACGTGTATGTATTATACAACTATGCAGCTTCAAGAGCTGACTTATTTCTATCAGCTTTTTATTCACTTAAAAAAATCAGGCTACTGAAGCATATTAGAATTTAATTACACCAATTAGTACTGCCACATCAGACATATGATGTGCCTTCAATTAAGAAGTACCTAATGGGTATTAGTACAATTTAGCTTCATAATTAAAGTTCTAAGAACAGCACAAATTAAACATTATGATTACAAAACATTAAAAATCTACTGGTGAAATTAAAGCTGAATATTTAACTTCTCCTTTTGAGCTGATTTTAAAAAAGAAAATCAGGATTATATAAAATGCAATGTTATTATTGAAGCATTCTGAATTTAAAAACAGAAATTAAGCTCACATGCCCATAAATATGTGCATATACAATGATTAAATATTTAGTAAAATACCCAACCTAACACTTGTGCCATCTAATAAGCATTAAAGGTTATCATTTTGGAGTTTCACTTGATTGGGTTTTGTTTTGTTTTGTTTTTTTCATAGAAATATTTGATATATGTGGTCACCACTCACAACTCTTGCTTCAGTGAGCATGGATGACAGGCAGCCCCAGCTACTGTTTTTCTGGTTGTATGACTATCTTTGCACTCAGACCATATTTTCTCTGGCTGTTCCTGGCCAATGACTGAGCATGCTCGGAGTATTGATGAAGGCCATTTTTAAGATTTGTGATAACCTTCCAACAGAAGACTTTGGACTGGAGACTCCTATTGTCCGGGCCAAAACTTCCTAAACTGTGTTTCAGGCTGTGACTCTTTCATTCTCATCCTTCTTCCTTCTCCCCCTCCTTTGACAGAAGCCAGGCTTGCATCACTGAAGACTCCCTGCACTTAGATCTGCTTTTTCTTCTTAATCTTTATCTAACGTTCCTCTCATAACCTTTTGAGTGACTTATAATTGCATAGTATCAGCTTCTTGGAAAACCTGACTTGATAAACTATCCTATTTGAAATACAGATATATATGCATTTAACAATTTTTGACATTATTAGCACATTGAATATTAAATAGTATCTGAAGAGAGATACCTTTAAAAATGAAGACACCTTCCTATTGGGATTTTCTTCAAAACAAATAGATTATTTTTAAAAAGATTACAACTATAGCAACTTCAGTCTCTCCTGTTTTATCTACTAGAGTGATTTGCTTCCTCTGCCTTTCTTAAAGTGATTGGTTAAAATGTTTTAGCACTTAGCAGTTTCTTCCTAGTTTTGCAGATATGGCCCTGAAATGGCTTATGAGTAAGGCAAATAGAGGATGTTCTTACTGGGCTAGTGCTTTTATTTCTCTCTTTCGCTTGTTCTATTTTTTAAGTGAAAATGGCATTAGCATCTTATTTGTCAGGCTTTCATTTTCGTGTTTGAGAATTCCACTTGTAGATAACCAATAGCTATAACCTGTTCAGGTCTTTAAAAATATAGCTTATTGAATGAGCAGTCACACACAAGAAATTCCGTTCTTCCCATAGTCCATCATGCTTTACCCGTATTCAGCTTCTCACTTCTGTATCTAAAAACACTAGATTTTATCATTCTACTTTAAAGTTTCTTTCTTTTTTTTTTTTTTTTTTTTACTTTTCCTAAAATACTCAAATTTCCATAAAGGAACAAGGGATAAAGCTTAAGCATAACTTCAAAAGAGACATAAGCGGGGTGAACAAGATCCAAACACAGGCTCTCTTGATGTAAAGATAGACCTTTAACCATGTGCAATCTGTCTATTAAGAAAATAGAGGACTCTAAACACAAAATTAAGAGTATAGTTGTCTCTGTGTGACTGAAAAAGAGTGAAAGATAACTGCAAAATTATTGATACTGTTCTTATGCTTAAATTGGGTTGTGTGCTTACATGTGTTCATTATGTTAATATGTCTCATAGGTTAGGTATCTCAATCAAATATGCAGTTATATAAATACAATACACTGAGATAAGATAACTAGCAACACGTTGAAACAAAAAAACAAGAATAGGATTGAATACTGTCACGATCTTTACAAGGCCTGGCCTTTCACTATGTAAATAGATATCTTTTAGTCCAAGAAATCACAGAACTTACACATTTTTAGGAAAAGAAGAAAAAATTCATAGAATAAATTAATTTTATGTCCTGTAAGCAAAAGTCTACTAAGGTGAATTCATAATATCCCATAACAGCAAAAATAATGCATTCAGAAGTCCTAAATCTATAAACAATAAAAATAGTTAAGCACATAGAATTTACTTAAGTTCAAAAGCATCATGTTCATTAGACTTATATAATTCTTGTAGCATTTAGTACATCCTGGATAATTCTTATTCCCATTATTTATTGCTAAGCACATTGAAATTTCACATTAATAATATTATTATTTTTTAACTTTCATTTGTATTGTAACTGTTGGTTTTAACTGATGAAGATGCAAAACAAAAATAAACATTCAGGTAAATAACTATTGTCTAGAAAGATCCAACCTGTAAGCTAGCAATATGGTTTGATTCTTTCTTTTAAAGTTATGTTATTATAAGTATATAAGCAATTCAGATAATAGATCCTGGGTTATGACGCATATCCTATTTGCATAAGCTTAATATATTTTAAAGATAACCAAAAAAGATAATGTATAATTAAAACTATAAATAAACACATTACTCAACATAATTACTCCTTAAATATTCAGTCCATTTAATATAGGTCTTCGCTGCCGTAAATGAACTCCCATGAGCTTCTAGAGGACTCGTTTTATTAAATGTTATAGTCTCTGGCTCTGACCAATCATAGCGCTGTAGACACTGTTATAAACAATGTAATAAGCTGCTAAAAAAGCAAGAGGTATTTTTTATTTTTTTGTAATTTGATTTTATTATCATGTTTTCATACCCACACAAAATAATCAATACATTAACATACAACCATCACACATATTCAACAATTATCATAATTTTGTTGTTTCTGCTTAAGGTATCCCTGTTCTCTTCTTGCCAAATTATTTTAAAAATATATCTCAGAGTGTAATTTTATACCTACATACTTAAGGATACATCTCTAGAAAATGCAGATATTTAGTAATACATTTTTACACAGTTAATTTATTTTTCTTCAGGATCTCAATTCAAATATTGTTTGTTATTAAAAAACTGTCTCTAGCATATGTTTTACTATATATTTAAGAATATAATTTGGAAAAAAAAGTCTGACACATAGTCCATGTTCAATTTACCTCTTCAACTAATCTACTAAAAGGAAAAAAATGACACCAATACTTCTTACTCTTCCCTGAAGTTATGTTATGATATTTTTAGATTTTGGAATCCTGTAAAGTGTGCCCATTATTGGTTTCAAGTACATGTTTCCTAACTCATTTCAATCTCTTCTATAATCAAGTGCAAGAGAAAATATAAAATAGGCCCTATGATTGTAGAAATAAAAGTGGAAAAAACTAGCCTAGAGTTCATAAAAGTAGACATATAAAAATCTTGAAATGATAAAGGCCATAATCAATTAATTGAAACTAAAATTATTCCTTTGAGTTATTTTTGGGTATTCTTCCAATTTTAGTTTTTTTGTTTGTTTGTTTGATGTTGCAAATATCACAGTGTATGCCTTTTTTTTTTTTTTTTTTTTTGAGACAGATTCTCACTCTGTCGCCCAGGCTAGAGTGCAGTGGCACGATCTCGGCTCACTGCAAGCTCCGCCTCCTGGGTTCACACCATTCTCCTGCTTCAGTCTCCCGAATAGCTGGGACTACAGGCGCCCGCCACCACGCCCGGCTTATTTTTTGTATTTTTAGTAGAGATGGAGTTTCACCGTGTTAGCCAGGATGGTCTCGATCTCCTGACCTCATGATCCGCCAGCCTCAGCCTCCCAAAGTGCTGGGATTACAGGTGTGAGCCACTGCGCCTGGCCAGTGTATGCCTTCTAAAAGCAGAGTCTGTAGAAAATATATATATAAATGGTAACACAAGCATATAAAATAAAATGTGGCAATTACTATTCAATGAAAAATACAGGGACATTTGGGAGAGCATAACAAATAAGGGATCAAATACGTGCTGAGATAAATACATTTTTGTTACATGAGTCAGGAGTTAAAGAAATAAATGAAAGATGAGAGATTAGGATATAAAGTATATAGGGTGCCAGTTCATATAACACTTTACATTAAAGGAATTTGAGCTTTTGTTTGAAACAATGGAAGCTATTGGGAGTTTTAAGGGGATTGATATGAAGGAGGTAAAATAGGAGTCTATAGCACTAATCTAAAGTGGTAAGTGAATGGAAGTCAAAGCTATTTAGTGGAGTAGGTTGAACCAAAATTGATGACTAAGTAGGTGGTATCTAAAGGAAAGGAAAAGTTTGAGTCTTGGGTATCTGGCATGCATAGTATACTAACAGTGATATACACAGTTACTTTCAGGCTCACTGAATGAGTTAGTGGTCAATGAAATACAGAACAAAGTCATGCAATTCACTTTCAAGTTGTGTTCTTGAAACTTCCCATGGCACCCATGAAGATTTCAAGAGTCATTTGTTATTATATCCCATCTTGACTAATACCAAGTTGTTAGAAAAAAATGAAATACTATTGTAACAATAAGCTAAAATAAGTGGTATTGTCTTAACGATGAGAAAGAGCATGAGGAAACTTAAGATCATAGATGATGAAAACTGTTTCCCCTATCTCCACTCCCAAGAAGGGAGAGGTTGGGATTATACAAAGTGATTAATCTATGTGTTCTTCCCAGAAAAAAAAAAGGCAGAGTTTAATCAAATAACTTTTCCAACCTTTAGTATATGGTTCATTCAAACTGTCTGACCTGTAGTGTTTCAGAATTACCAATGGTCAGTGGTTTCTATGTACTGTACCTTATATTTTGCCTTTCTAAATGGGCTATGAGCATTACATATCTTAGCTCATTTATCTTTTAAATAACTTTAAGAAGCTAGTATTATTATTAGCTTGATTTTGCTGGTGAGAACATTGAGATGTAGAGATTCAGAGTAGCTAGTGTTTGGTATAACTATGATTTAAATTTAGTTCTGTCTTATTATAATATTAAACAAGTATGTGACTTTGTAGTGTAATGAGTCTCATTCAAAACATACAGCAGTTGCAGCCTAACATCTTGTTACTTTAGGTGGTGACATAATGTATTGACTCATATTGAGCACTTCTAAGTGTAAGTTTTAAGTAGCTTTTTTTCTTTAGAAAGGTGCTGAAGATAATTCAAATACTTTTTTGCATATTATTTTGTGTCCCTGTAGATTGCTAGGACTATGAGGGCAGGGCCATATATATTGTGTTCATCTCTCTATATTCATTTTCTAATGCTGGTCCAAGAAACAGGTTGAGATGCTAAGTAGGGAGGCCGTAGAAAACATCATTGAAAAGATAGCATTTATGCAAAAATTTAAAGGTGGTGAGGGATTAAACATGTAGATATCTGAAGGAAGGGAACCCAGGCAGAGGGAAAAGACGGTGCAAAAGCCCAAGACAGCCCCATATCTGGCTTGTTTGAAGGGGTTCAAGGAAACCAGTGTGGCTGGAGATGAGTGAGGAAGGGGAGTTAACGATGAGCACACAGAAGTAATTTGGGCCTTGATATACGTTTTTAATTTTTAAAAATATATATTATATTTAAATGACATAATAATTGTACATATTTACAGGGTATTTTAAAACTCACACTGCCTTAGAATTTTACCATCAATGAAAGAGAGGGTCACTACAGGTCCTAAGAAGAGAAGTGACACGCTCTTTTATGTAAAAAGGATGACTGTGGATATTGTGTTGGTAACTGACTGTAAGAGGACACTTTTAGGAAAAGTCCCCTCTTTAGATATTGACTTTATCCAAGAGGAAAACAGTAGTAATTCACACCTCAGTAGACATGGTGAGAAGTAGTTGATTCTACATATTATAAAGTCTTTGAGTTTAAGCAACCAGAGGAAGGACTTGCCATCAAATGAAATGGATAAGCATAAACAGGTTTGGTAGTAGCTGGGAGATGGAAATCAACAATTTCTCTTGAGTCATACTTTCTTTGAGATTTCCATTAGGTATCTGAAGTAATCAGAAACTAGCCAGGAAAACTGAAATCATTGAGAATTTAAAACAAAGGGAATTGATACAGGTAATTGATGGTAGAAATAACTTTAAAAAAATTAAAGCCAACCAGGGGACAGTGAGGCAACCTACAATTTAGCAACAATGGGAGGCTACTATCACCTTCCCTTGGAGAACAGGGATAGGAGGCTGTACTACTGGAGCTGCAGGGAGGGATATTTGGGGGAAGCTGGAACCACAGTGGGCCTATGTAAAGGAGCAGGAGCCTGGAAAAAATGTAACTGTTATTAGGGATGACAGGGAGAAAATGAGACAATATCTAGATTTCTCCTTGTTCCTGCCTTTCATCTTTCTACATGTGTCTCCTATTGTTTGAGCCTAACTGGAAGCCAGCTTTCAGAAAATCTGAGCTACATAATCCACAGTGTTCATCCCCTCTGTCTTATGAACTGAACTGGGCAGAGTGAGGAATGGGTCTCAGGAAAAATAGACCCATTATCATCACGACATTCAGGTGGAAGTGTAAAAAATGCAATTGGATTTATGCGTGTGGAATTTGGGATAGAGATATGGCATGGAAATATAAATTTGGGAGTCATTAGCATTTACACTGCATGTAAAACCACGAGATTGGATGAGATAACCAAGGAAAGAAGTACAGAGAAAGATGATGGTGGGGGGAAATAAAATACTGAGGCCTGGAGCATTCCAACATTGAGTCTGAGGAATAGAAGAAAACACTAAAAGAGAGAGAGAGAGAGGGAGACAGAGAGAGAGAGAAGTATACAAATAATATAAAACCAGGGAGTCAAATGAAGATAGTATTATGAGAATAATCTACTTCAAATGCTGCTGATAAATCAAGTAAGGTGAGAAAAATAACTATAAGATTAACAAAGTGGAGGACAGGTTTAATTAGAGTAGTGGGGGGCAAAAATCTGTATGGAAATGAAATGATTAAAGAGAAAATGCAGGGAGCAAATGACACGGTGACTATAAATTATCCTTTTAAAGAGTTTTGGTGAAAAAGGGATCAAATTCCCTGGTGGTATCTGACAATGAAAATGGGGAAAATGAAGAATACTGGTTGCTTATTTGCTTTTATTTTCTAGTATGACAGAAGTAATAGCTTATTTGTATGATCATGAAATGACCCAATAATGAGGAAAATTTGATTATGTATAAGAGGGGTAAGTATTGAAAAGTATCTGTCTATAGCCTGTGTAGTCAGAAAGAGTTGATGAACAAGTAAAGGTGTAAGCTTGAGGTAGGTGTATAAACATTTCATTTCTGGCAGTGGTTTTCTTTAAGGAGAGATTTCACTCTGCAAGGAGCCAATTGGCAATGTTTGGAGATGTTTTCTGTTGTCACAACTTGTGAATGGAGTTACTACTAGCATCGAATTGGAGAGGCCAGGGATGTTGCTAAACATCCTGCAACATACAAGGCAACCTTTCCAACACCCCATCCCAAACATAGAATTATCTGGCTCAGTTTGTCCATAGTACCAGAGAAAAGACCCTGCTCTATTAATATGCAGGATGAGTAGTGTGTAATTTTAGATACTGGCGTTAAGTATATGTAGTAGTGGGAGTCTGCATACATTTCCTCTTCATTGTTATTTATCTATCTATGTATTTATTTTTTGACACAGGAAACAAGGTCATCAGCTGGCATTGAGATTGAAGAAAAGTATGTGAGGGGTGTGAAATGAGGAAAGAATCCATAAGTTAATCTTACATAAGAGGAAGAAGGCAATGGCTAACAAAAGAAAAATGGGCTTGTTTGGCCGCCTTAAAGGCACATTTGCTTTTCAAGGTTGTGGTTTTAAAGAGATAACAATCAACACAATTTTGTTGTGTGTTTTTCTCCCACTGCAGTTTGGGCATAAAAGCAATTCCAAAATTGATGGAGACATGCATGAAACTAAGGCTATCGTTTTGCTAAGTCAGTCATATTTAGTAGATAGAAATTTATTTGATGACCAAGGATGGCACAAAATGTTTAAAAGACTGAATATGTGACATAATAAAGCACATTTATGAAACAGTAAATTGCTTTTCATAAAGGTGGATTATTTGATGTATCTTGAAGAAGAAATAACAACTGTGAATCAAATATTTATTTATGAAATTGGCAGAGAGTAAATGATTAAAGTTTTAATGATCAGATTGTCATTTTAGAGTAATTATCATTATACAACAGCGAAGAAAAGTTGGAAGAAGTTAAATTATAGAAAAAGGATGCTATTGTTTTAAATTAATGCACTGGTCTAGCTGTGATTTCATTAAGATGATTTCATAACTGTAACAGTAACAATAGGAATATTGAGGACAAGAATGTTGAGGACAGGAATTAAAGAGAAATTTATTGGTTGAAATAAATTAGGTTTTTAGATTCATTATGATTAATGTTTAAGAAGGAATATATAATTTCTAGTCAACATATAATAATGCAAATTTAACACATAAGAAATATTGATAGAAAAAGGGTTCTACCTTAAACATATTGCTAGACCATGTGAGAGAGTTCTGTAGAATAGATTCAAGAATGGTGTGGAAAGGGGTGGTACCTCCTGATCAATTTTCTCCCCTGATGGGGGCAGGTGTGGAGGAAAACTCCTGGGAAATAAAGAAGTCAGGTGTTCTGGTTTAATTTTTCTGCAAACATATTAATGCAAGTCTCTTAGAAAATAAACTAAATAGTTTTTGGTAGCCAAAGAATCATTCCTCATAAAATGTTTCTAGCAGACCATGAGGAGTTGTCTAAAATTGCTTAAGAAAAATAAGCCAGGAATCAATAAATGTAGGGTGATGATTCCCAAGAAAATGTCACGTTAGCTGTGTTGCTATCTAAGTATAAAAGGAGATGGTTTGTAACTGAGAATACACCTGAGTAAGTAAAGCAACTGTACATTTTACTTAGAAACCAAATCTAGAAACTTGGATGAGACCACATTCAATGAAGATGAAAGGACACAGGTCTCTCCCCACTTAACCCATACATGATTATTTTATCTTTGAAATTATTCAGAAAGCATGATACTGAGCAAAATCTTCAATCTGAGTCCGATTTGACAATTCAATGCTTTTTGTGGGTTCAGATTGGCACTGAGAGCAGGATTGTCTTTTAGACCCACACACCAAAATAGTGAATGTTTTCTTTTTCTACCTGGGCTCCTTTTCAAAAGGAAATAATGGAAAAATATGAGAATTTGTTCTCAGGATAGTTGGCTGTACATTTTTGGTATGAGGTAGTGGAATCTTTGAGGCAGGTTAAGGGAAATAAGTCTTACCATTGAAATCTGGGGGCCATAGACTACAGTCTGGGAGTACGGGTCTAGGGAGTACATGGACAAAGGGAAATTGGGTACAAATCCCATTGACTGACTCCTGCTAGCATACTTGTAAAAGCTAACCTTTTAATAGGTTAGTTTTTAATAGGAGGAGATGATAGTGGGAGAAAAAGCTGCGAGATTACATTTTATTCACTGGAAAACCTTCTTATCCCTCCCTGGTTTCTTGGAGAAATTTCATGTATCCTTAGAAATGACTCAAAATATTGATTATTGGACAAACTATTTATGTAACCGGAGTCCAAGGACAGGTGATGAGTGAAAACTATATTTTATTAAAGAACAGAGTATTCACTAACAGAAGACTGGTGAATTAACATTGGCATGGATTCTTCAAATTAATGATGGAGGACATGTTGCAATTCTATTATTATCTGATGCAAAGGACTATTCATGGTCATGGCTAATCATTAAATGGCTGTAAACTTTTGAGAAAACACTTCCAAATACTGTGACAGCATATCGGCTGCAGTTGTTAAGGTGAGATTTGTCAGTCCTATACTGAGAAGGGTAACTGCTACTACTCCTCTCCAAATTGCCAATTGGATTCTCCTTTTCACATGATAGGAATGATACAAGTGTAAATGTTGACAGGCTTTATATTTTCCAGAGAGAAAACACCTTAGTTAATGCTATTGATACAAATAATAAGAGATAGAGTGAATGGGATAAGCTAATGATTCTCTGTCTTACAAGACTTATATAACCTTGAGGGCCAAATATATATATTCAGAGAACAGTAACAAACATACAGGTTTAGTTACTATACATGGGATTATATGGAGAAAAAGCATTTATATCATGTGCACAACAGGGAGAAATTAAAAATCAGAAGAGAAAATAGAAAGGCAGCTCACTTGAATTAATTTACTTTTGAAGAAAATATAAATAGGATTTAAAAAGTAAGCCTTGATAGAATTTTTAATAAGAAAATAAAAGCACATTATCAACTTTTGAATCAGAGGAGAGGAGTACTGTAGCCCCCACCAATCCCTTAAAGAATCATAGAAAATTTGCTTTATTTATTGTGGCTGAAAGAGTTCAAATCCAATTATGAGGATAGTGATATAGAACAGAACATACTTGAACAGGGGGCTGGGTTTACTGCCTTAATTAAAGCCGTAGAATCTGAAAACAATTAAATAAAGAACTGAGGTCTGGATCTGAGGCCATATATATAATTTGAACAAAGTTACCTGGGGTGGTATTCAAAGTTTCTTATCATTGGTAGGATGTAGAGCAGAATTTACAGTAGGCCTTATGGAAGGTAGGAAAGAGTCTCATACATGCTCTAAGTGAAATCTGGAGTGCATGAAGAGAACATCAGGGAGGAAACCAAGGTAAAGATGAAGTTACAGGTTGAAATGTGTGGTTGGAGAGAATATTACCTGCTTGTGCTACCTTTACATAAATACAAAATTGCAATTGTCATTCAATATGAATGGGACATTGTCGTCTTTGTGTTTCCACAGAGGATGAAGACTGAGCTCACTCTTCACCAAATTTTAATCAGCTATGCCAAATGGGATCCTTTGGAATTGCTCAAGCTCTCCACAGTAGTAAATATTAAGCAATGCAGAATTCCAAGGGCGCAATAAGAGACTACTGTTGTAATTAAGAAAATGGTTCAGAAGGAAGTTCCCCTCCCCACATTAACTTCCTTTTTGTAGTTCTAACTGGTCAATAAGTAGGTAGCCCCTGGACATTTACAGTAGAGTATCAAGGTGGTTCATTTGCATGCTTCATCTGTACCTGATATGATGAAGAATGTACAGAAAATAAAGTAGACAAGAGGCTCTGATATGTTATCAAGATTAACTACATAATTCATAGAGCTGAGTATAAAATGAAAATGCATGGATACTTACTCAAAAATTATTAAGAATTTCCAGATAGCTACAACAGAGCATTAAACCAATCTCAGGGGCCTCCTAAGAGTTTTTTTTTTGTTAATTTCAAGTAGGAAGATTTTAAGCTTTGCAGAATAGAAACAAGTATATGTTTACTGTCTTATCATGGATTTAAAAAAAATTCATTATCACATTTCCATAATCTGGTAAAGAATAACCTAAAAGATAGAGTTCATCTACTACTTTCATGGTATGATGATAATTTTCTTCTCAGAGCAAAAATTAGGAGAGGAGTTAAGGACCATAGTCACCCATATTACAAATAGAAGCTGGCTGATAAATCCAGCTAGAATTTAAGGCACAGCCCAAGGTGCAAATTAATTCCTGGAAATTAGTACAGATCAACTTAGGACATTCCTTAAACTCCAACTAAATCCTATAAATTAGTGCAGATCAACTTAGGACATTCCTTAAACTGTGAGAAGTAATTTATCTTTCATAGGACCCACCAATAAGCAATAAACTCAGAGACTGTCAAGACTGTTCTAAGAATCTTGTCTACCCATACTCACAAAATAACTGGAAAGAGTTCAGAACGTGAATACAGCATTGTAGTACTTTCCTAGGGCTGCTGGAACAAATTACCACAGACTGGGTAGCTTAAAACAACTGAAATTTATTATTTCACAGTTCTGGAGGCTAGAAGTCTGAAGCCAAGGAGTCAATAGGGTCACGCTTCCTTGAAAAGCCACAGAAAAAAATCTTTTCTTGCCCCTGCCTAGGTTCTACTCTCTCCTACAAATTTTTGGAGCTTTATTACTTATAGATTTATTACTCCAATTTCTGCTTTCATTTTCAATCTCTTCTCCATGTGTCCTCTCTTCTTATAAAAACACCTCCAGTCATTGGAATTAGGACCCTCCTTAATCTAGTAGGAGCTCATCTTAACTAATTATATGTGCAAATTTCTAAAGAAGGTCACCTTCTGAGATTCTGAATGAATAATAATTTCAGAAGAGCACTACTTAACTCACTGCAGGTACTGAACAGAAATAAGCATGAAAAGTATTGTGGTAGGTGGTAGCACAGGCAATAACATTAGGCCCTTATGATCCCATCCAACTGGTCAGATGATATTAGGGCATACCCAAACTAGAGCCCTTTAGGAAAAGTTAAATGAGACCACCAATTTAGACTCCTTAGGATTTTGACTCAAAATATGCCTGTGGCAGCTGTTTGCTATAATCCATTTGAAAGACACATGCTGTTGCACTGAATGACACAGCCAATGTCAACAGGAAGGACCAGCTACATAACTTCTGTAACCCAGTGAAAAATGAAAAGCAAGGCCCCTTGCTCAAAAATTATTAAGGGTTCATTTAGTGAAACCATTGCGTCCTGAGACTAATATGAGAAATAAATAACAAAATCCACTGTGCCTTACTAATATCAAGAGGTAGTAATGAGGGAGTGAAGGAGAATGCAATAATATATAACTTTATATCTTTCCCACCTCTAATACTTTTATTTGGCCTCTAATGGCGGTCTCAAACCCAGTTTTAAATTTACTTGCACCAGAGGAAGATTATACAATACCCAAGACATGATATTTGTGTCATTTAATTTGACTGTGCCTTTTCTGAAAGGTAATTTGTGGTGGATCAAAAGTTCCTTCCTATGTAACCAATTAGGGCTAAAGGTGAAGGTAGCTCCATTATCAAGCAGAGGAGAGACTTCTGAGGTCCTTTGTCTGTCACTTATAACATTTGTTTGACAACAAACCCCATGACACAAGTTTACCTGTGTAACAAATCTGCACATGTACCCATGAACTTAAAATAAAAGTTAAACAAACAAACAAATAAAACCCAAACATTTGTTTGGGTGTGCTAGTAAGGTTCTTGTTATTGATTGTGCGGGCAAACATTATGCATGATGAGTTATACAGCCTGATATTGGGAGGAAGCATTTGGAAATAGGGTAAAATCATAGCAGATGGGAAAGGTGTTTATAAGTAGATTACATTACCGTGGAGGGAAGCCACTACAATATTTTCATGCAAACAGCTCAGAGTGAGGATATCATACTTAACTATCTTTTGCTATTGTCATCCAAACAAATGGGCTTTGTTGGTGAAAATCTCTTGGCCTGCTTACTGCAGAAAAGGAAAATTGGACTCCTACTGATTTGGATGTTCTACCTGTATAATTTGAATAAAACAGATGACAAAGTGCCCCCTGACAACTCAGCTTGTGTGTAGTTGACTACAGTTATCACTCAGTTTCTAGGCTTTGTTTACCATTCTAGATTATTTTTTTCCAGAGAAACTACCAATGAATTGTACAGAGCAGAGGATGCTGTAGAATAGAATTTCTGCACCCTATATGGCCATAAATCAAAATGATACATTGCTAAGACAGCTCCCTGGTTATGATAGAAAGCAGATAGTGGCTGCCTGTCTGGTATGTCACAGCTTGATCTGGTCTGTTGCTTTGAACATATCAGTGTGAATGTAAATGGAATTAATTTAAATAATATAAAACTAGAACCTAGAAAGCCTCAGAGAATGTGATTTTATGTTTGCTTTAATGCTTTAAAATTATAAATAACTCCCTCAAGAGGTACGTAGAGGACATTTAAGGGAAGCCTATGGCACAGCCAGATAAAACGGTATCTGGTGCTAGGATATACCTAATTGAGAATTTCATGAAGCACATTATTTGTAGGTGTAGACAATGCTTTCAAACTAGACACATTTAATTAGCACATAATATGAACTACATGAGTGGCAAGTTAAGCAGCACTGGACCCTTTGCCAGGCATTTTGAAAGAATTACAGGATTTGGTCATGTGATATTAAATCTAATCGAAGTAGTGTTCTAGGAGGCCCATCATTATGATAAAAATGACTTGCTACTTCAAATAGGGACACTAGAGGAAGCTGTTTTTAGAGGACTCAGTTGTAGTAGGAAATCAGTTTGGTTTAAGACAATGCTTGAACTGAAGACACTGAATAAATAATGACTTCCATGCTTATTAACAACACTAGGATTAACTTTGTACCTTTAGTCAGGAAGGACTATTGGATATATTAATCACTATGGGATATTATGTCTTTAATGTTGAGTTGCAGGAATTCATAAAGAAACAAGCTCAACGTCGGGCGCAGTGGCTCACACTTGTAAAATCCCAGCACTTAGGTAGGCTGAGGAGTGTGGATCACCTGAGGTCAGGAGTTCAAGACAAGCCTGGTCAATATGGCGAAACCCCGTCTCTACTAAAAATACAAAATTAGCCAGGCATGGTGGCAGGTGCTTGTAATCCCAGCTACTCGGGAGGCTAAGGCAGGAGAATTGCTTGAACCTGTGAGGTGAAGGTTGCAATGAGCCGAGATTGTGCCACTGCACTCCAGCCAGGTGACAAGAGTGAAACCCTGTCAAAAAAAAAAAAAAAGAAAGAAAAAGAAAGAAAAAGAGAGAGAGAGAGAGAGAAAGAAAAGGAGAAAGAGAGAAAGAAAGAGAAAGAAAGAAAGAAAAAGAAAGAAAGAAAGAAAGAAAGAAAGAAAGAAAGAAAGAAAGAAAGAAAGAAAGGAAAAGAAAGAAAGAGAAAGAAAGAAAAAGAAAGAAAGAATTTGAAGAAGTAAAATTATGGGAAAAACGTGTTTAGTCTAAGTTACGGCAAGGTTTCACTGAACACTGTGACCTTCAGTGTTGCTCCCTGACAACCCTGGTAATATGGATGAAAAAGAAGTTTATCTCCCGTGTGTGGAATTCATAGAAAGTGGATGAATAAAGAACAATCCTTTGACATATGTAGGCCATGGGGTGTGGATGGGCTCTTTGACATAATGACCCCTGAAAATTAGTGTTTGTACCAACCTGGAATATACCTAAAATACAGTTCATAGAAACAAATTTTTTTCAGAAAATTTGATTTGAGAAGAAAAAATATGTATTCAATTAAATACTCCCATAGGCCCATGGAAAATGATGCAAATAATTGAGGTTGATGGAGGTAAAAGGTAATTGAGTTTGTGAATGAACATCAAGAGACTTGTAAAGGAAGATGTTAATGAGTAACATGCTTTGTGGAGGGAATTCCTACTCTCTGTTGGATGGTTCAAATCAAGGTCAGAGTATTAGTTGGCTTAAGTGAAACACTGCAGAAAATGGTGTAAGCCAATAATGATAATACACCAGCAATATTTGGCACTAAGATGTTGACCAAGGCCAGAGCAGATTGGGAAGGAAAGGGTCTTTGATTCTTTCTGATTACTGAGATGCCCTGCCAGGATCCACAGAAGGAAGGAAGCCCATTTTGCTTATATAAACATACTAATGACAGCTCCTGACAAACAATTTGTTTTTTTGCTGGCAGGAGAGTGATTATCTATCACAGAAATGCTTTTAGCAGAATGTACTTGGTCGTTTAGAATTGCTTATGGTTAACAAAGTAGAAGGTTGTGGATTTATGGGGCTCCCTGGAAAATGTCACATATACCACATATGTAACTATCTGCATAAAAATTAAGATATTTGATAATTGAGCCAGGTATCTCCATGTAAATAAATTGTCGGCATACCTCTCTAGAAGTCTCATCTATCTGCCTGGGCAAGGGAGTATCTAATGACAGAACCAAGGATCTAAAGAATCAGATTAAGAGATCTAAATAATTCTCTGATTTGCCCATGCCTAATGATTACCTGAGTTCGTGAAATTACTAGTAAAGCTTTATATTTTGTAAGATCTTAGATTCTGATAAGTCTAATGTCACAATCCAATCAGTTTTTCCTATCTCAAGGAATCATGTCCATATAATGGAATTAATCCTGAAACTCTGAAAAGTTTTAATATTCTGGGGTCAGGGTAGATGAGAAGGAGTCTCCATATGACTTATAAACATGTAAGGAGAAATAGTAAAATTGTTGTAAAATTAAAAGAAGAACAGAAATTCATAAAATAAGCTATAACAATCAGGTTAAACAACAAAAACAAAAAGCAAAGCGTCTATCAGTAACATGATTGAATAGAAGAGCCGAGAGAGAGTTGTCAGTGGTAAAGGAATAAATATTATCTCATTTGATAGAGTGATTGTATTAGTCCATTTTAACACTGCTGATAAAGACATACCCATGACTGGACAACTTACAAAAGAAAATGGTTTATTGGACATACAGTTCCACATGGCTGGGGAGGACTCACAATCATGGCAAAAAGGAGCAAGACACATCTTATGTGGGTGGCAGCAGGCAAAAAAAGAGCTTGTGCAGAGAAAATCCTGTTTTTAACACCACTAGATCTTGTGAGACCCATTCACTATTATGAGAACAGCATGGGAAAGACCTGCCCCCATGATTCAGTCTTCTCCCATCAGGTCCCTCCCACTACATACAGAAATTATGGGAGCTAGAAGATGAGATTTGGATGGGGACACAGAGCCAAACCATGTCATTTCACTCCAGCCCCTCCCAAATCTCATATCTGCATGTTTCAAAACCAGTCATGCCTTCCCAACAGTCCCCCAAAATGTCAACTCTTTTTAGCATTAACTCAAAAGTCCACAGTCCAAAGTTTCATCTGAGACAAGGCAAGTCCCTTCCACCTATGACCCTGTAAAATCAAAATCAAGTTAGTTATTTCCTAGATACAATGGGGTTACAGGGGTACAGGGATTGGGTAAACGCAGCCATTGCAAATGGGAGAAATTGGCCAAAACAAAGAGGCTACAAGCCCCATGCAATTCTGAAATCCAGAAGGGCAGTCAAATCTAAAGCTCCTTTGACTCCATGTCTCACATCTAGGTCACGCTGAGGCAAGAGGTGGATACCCATGGTCTTGGGCAGTTCCACCCCTCTGGCTCTGCCGGGTACAGTCTCCCTCCTGGCTGCCTTCATGGGCTGGTGTTAAGTGTCTGCAGCTTTTCCATGCACACAGTGCAAGCTGTCAGTGGATCTACACTTCTGGGGTCTGGAAGACGGTGGCCCTCTTCTCACAGCTCCACTAGGTGGTGCCCCAGTAGGGATTCTGTGTGGGGGCTCCCTCCCCACATTTTCCTTCTGCACTGCCCTAGCAGAGGTTCTCCATGAGGACCCCACCCATGTGGCAAACTCCTGCCTCGGCATTCAGGCGTTTCCATACATCTTCTGAAATCTAGGCAGAGGTTCCCAAACCTCAATTCTTGACTTCTGTGCACTCGTAGGCTCAACACCACATGGGAGATGCCAAAGCTTGGGGCTTGCACCCTCTGAAGCCATAGCCTGAGCTCTATGTTGTCCCCTTTCAGCCATAGCTAGAGTTGCTGTGATGCAGGGGATGAAGTCCCTAGGCTGCACACAGCAAAGGAACCCTGGGCCCAGCCCACAAAACCACTTCTTCCTCCTAGGTCTCTGTGCCTGTGATGGGAGAGGCTAAGGTCTCCACCTTTGACATGCCCTGGAGACATTTTCCCCATTATCTTATGCAAATGTCCATAGTTGGCTTGGATTTCTCCTCAGAAAATGGGATTTTCTTTTCTATTGCATTGTCAGGCTGCAAATTTTCCAAATTTTTATGCTCTGCTTCCCTTATAAAACTGAATGCCCTCAACAGCACCGAATTCACATTTTAAGTGCTTTCCTGCTTAGAAATTTCTTCTGCCAGATACCCTAAATCATCTCTCTCAAGTTCAAAGTTCTACAAATCTATAGGGCCGGGCAAAATGCCACCAGTGTCTTTGCTAAAATGTAGCAAGATTCACCTTTACTCCGGTTCCCAACAAGTTCCTTATCACCAGCTGAGACCACTTCAGCCTGGATTTCATTGTCCATATCACTGTCAGCATTTTGTTCAAAGCCATTCAGCAAGTCTCTAGGAAGTTCCAAACTTGGCCACATTTTCCTGTCTTCTTCTGAGTCCTCCAAACTGTTCCAACCTCTGCTTGTTACCCAGTTCCAATGTCGCTTCCATATTTTTGGATATGTTTCCACCAGCACCCCACTCTACTGGTAACAATTTACTGTATTAGTTCATTTTCATGCTGCTGATAAAAACATACCTGCAACTGGGCAATTTACGAAAGAAAGTGGTTTGTTGGACTTACAGTTCCACATGGCTGGAGAGGCATCATAATCATGGTGGAAGGCAAGGAGTAAGCTACATCTTACATGGATGGCAGCAGGCAAAAAAGAGATTGTGTGGAGAAACTCCCATTTTTAACACCATCAGATCTCGTGAGATCCATTCACTATCATGGGAACAGCATGGGACATACGTGCCCTCATGATTCAGACATCTCCCACTGGATCCTTCCCATAACACGTGGAAATTATGGGAGCTACAAGATGAGATTTGGGTGAAGACACAGAACCAACCCATATCAGTGATTATTTAAGATTTTTTGCAGAAGCCTAACTGTTCAAGGAAGGTGTGTGATGGCAAAGAATAAAAGCTACAGATAATGACATGGCATCAGCTTGATTGGATCCATATTTTGTGGGATCTACAGCACATTCAATTTGGCGGTCAGGGTTTGGGGCTCTTTAAGCAAGAATACAAAACTACAAACTCAAAACTGGAAACTCAAATGCAAATGAGGTGGCCGGAAATGTAAGCCTCATAACTTAGGATAAGAGAACAAAAGCTGATAAACATTTTCTATAAAGGGCACGATAGTAGATACTTTAGGCTTGCAGGCCATATTATTTGTGTTGTAAATATGCAACTTTGCCTTTGTAGTGCTTAAGCAGCTGTAGGCAATATGTAAAGGAATGTCTGTGGCTGAGTTCCTATAAAATTTTATTTATAAAAACCCGTGGCAGCCTGGCTTTGGCTCATTGGCTATAGTTTGCCTACCCCTGGCTTAATAAATCTGCCTCTATTCATAAGTAAGATTCTGCTTGTGTTTTGACTTTGCCATGTGCTCAGGGAAGGTAAGTAAAATTAAAATGTCTAGGAGAAGAAAGTGTAAATAACAACAAATTCCTGTTGGCAACGTATTTATGAATATGGAAGAAGAGATGCCCTCTTATCCTGTGAGATGGAAAGAAAAAAAGCCAAGAATAAATACAAATTAAAGCAAGCAAGTCTAAAATAAGAGAATTAACATTATTCTGGGAAGTAGAAGACAAAGTACTTCTGCTAGGAATGGGAAGACCAAATATGGACTGGAGTATTTGAAAACTCGGTGGATATTTGGAATATCTGTTGTGGACAAAAAAGAGACAGAAAAAAGGAAGAGATCAAAAAGTCAAGTAATTTGAAGTGATTATAGGGAAAAGTGATCTGGACACACAGTTTGTGTCATTCACAAAAGCATCTGACCAAGAGAGTAAACTCTGCCCTGTGGTCAACAGTTACTATTAAAATTTCATCATTCAGATTCAGGGCTTATTTCTAGTTGATACAAAAGTGGAACATTGCCCTACATAATGTTATACTTTTTGTTATTCAGAAATGTTGAAGTTTCTATGCATGAGGTTTTTGTTATTTGACATAATGATTTATTTCACTCATTGTGTTTATCTTATCCAGATTAGATAGAAATTAACCAATTTTAACTTTCTGTTTGTTCTGTATGTTTTAGTAACAAGTAATTCAGGAGTGCATGCAAATGCAACATGAAATGAACAGACGATAAAATAGAGTATATCTGCATAAAGACTTTTCATATGTTATAATAAACAGTATCAAAAACATTATTTGTCTTAAACTGTTTAAAAAATGCCAGTATAAGTCATTTTTAACCTAGTATCAAAATCGTAATCATGTGAAAAGTAAATATTTCTTTAAGTTTTGTAAAATATTTGATGTAGAATATTTAGCTCCAAATTAATTAGGAGAATTTCATAGTGTCTTATAATTAAGCTGCCCTTAAATACACCTGAACCTTCATGCAAACGTCTGTGGTTATTTGTCTCCACATGTTTCAGCAGATGAGGTGATTTGAATGCAGCAAAAAATTTAATAGCTTAAGTTGAAACAGGAATTATCCTAAGGGAATCTGTAGAAATGCATTCAAGAGCAGATGAGCTGTATCTATTTCTTTCATGCTTTGGTGTAGTAAGTAATTGTTCATAGCCAAACACTTTACGAAGATAAATGATTGATATAATGAATGACCCGAAGATGCCCAAGAGCACATGAAAACAGAAATGCCTTTGTTCTGAAGGAGAATGTCTTAGTATAGTTATAAATTGAATGTAAAAATTGTGGCTGAAATTATTCTAAAAATCACAAGAAGCTGCATTTAAACTGTGCTATGGCATCTATTCAAAAGATTTGAAACCATTTGTTTTCTGAATTGCACCCAACATAAAGCTTTCTCACACAGAACAAAACAGAAGTGAGCATCAGTCACACTTCCAACATGCATACATTTTGCTCTAAAGGAACAGCTGTTACTTGATGAAAAGTCGATGAAAGATGCCCAACATTTGTTTTTAAAAAGTTATCACCCAAACAAGAATTGTTTGGAACCAGATGCTAAAATCGAGAGTGGTCTGTTTATTTCAGTTCAGAGTGTTATAAAAATGTTAATAAGGTATTTTTATGTCTATTACCCAGCTATATTTGACTTTTTAATGTGCTTTTTGTTATAATTGGCTGTTGTTTCTATAGGCTGGCATTATTGGCATTAGATCACTGAAGAGTAAATAAAGTGAGCAAGAATACTCTCTTGTCACCAGATTACTGAGGTGTACTGGAAGTAGGTTGAATGGTTTTACAGATGAATTACAGTGAAAACTTTGAAACACTAATAATCTCTTCGGTGTTGAGAAATAACCTACTAATCATTAACTTAATAATTATCAGCTCAACCAGGAAACTACACCACCTAAAAGGTAGTTAATTTTATCACTCCTAGACATCTACAGGAGACCATGATTCTCCATTATGTGAATGCCTTGCTGCCCATGTGATGCCTGCCCCCATCAATTCTAAGAAGCTTCAGTCATTTAGTACTTAATATGTAATTTTTAAAAATTACATAAGTAACACCTTCTCCTTATAGAGAACTGAAACTTTCAGAAACAGTTAAAGCCTAATTTGAATATTGCCAAAGCCCTGTCTCTTCTTCAGAGACAACCAGTGTTTCCAGTTTGGTGTGTATTTTCCCCAAATACAGTGAATGTGTGTATAAACACGTGTAGATTTACCTGTCCTAGATATGAGCATTTGCTTTGTGAGTCTGCTTTAAGTCAAGTTCTAAACTATGGCTCAGTTTAAAACTTCTCTTTTTCTATTTAATAATATACCTTAGAAGTCATGCCATGATATTAAGATGAATAATAATGAAATTATTAATATTAGTCAAATTTAATTAGTTGCTTATTACGTAGTGGGTACTTGGTGTGATATATGGATTATCTCATTTAATCATCATGACATGCTAATAAATTGGCAATGCTGTTATCTCCATTTTATGGAAGAGAGAAAAAGATTGTAAGTACTTTGCTCAAGGTCATTTGGAGGGAGAGCAAATTATTCAAATCCAGATATTCTGCTCTCAGAGATTGTATTATTAACTATTATGCCACAATAGAGGCATTGTAGTCTGCATGATAGTCCAACTATTTTTATTTGTAGTTATATATTGATGAATATCTAGAGTATTTTTAAAAATTACAACACAATACTGCAATTGACATTCTTGCATGATTATCTACCATGTATTTCCAAAAGTGGAAAGGCAAACATATGTGTTTAGTTTTTACAGAATGTAGACTATATAACAATTGTACTCCAAAGGAGATCTTGGTTACATTGATACCAGCATAGTTTGAGCCTACCCTCTTCCCTGTACCCTCAAAACCCTTGTTAACATCTTATGTTTTGCCAGTCTGCTGAAGAAAAAATGGTATCCAATTGTTTAATTCAATTACTTGATTATTAGTGAAGTGAGAATTTTTTTATATTTATCATAATTTGTATTGCCTGTAATCTGAAAGGGTTATTCATATTTTTTTGCCTACTTTTCTATTAAGTCATGTCTCTCTAAGATCTAGCTTAAACGTTACTTTTTCCAAAAAACCTTCCCTGATCTCCCACAACTCAAAACATTATCTTCCTACTTTAGTTTCTTACAATATTTTATCTACATTTCTCTTATAACACCACTTTCTACTTTGTATGATTGTTATTTTAGTACTATCTAATCAGTCCTTTAATTTCCTTTGGGGACTATTTTATGGTGATTAATCCTTATGACACATATTGTCCACATTTTTTGGACAAAATTCTTCAATGAAGATTGATAATTAAAATTAATAAAAATTAAATTAATTAAAAATTTAATTAACTTAGCTTTTAATTTTTTAATTATCATATAGGCCACCTACTGAGATATACAATTTTTGGTCTAAAGTATTACTTTGAAACAATTATAAGAAAACAATTATAAGAAAAAAAATTTTTATTATTCTAAGATCCTTCGGATTGGAAAGTTGCTTGTTCTATATAACAAGATTTACTCTTTCCATACATTCTAGGATAAATTCATCATCTCTCTAAAAATTTCCTAATTTTTGTCATTCAGAAAAATAGCCAATTCCTGTCCTTCATTAAATTTTAATGAATAATCAGTCAATTATAAAACTCTTGAAAAATTCATATTAAAAAGGAAACATTTATATTATTAAAAAATAATAATTACAAAATGCCCATATAAATATTATTTAGGGCCAGGCACACTGGCTCACACCTGTAATCCCAGAACTTTGGGAGGCTGAGGTGGGCAAATCACTTGAGCCCAGGGTTTGAGACCGGCCTGGGCAACATGACAAAACCCTGTCTCTACAAAAAATTTAAATATTAATCAGATGCGGTGGTGTGCGCCTATAATCCCAGCTACTCAGGATGTTGAGGTGGGAGTGATGGGGTGGGAGTGATAGGGAAGGGAGGCAGGGAAATTCTGGGCAAAAGAGGGCAGGTCCCTGGCAACGGCTCCACCCTCAAGCCTGGAACCAAAGCCCAAAGTGAGAACATACATTCCTGTTTTCCCACTCAAATGTTGCCTTTTACAAAATTACCCATGACCTCCCCTGTCCCCCATCCTGTGCCCATAAAAACCCCAGACTCAGCTAGCAAAAAAGAGAAGCAGCTGAACATCAAAAGAGAAGCAGCAGCTGGGCATCAGAGACTACGGTTGGACGTTGGAGAGAAGCAGCTTGATTTCAGAGAGACAGCTTGACAGTGCAACTTTGGAGAAGAGTCCAGCCAGAAACCTTCCTGCTACATCTCCTTCCCAGCTGCCCTTCCTGCTGAGAGCCACTTTCCTTGGCAATAAAATCCTCTGCATTTACCATCCTTCAATTCGTTTCTGTGAGCTGATTTTTTCCTGGATGCCAAACAAGAGCTCAGGAGTGAGTGTGGATACAAAAAGGCATGCTGAGCTGCTAACACTTCAGCTGTCTGAAGACGGCAGAGCTAAAGGAGCACTGTAATATGCCCACAGGGGCTTCAGGAATCACAGGCACCCCCCTAACCCCAGGGGCTGCTATGGGGCCCACATGGAGTTTGCTCCTGCCAACACCCCAAAGCTCTCTTCCTGGCTCCTGTACCTGCTCACCTGCATGCTCTCTCCTGCAAGAGGTGGAACACAGCAGGTCAGAGTGGGTGAGTTCACTCCTTCTGGCACCAAAGAGGCCACTGGTTCCAACACTCGTGTACTCCAGTTCCTGCCTTGTTCAATTGCGCACTCCCTCCCTTGAGGAGTTGAGAGCAGTGGGCTGAGTAAATGGGGCACCCCTGTCACGAGTCCCATGAAGGGGTCAGGGAAATACCCTGCTTCAGGAGGATCTCTTGAGCCCAGGAGGTGAAGGATGCACTGAGCCAAGATCGTGCAACTGAACTCTGGCCTGGGTGACAGAGTGAGACTCTGTCTCAAAATAAATAAATAAATAATTTAATTAATTAAATTTAGCTTATTCTTTTGAACTTCATTCTTCATAGTGTTATAAAATACATGATTTAAGACAGTGAGAAAGAGAGAGAAGCCAATGATGGACTTCTAATAGAATTCAGAGTGGGACTTGTTTGAACATTTCAGCCAAATAAAAGATTCCCGCAATTAGTTGACTCTTCAGTCCACCTCAGTTTTAAACATGTCTCAGGTTGCCCTTAACTAACGAGTATAGTTTACTTTGGGCTGATAAATTCTGTGGATGGCAAGAGGTTGTGAATATCCCTTTATAAACCCAGAACTAATGCTACATATCCCTGGCATTAGTGCCTTATTTATCTAAACTTACAAATATATTGGGCAAAATTCCGGGATATGGGCACAGAATTAATAATTGAATACCTTATTTTGTATGGTCATTTGCTCACTGACAAAGATAGAGAAGCAGCTGAAATTCATGATTATGATCCCTAGTTACATCTCTCTTTAAGTCCTTATGTTTGGTTCCCTGGGAGTTTCAGCGCATTTATATAGCAGCACCCAAGTTTTTATAATCTGTTAAGTATTACTATCTAGGATTAGCTACTGAAGAATCAAGAACCGGTAGTTGATGAACTTGAAAGACAATTATCCTATATAGTGTTTCTTGAGGACACTAATTTCTTAAGATAGAATGAGAGGAAAACATAATATCCACAAACAGAAATAAATTTTGGAATATTATATGCTTTAGCTTCCTCTTGGATATTTACAAAAATATTAGCATATTAACGATTACAGAATGAAGAAACCTTTTTAGCTACATTTAAACTAGTCCTAGAGTTTGAATATATTTCCTCCAAATTCATGTTTAAGTTTAATCCTCAAAGTGATGAGGAAGTGGGGCCTTTGGAGGCAATTAAGTCATGATGGCTGTGCACTCATAATGAGATTAATATCCTAATTAAGGAAGCTTCTGAGAGCTTCCTGGCTCTTCCATTTCTTCTGCCATGTGACAACATGGCATTTGTCCATTTTGTCCCTTTGCTTTTCCTACCATGTGATTAAGTCATGCAAAATGACATCTATGAAACAGGCCCTCATCAGACAATGAATATGTTGGTGCCATAATCTTGAACTTCCCAACTCCTGAACTTTCAGAAATACATTTCTGTAATCATAAATTACCCAGTTTGTGGTATTTGTTATAAGACCAGGAACAGACTAAAACAGCAAATGCTTTCCCCCATCCCTGACTACTTTCAGAATGTTTAAGAGTTGTCCATACCGTTTCTTATGGCAATTATGAGGCAGATATTTTTCAGGAAAGTGGCATGCATATATGTGAATTTTTTTAGAGGAGTTGAAAAACAAAACAAAACACTTGTTTGGCAATGTTCATTCCTCACAGAATCAGTGCTATTCATTTTGGAAAATATCTTAGTATCCTGCTTGTTGCCTTATTAGTTGTTTTTCTCTCATTGCAATCAGCTGTTGCCATGTACCTTTTGCATTTGGTGGTCAGGGTCTTCGGAATCGTATGAATCTGATATCAAATCCCAGTTGTATTGCTGACTAGCTGTGAAAAAAGATTTTAAACTTATTATTTTCAGTTTACTCATTTATTAAGTACCAATATTAATATTGAAACTAGAGAAATAGATTAAATGGCATACTTGTATAGTAATTGTTACATAGGAAAACTCTCAATAAATCAATGCTGTTATTATTACCATTAATATTCCCTAGATGTGAAGATTGTCTTCAGAGGAAACATACTGGAAAAAAAAAAATGAGTTTTACAGAAGTTTTTCAGCAGAAGTTGATTGGTTTTACACACACACACACACATACATGCACACATATTTTCACACATATAAATATGTATATTTTACATATATATATGCACACGCATTTGTTTCTATTTAAAATGAAAAAAGTATGTTAGTCATGTGTGCCCAATTTTCTGATACACTAAAAAATGGAAATATCTTGGCAGACACTATTGATAGGCTATGCAAATGTAAACTTCTCTTCCTAGTTTTTTATTTGGAAAGTAAAATATCCATGTTTCTTAGTGTGGCCATGTGAATTTTGTGACATTGAAATGGATATCATAAGATAGGTTCCCGGTAAAGCCTTTAAAAAAGCACAAACTTGGCCTGCATGGCTTTGGCCTTTTGCCCCTTTGCCCTTTGCTGCTTCAGCCTTTCCTATTTTTCTTGGCTGCAATATGAGCAATCATGTCTCAGGGTGCTACAGGCATCATGCTATCTTATAGCATACCTCTTTCTAAGGAAATGCTATTAATGTCCCTGCATGTGTATAACAAATCTTCAGCGTCCCTGTGTGGCTGCTCTTCTTATCCTGTCCTGGCTTGTACTCCTGTCTTTTGTAGAAGTAAGTAAACATCTTGCCGGTGAAAACTGCTTTTAGTTGCACCCTGTATTCCTTATAGCTAAACCCTATCTACCTGAAACCTATATTGATACTTATGCCATATATTTAGTTTGGAGACCAGATTAAATTTAGAGTTCCATTAATTCCATAGTAAATATTTTTGAGTGGCTAGTATGGGTAATGTGATATTTAAGCTACTGGCATAGTGTGGTAAACCGAAGATATGACCTGAAATGTTTGTAACTTATATGATAATAAGTGGAGAGAGCTGAAAATTAGGTAAATAAATAGATAACCACAGATTTTGATCTGTTATACAAATACGATAAATATGGCAGGAAGGACTGTAAGCTACGGAGTAGAGTAAGAGAAAGCAATTATAAAAAGATTGGCAACTAAATGTTATCTAACAAGTGATACTTAAAGGCTGAGATACTTTAAACTATAAGACACAGTTTTGTAAAAATCTTGGAAATTGTGTTTTTTAAGTTAATGGTGCAATTTATCTAATGTGTAAATACAAGTGCTGGTTTGTTGAAGGAGCAGAAAAAAAAAGATTAGTTTGAGTATGGGGAAAGAGAAGGAGATTGGAGAGAGGTTTAAGAACTAAGCATATGCCAGTTTATATAGAGTTTATGTAACAAAGAAGAGATTTTTTGTATATCAGGTTGTATTGTTGCATAATACTATACCCCAAACTTACTGGTATAAAATAGTAAACTTGTATTATGCTCACAGGTTCTGTGGGTCAGGAATTTAGAAACAGGCACAGTGGGCATGCCCCTTTTCTGCACCTCAATGATGAGGCCTCAGCTGGGAAGATTTACATGTCTGGATGCAACTCAAATAGCTGAGGGCTAGGACAGCTGGGACTGGAGTGTCCACTTCCAAAATTGCTTTTTATGCCCATATCTGGCACTTGGCCTTGTGTATTTGAAGCTAGGAATGAACTGGGATTGTCAACCAGAACTCCTATTCGTGGTCTATCCTCATGGTTTGGGTTTCTCCCAGCCTGGCAATACTGGGGCCCTCCTGAGACGGAGGATTCTGAAAAAAAGTGAGCAGAAGTCAGATTGTCGATTTAGGCCAGATCTCAAAAGTTACACAGCATTGCTTTTTTTTGTATTCTCTTAGTCAAAGAAGTTAAAAGTCCTCCCAGATTCAAGGTCAGAGACCCCAGTCCCCACATCTCAATGAAATGACAGTTGAAGAACTCTGAGGAGATATTTTATAACCATTACATTATATCAAATGAAAAAAGGTGATTTTTTTATGTCATTTAATTTGTCCCACAATATTGACTTTTTACTCTTCTCCATGTCCTGATACTCATAATATTCCTCATTTTTCTCCATTAAACTCCATCTTTCAGGGACACTTCTAATACATTATTTTATACTAAATTGTAAACTAGAATTAATTTTTGAAGTATTGCCACTTGCAGGGGGATGTATATTTAATTTACGGAATTATAAATCTAGACAATAATGTACATTGTTAGGATTTTCTATCAGAATTATTTTAATTAATAAATGTTACCTTTAAATTTTTTTAAATCATCCTTTTTTAAGCATTTATTCAGTTGGGACTTTCAGTTCATGTACTTTCCTCTAAATTAAAATCAGATATCATTTGTAGAATTTTATGCGATGACTAAGATGGTTTTTTGGGAGATGATATTCATTACCAAATTTTCTGAAAATATGTAGTATTTGCATTATATCATGATTTCTTATATTACAATAGGTTTTTAAAAAAATTTCAATAACATTAAAATTATTTCTAAATACATCTTAATTTAAAGTAGTTAATTTTAAAATATTTAGTCATTTACTTATAGAATTTAATTTAAATTACCGAGGTGTGTGCATGAGATCAAATAATTATTCTACATTTGCAGTATTTCACAGTGTTTTGTTCTATTTATATCGTGTTCCTTCTATGTGTGGAAAAAAAAATAAGGCTTGTCATGTTCATAACAAAATGTTAAAACCTTTAAGAAAGAATGGAAACTACAACAGAATATTTCTAATTTCAGTTGTACTCCATGTCTGCCATTATACAGATTGTTTAGAGAATCTCCCAAATTACATTCCATATAAAAAGAAATTGAGTGTCAGTGTATCAAACAGAACCATTTTAAACAGTCATGCAAGATGGAGAGAGGAGGTATAATAATGTGGGCCCTGAAATGTTACAGTATGATAGAGTCATAGTTTTATGATAGTTTTTTTTCACTTTAATGTCCAGGAATACTCATGAAGTTTAAGAAGAAAGAATACTGTCAGAAAAGAGGCAATTTTTTTATATTTAAAAAGTTCCCTTTTTCCAGTCTATTCATTTTTATGCATCAACTCTCATTTTATGTTGACAATTTCATAATAACTATATTTACCTTTATTTTTTATCCATATGCATTTCATTTAAAAGTGAAAACTTCCACTCAAAATGTAAAAAGAACTTATAGAATTTGCCTCCAAAGAGCTCTACTAGTCTGTCTTTCCTATTTCATCCAATGTTACGACTACAATTCCCATCTATCAAACACAGCAGTCAATTGGTAAGTCATTTATGTCTCTTTTTATACTATTTTTCATGAAGTTTCTTTATTTTCCAGTTCTATTGTATGTCACCTCAAATATCCATACAACACATTATTTTAATCTCCTTCCCTCTAAGCATTCCTGTTCCACTTAATCTAACACAATGTTCTCAAAGATATGACAAACTGCAACTCTGTTAAAAAAGCTTCAAAGACTTTCCACTGAACTGAACAGAATTAGAATAGATGATTATTTCAGTCATGTGTTGGTATATAACAAAATACCCCAATCACCTATTCTTCCTCCTCTTAAAGTCAATGTATTATTAAAACGTCCAACTTCCTTTTATGAAATATTTCACACATACCCAAAACTGAAAAATAATTGATACAGCAACATAACCAGAAACAAGATTATAAGAAATTCTACAAGGGATAACTACAGGCTAAAATTGTTTAGCATCCCCTTGTATATTTCTCTATTTTTGAGTACAGGTCTGTGTATAGAATATTTTACACAGCATACAGTAGTGTTTGTATCTTCAAATTTAAATAAGATGTTATTGTTTTCTCTGTATTATTTCAACACATGCTTTATAATCTCACTATGATATTTTTGAGAACCATTCCAGCTGATACTTGGGTATCTGTTTTTGTTTAATTTCTATATGGGATTTCATTATATATATAATATAAAGCTATCAATTTTCATATCAGGAAATATTGGCATTTTTATATTTACCATTGTAAATGTTAAAAACAAAGCTACAATAAATATTTATTGTTTTGTTGTTTATATATATTAGAATTTTCATAGGATACACATAGAGCAGGGAAATTTTACAACTTTGGGCACTTTCATCCTTACATTGTCAAGTAGCTTTCCAAAGTCGTTGTATGAATTTATCTTCCCACTATATAATTGTTAGAGTTCCTGTTTTCTAATAGCCTCATCAAAGAGGAGAATTTCTCAAGTATTAAGCAGTAAAGTAAAAAAAAAGTCATCATTCTACAAATTCAATTTTACTAAATAAAATATATTTTATATTTTCTTTAAAAGTGATACAAGATGTCTTTCACATTTGAAGTTAATGTGATGATAGAATACAATTTACAATTTTTCTATATGTTAATCAAATGTATCACTGCTATTTTATGAATAGTTATTCATTTTTCTGGGTGATACGACAATTCATATGTAAAATATCGAAAGTCTACCATGAATTTTTGAATTTTCTGCTATAGTCTAGTGAACAAATTGTTCATCTCTGAGTCAATGCCGCACTATCTTAATGACTATAATTCATAATCAATTCTTATTGAATATCTGCTCAGTGCTAGTATATGAGTTTGCTGGATCTGTTATAACAAATTACCACAAACCTAAACATTTAAAGCAAAAGAAATATATTCTCTTACAGTTCTGTAGGGCAGAAATCTGAAATCAAGGTATAGATAGGCCCACTTTCCTTCTCAAGTGTTTATGGGTGGATCCTACTTTACCTCTTTCAGCTGCTGGTGGCTCAAGGCATTCTTTGGTTTGTAGCTGCATAACTCCAAGCTCTGCTTCCATCCTCAAGTAGCCTTCTTCTATTTCCTGTATCTTCTCCTCTTCTGTCTTTCATAAGAACACTTATTGGATTTAGGGTGCACTAGGATCATCCAGTATGACGTCATCTCAAGATCCTTATTAATATATACAAAAAAATTAGGTCACATCTACAGTTTCTGTGGGCTAGCATATGGAAAGATATGTGCATATTTATCATATTTTGGGAGGCACCATTGAATCTACTAGAGACAAACATCTACATTTAGGATATTAAAGAAAAAAATCCTTGCCTTTGTAAAGATTACAGTCAGATATAGGATGACACAAAAGAAATAAAATATAGACAGGTGTTGAAAAGTTATATATTTTGTGAAGAAAATAAAGCAAGGCAGGATACACAGTAATAGTGGCAGATTACAATTTTAATTAATGTATTCAGTAAGAAACATTGTAAAAATAGCATTGAAATAAACACATCAAAAGGCTGAGGGAAGAAAAAGAATACAGTTTTTCTCTACATCCCAAATTACTTCTGATTGAATGTTTTTACTGGGATCTGTTTCTGGGAGAGACTAAGAGAGTGACTAACTTTGGATAGATTCTGAATGTAGAGCAAGCAGCAAGACTCACTGAAAGGTGGGATGTGCAATTCTTGACAAAGAAAATAAGTAGGATTGACTCTAAGATTTTTGCTTTGAGACAAATGGTCGTAGGTGAGAATGTGCATTTCAAAGTTGAGATGTTTATTAGCTTCTCAAAAGAAGACAGCATAAGAAGTTGGATGTAAGAGCCTGGCATTTAGAAGAGAAGTAAGAGGTAGAGGTACAAATTTGCAAGTTCTTAGCATAAACAATATTGTAAACCATGGCTCTGTGAGAACTCATCAAGGGAGTGGGGGTGGACACAGAAGTGTTCCAAAGACTAAGAAATAGCATACAAAGACATAAGAAGAAAGCCAAGAGGACGTGTTCTGGAAGCCAAAGAAAAAAAGCTGGGTTTTTTTGTTTGTTTGTTTATGTGTTTTTGTTTGTTTGTTTTTTAATTAAAGAAAAAGAGACTACTGATAGATCAATAAAATGAGAATAAAAAATTAACCTTTAAATTTTGGAACATGAAAATAATCAGTGATTTGAAAGGAACATTTAATTGAAATGGTCAATACTTTTCTAGTATTTTAATTGTAACTCATGCCTCACTTTGTTACCCAGGTTGGACTGGACTCCTGGCCTCACATTTTCAAATAATTAATGCTTATTTAGATTTACCCTTACATTTAACAGGTTTACAGTTGCCACTTGCTTCTCACACTTGTCTTTTTTAGTGTTTTCTTTTTTCTTTCTTTGTTACTTTAAAAAGGTTGTTCAATGAATCCATGAGTGTGCTTTCTTAAAATTCTGTAGACCCAAAAAGTCTCAGCACTGTGTATAGTATTCTATCTTGCACTGTATATTTTGCATTTGGAACTTGGTATGCCATTGCATTATTGTATTAGTTTTTCAGTGAACTAGCTTCTTTTTAAAATATTCACCAAATCAGTGTTCTTTCTAGTTTGGATTTATTTTTATCAAATCTGTTCAGAACTTGTCCAATTCCTGAATGTGAAAATTTTTTTTCTTTAATGACTTACAGAAAATTTCCAGTTATTACCTTTAGATATTGCCTCAATACCATCTTAAATGCACCCAAAGTATCTAATATAATAATAATTTTTGTCCATCTTGCTCTATATTGATAACTTTATTTCTCTGTGATATATATTTATTATATTAATTTTAATCATCCATATCTCATAGGTTTTTAAATTCAATTACTATATTTTTATTTTTGGATATCCTTTGCCAAATCTGCTCTTCATTTCTTTTTAAATGTCTTTAGTGTTTATGTATGTTCATTAGATATTATTAATTTTATAATTTTTTTCAAATTATTCATCTATTTTTACACATACTTTTAATTCTGCTGTTTTACATCTGCTGACTCTTATTGCTGGTTTTTTTTTTTTTTTTTTGAGACAGAGTCTCACTTTGTTGCCCAAGCTGGGTTGCAATGGTGCAATATCAGCTTGCTGCAACTTCCGCCTCCCAGGTTCAAGCAATTCTCCTATTTCAGCCTCCCAAATATCTGGGATTATAGGCGCCTGCCACCATGCCTGGCTAATTTTTTGTATTTTTAGTAGAGACGGGGTTTTGCCATGTTGGCCTGGCTGGTCTTGAACTCCTGACCTCAGGTGATCCACCCGCCTCAGCCTCCGAAATTGCTGGGATTACGGGCGTGAGCCACCGCGCCTGGCATGTATATTATTTTTCATTGTGTATTTTGTAATTTTTGTTTGTGAATTTATTTTTAATATAGTTTTCAATTTAACTTGTTAGTTTCTGTAGTGGCAAATCCTTGTGTTTGCAATATTGGATTATTTCTCCATAAGAGTTTCACATTTCTTCTGCTAGGAAATCCATGGGGAATATTGGAATTGGGCTAGTTTTTATTTTATTTCTAATGTTTAAAGTTTCTGAAAAATATTGGCGTTAAAAAATTCTACTTCAATCCTGAGTAAAGAATAAAGTGCTAGTGACAAATTCCCAGTTGTGTTTTCCTTTCTTAATATTTGAGAGCCACAGCCAATGTTGCATACCCTTTGATGTTAAGCAGAAACTTTTGTCTAGACATTGACTTCAGGCTTTAAAATATGTAGTATCTCCCCCAGATTAAAGGTAACTAGTCCCTGATTTCTATTAAAATATAATCTTTAGAAGCTTAAAATCATAGCTCTCAGACAAATATAAAATGAATAGGTTTTAAAGATATTAACTTGAATTAATAAATAACAAATAGATGTTTTAAATGACACAAAGGGAATCTGAGAAACTGGGACATTTAGAAGCAATTTAGCAAAATAACATTAAGATTGCTTGGTTAAATAAATAAATATAGATTGATATATAACAGTGTCATAAATCTGTGAGGTTATCTGTTCTACTAAGGAGATATATTTGTATCTTTACAGGAAAAAAAAGTTCATGGTGCAAAATCCCTTTACTAAATCTGGTACCTTTAATTATTATTGTATAGCACTTAAGTATAGGAACTTGAATATAGCCAATATATTCCTAAAGATCTAAATTACTCTCCAAATAAAATGCTTTTTGTACATAATTTTTTCTATTCCCATTAATTATCTTTCACAGTTTTATTTTGTTTTGATTTTTTCATTTGTTCCTTCCCCCTCCCCTTGGCATTCAGTTAATTCTTCTATTTTCTTTCCCAAACAGGCACATTATCATTAAATGTAATGGTTGGCTGAATCATAACCACATTTAAATATTGCTCTGTTTTGCCATTTGTTTTTCTTCCTTCTTTCTTTCCTTTCTTCGTTCTTGCTTTTCTTGGCAAGCTTATGAAGTTTTATTTGTGTAATTGCTACACAAAGAAACTTCATTGTGTTTGTATTTGCCCTTCAATTGGATCATAAATGCCTTGGTGGCAATGAATGTACATAGCTATTTCTGCATCCTAAGTAGCATATATGTAGGTTTTGAATACAGGATTGATAAATGTTTGTCTTGTGAAATTAAAATAATTACTGATGTCTACATATTGTTTCCAGCTTGCTTCTCTGTTGTTTCCTCTTTAGATATGCTAGATAACCACTTCAATATGATTCTTCTTATGTAAAACCTCATATATTCTCAAAAGTATTATGTATGCATTCAACTAACTGTACATCTACAGTACAGTAAAAAATGAGATTGTAGTAAGTGAAAATGCATTTATAAGTATAGGCAAATTTTTAGGCAAGACACCTCATAAAGATCACTTTAGAAATTAGATCAAGTAAAAATAAGTCACAAAAAGAAACGTGAATTAGTCATCTTAAACATTGTTTTAGGCAGTAAAACAACATTGAAAAAAGAGGATCTTGTAAAGCCTGATACTTGATTCCTATAGGATAACTGAATCAAATCAGATGTTTTAGAGGTAATGGTCACCTGATTGTTTTCTCTTGAGTTTTTTCATATAATAGGTGCAGTGGTTCTTGCAATGAGGAATTTTTTTATGGAAATGTGAAATAAAGTACAGAAATTCCTAATGAAAACCTGTCTTTTAAGTGGATCTCTAAATTCTAAGAAAGTGCTTATATTATCTTAGTTATTTAGCTATTAGCCTGTCAATCATTAGGAAAGTAAGAGCAATTTACAAAGCATCTACCACTGTGCTAGTACTTGCTCACATGTTCTCATCCACCTAAGGGAATATTCAAAGCATCTTAATAGTTGCTACTAATTCATATAATTTAATTAATAGAATAGCAAATACATTCTCATCTTATTTCACATTTTTAACATACACAAGATATAGCTATTTTATAGTGATTAGGTTTAGTAAAAATAACACTGATAAAACTCAACTGTTAGCATGTACAGTTTTAGGCTACATATTTTTCAAAACAACAAAATATAATTTTTTTAGACTCAACTTGAAATTTTGTAAAAAATAAAGTTTCAGAAATAGTAAACTATCACAGAACAAGAAGCATAATAGAAAGTAGAAATTGTTTTACTATAAAAAATACTATAAATAAAAGGGCTAAATGTTTCTTAATATTCGTATACTGATACCAAATATTAGATGCCTTGAGTCACTAAATTAAATTGCCCCTAAATATTACATTTATTATTTAAAATGTTAATGTTGCTTACAAACCTCAACAGATATTTTTGCCAACTTATAGATGGGAGAATTTAAAAAGATGTTGGTGTTTTTAAAAATAGCTTTTAGAAAAGCAACAAAGTGATTTTATGTCTGGAGGTGAAGACCCTTGGAGGAATTTTTCTCATGGACTGTCAAAATATATACCCAAACCATAAGTGGATGTCTGAATAATAATTCATTTACTTTTATTTGATTTGTCAGGTTTTATTTTTCAAAACAAGAGTCAGAATAAGTGATGTCTTTTAGTTGGACTTGTTTCTATTGTTTATTAACATATCCAAGGAACACGTAGAATGAATTGGCAGAATATAATCATATTATCAAATAATTATTAGTTTAGTCAGTTTCATAAACCTAGATAATCAAATGAAAATACATAATAATATAATTATGTCATAATTTTTATCAAAATTTTAAAATTAATGAATTAAATCCAGCTACCAAAGATAGGGGTTTGTGAAAAGTAGATACAATACTAGAGTGGAGGTTGTAATGAAAACTCAGAATGGGCTATAGTATTAAAAAAATAATAAAGACCTCCAGTATTTTTTTTTCTCAAAATGGCAGATTAGAGTCATTGTTAGCATGCCTCTCCTATTTGGAAAGACAGAATTGTGTGTGGAGATTCACACTGTAAATTTTTTCCAAGAAGCAACACAGAAAATTAACAGGAAAACTGAAAGAAAGCACAGACTTTTTGAAAGAAGTGTCAGGTTGCTGTCTAAAATCATGAGCCAGGAGGAAAACTTTAAGTCCCTAGAATGTCAGATAGGGATAAACTGCCTCTAGGACATATACTCCTACTGGGGAACCAAGCAATCCAGGCCACAGGGAAAGGCCTTAATCCCACCCAGCGCTGGAGCTGATTTAGTGAGCAGTGGGGCATATATGAGAAGTAGCAGCATGGGGACGGGCTTAGTGTGCATGCCCAGCAGGACAGAGGAAAGCCATCCCTGATCCTATCTCACAGGGGACCTCACAGAAGTCAGCCAGGTAACTCAGGCAGTGGTCACAGGTTGAGAGAAGCTCTCAACTGAGATTCATGATATAATCTCGAGTGGAGACAAACCCCCTTGGTCAGAACCATGGGGCAGATGGGAAATGTGCTGCAGCCATAGGTGCAAGAGCTGGGTGCCCCTGCTTCATGGGCCAACTAGGAGAGGCGTGACCTGGAAGCCATGGTTGCAGTCTCTTCTGGGAAGTCTTATGGCCTTGGGCAGTGTTGAGTTCTGAGTGTTGACTGCTTGGAACCAAGCTGCTGCGAGTGGGACACTGCAGGTGCAAGACCTGCTTTGCCAAGTGTGTGGGAGCTGAGTGGGGCTAACTGCTGCCTGCTGCTCCCTAATCCTCATACAGATGCTTCTCTGCAGCAGAGGCAGCTGTGGTACTCCCTGCAACATTACTCCTACAGCCAGAGGACCACTATCTGATCCCCACTGGGGACAGTGCTTTTGCCCACACATGGCAGACAAAAGAGAGCTAGAATGTGAACTTGCCTGATTCAGCCCCCAGCTGGCTTTGCCCCTCCATCTGCCCTGGTAGCTTAACACAAAGAATAGAAAATTTTGAGAGCTCAATGGCCCTGCCCATTGCCTGAGTCATCAGCTTACCTCCCCTGCGTAACATAAGGCAAGCACAAATCCCACTGCTACCAGCTGGTGCTCTTTTTCAAGTGCCACCTTGTGGCTGGAGGCCTACTGACACAATCCATTACAGCATCTGCAGGCACACTAACAGTGCACAGGAAAGAGAAAACTTGTGTGTGACCTAAGCTATCACCTTTGCCTATATAACCTTGGCTAACTAGGAGGTCCTGAGTCTGTCCATGCGACCAGTTCATTACTACTACAGGTGGCATTACAGAAAAGCCAATGCACCAAGGCTACTTATAATCAAGAAATCTCACAGAGTCTATGTCATTCTCCTGTCACCCCCATGAGAGCTGTTGTTGCTACTCATTACGGAGTCTTGAGAACAGGTCACATCACTGGACCCCTTGTAGACATTCCCCAGCACCAACCTGGAGTGTGGCAGTCCCACTAGGTGGCTAGAACCAGAGAAGTAGCAGCATTCATACTAGTCTGGCCCTCAGGGACTCCTACTCTTAGGATAAGGGGGAGTGCACATCAGTGGCACACCCCATGGAAAAAAGAATCTAGATGGCAGGACTTGAGTCCAGAACTTCCCACCTGTGGAAAGTTTCTTTCAGTAGAGGCACAGGTACAGTGCTGGACTTGGGAAAATCTACAGAACGGTCTTGAAGAAAAAGACTTTCCCCCCTCATTCACCACTGCAGACACAGCTGGTGCTTCTCTTATGGGAATTTAGCATGAGTGGACCTGTAGATAGCCTTTCTGGAACACTTCAAGTTACCTGCGTCCCCAGAGGAGGAGTCCCCTCCAGATTCAGATTTGCATAAGGCATAGAATCACAATCTCTCTCTACTTGGAACGTGAGAATTCCTGCAAATAAAAAGGGCCTGCTAATCTGAATAGCTAGAACTGTATTTAGGAGTGTGACCTGCTTTCCTGGGGGCCTGGCAAGGGAGCTGAAGTGGCTCCCTCCCTTCCCCGTGAAAAGACCTCAGTGCATTTCACTAAGAGCTCCCACAGATGCCTCGGTCAAGGCTTGGGCTTCTTCCCACCATTGGGTATTGCATTTACCAATCTGCTGGTTTTCACTCAGGGACACCTCCCCTACTGGCCTGAAATCTGAATTATTCAACCAGGTAAAGAAAACACTGGGAGAAAAAAAAAGGCAAAAACGTGCACACCACTTGGGAACTAGATAAGCTTCATGAGACCTCTGCCATTGCTACCCCACAGGAAACAGTGAACCTCCACACACACACTGAGCATAATGTTACCACAACTAGCATCTGAGAAAGCCAACATACAAAGATTTTAAATAACCAGGGAACTTATACAGTCTTCACCCCTGAAAGCACCCAGAGCTGAATTAGGTTACAATAAACTATAAACATTAAAGTCACATCCTCAAAGTGAAAAAAAAAAAAGTGAAAAATCACAGTCAAATCAAAAAATAAATTCAAAAATAATTAGAAGATATAGTCTCAAAAGTAATTAGAAGATATACTCTATCCAAATGAGAAGAAACCAGAAAAATAATTCTGGCAATAGGACAAAATAGGGTTCTATAACACCTCAAAAAGAACACACTAAGTCCCCAGCAATGGATCCCAACCAAGATGAAATCTTTGAAATGCCAGAAAAATAATTCAAAGAAATAAGCAAAGTCTCTTAGAAATAGGTGACTATGTAAAATGGCCAAATATAGCAATTGCTGTTCCTGAGGGAGAAGAAACAGCAAAACTTTTTGAATACTTATTTGAGGGCATAATTGAAGAAAACTTTGCTAGCCTTGCTAGATATTTAGATGTCCAAATACAAGAAACTCAATGAGCTCTGGGGAGGTTCACTGCAAAACTGACATTACAAAGCCATATAGTAATCAAGCTATCTAAAGTCAACATGAAGAAATGAATTCTAAGAACAGTGAGACAAAAGCAACAAGTAACCTATAAAGGAAAACCTATTAGACTAACAGCAGACTTCTCAGCAGAAATCTTACAGGCCAGAAGTTCACTGTATCTTTAGGCTTATCTTTAATATCCTTAGACAAAATAACTATTAGTCAAAAATTTTGTATCCAGCAAAACTGAGTCTCATAAATGAAAGAGAAATAATGTCTTCCTCAGACAAGCAAATGCTGAGGGAATCTGTCCCTATCAGACCAGTCCTACAAGAAATGCTAAATCTTGAAACAAAATGTTGAGCTGCATCAGAACCTAACATACAAAGATTCTCATAGACTCAAGGTAAGGGGGTGGAGAAGGATATTCAATGCAAATGGAAACCAAAAGCAAGCAGGTGTAGTTATATCAGATAAAGTAGACTTTAAAGCAACAATAGTAAAAAAAAAAACCAAAGAAAGTCATTACATAATAATTAAATAATTAATTCAACAAAATATAATAATTCTACATAAGTATGCACATAACACTGGAGCTCCTACATTTATAAAACAATTACTACTAGACCTAAGAAAAGGAATAGACAGCAACACAATAATAGTGAGGAACTCTAACACTCCACTGACAGCACTAGACAGATCACTGAAGCAGGAAGTCAACAACAACAAAAACAAAAAAACACTGGACTTAAGTTGCAGTCCAGAAGAAATGGACCTAACAGATGTTTACAGAACATTGTACCCAAAAACCGCAGAATTCACATTCTTCTCATCAACACATAGAACAGCCTCCAAGACAGACCATAGGATAGGCCACAAAAACAAATCTCAATAAATTTTAAAAAGTCAAAATTATATAAAGTACCTTCTCAGGTCACAGTGAAATAAAACTAGAAATGAGCTCCAAAAGGAACCCTTAAAACTATACAATTACCTGGAAATTGAACAATCTGCTTCTTAATGATTACTGGGTTAACAATGAAATGAAGAAAGAAATTAAAAAATTCTTTAAATGGATGATTATAGTGACACAAGTTATCAAAACCTCTGGGACATAGCAAAAGCAATGCTAAAAGGAAAGTTTCTAGCACTGAACACCTACGTAAAAAAGTCTGAAAGATTACAAATTCGCAACATAATGTCATACCTCAAGAAACTATAGAAACAACAAATCAAACTTAAAGCCAGGAGAAGAAAAGAAAGATTAAAGCAGAACTAAATGAAATTGAAATAAAAATACAAAAGTTTAATGAAACAAAATTTGGTTATTTGAAAATAGAAATACAATAGATCATTAGTTAGAAGAATTAAGATTGTTAGAACGATTAACAATTGTTCTAACAATTAGAACGATTAACAATTGTTCTAACAATTAGTTAGAACATTAGTTAGAACAATTAAGAAGATAGAAGTTTAAATTAGCTCAATTAGAAATGAAAATGGAAACATTTTAACCAATATCACAGAAATATAAAAGATCATTTGAGACTACTATGTAACCTCTATGCACATAAAAATAAAAGTAAAGAAAATAGATAGATTCCGGGAAACATACAACCCTACCAGCTTAAACCAGGAAGAAATAGGTATCCTTACAGACCAATAACAAGCAGTGAGATTGTATAAGTAAGAAAAAAAAAATGCCGACTAAAAAACCCAGACAGATCACAGCCAAATTCTATCAGACATTCAAAGAAGAACTGGTACCAAGCCTACTGAAACTACTCTAAAAGACTGAGAAAAAGGGAATCCTCCTTAACTCATTCTATGAAGCCAGTATCACCCTGATACCAAAACCAGAAAAAGGCATATCATAAAAAAAGAAAACTACAAATGAACATCTCTGATAAAGACATACGCAAAAATTCTTAACAGATACTGGCAAATCAAATCCAAAAACATATCAAAAAGACAATTCACTATAATCAAGTGAGTCTCATCCCAGGGAGGCAAGGATGACTCAACATACGCAAGGTAATAAATGTGATGTATTTTATAAACAGAATTAAAAACCAAATACGTATGATCATCTCAATAGATGCATAAAAACATTCAGTAAAATCCAGCATTGCTTTATGATAAAAACCCTAAACAAACTAGACATAGAATAAACATATCTCAAAATAATAAAAGCTATATATGACAAACCCATGGCCAACATCATATTGAATGGGGAAAAGTTGAAAGTCTTCCCACTGAGGGCTAGAACAAGTTAAGGATGCCCATTTTCACCACTTCTACTTAACATAGTACTGGAAGTCCTACCCAGAGCAATCAAGCAAGAGGAAGAAATAAAGGGCATCCAAGCTGGAAAAGAGGAAGACAAATTATCTCTGTTTGCTGATGATTTAAGCATATACTTAGATAAACCTAAGAATTCCACCAAAAGACTCTTCTATTTGATGAATGAATTCATAAAATCTTAGGTTACAAAATGAATGTACACAAATTAGTACTACTGCATAGCACCAACAATGATCAAGCTGAGAATCAAATCAAGAACTCAATTTCTTTTACAATAGCAGCAGAAAAAAAATTGAAATACACTTAACCAAATAAGTGAAAGATCTCCATAAGGAGAGCTACAAAAACTGCTGAAATAAATTAGAGATGATATAAACAAATGGAAATACATCCCATGCTCATGGATAGGAAGAATCATATTTGTGAAAATGACCTTACTGCTAAAAGCAATCTACAGATTCAATGCACTTCCTATCAAAATACTGACATCATTTTTCATAGAATTAGAGAAAGCAATTCTAAATTCTTATGAAACCAGAAATAAGCTTGAATTAAAAAAGCAACTCTGAGCAAAAAGAACAAATCCGGAGGCATAGTTTTAAGAGACTTCAAGTTATAATACAAGGTTTTAGTAATCAAAACAGCATGCATGGTACTGGTATAAAGGTAGATAAATAAACCAAAGGAAAGGAATAGAGAAACCAGAAATAAAGCCAAATGTATACAACCAACTGATCCTCCACAAAGCATTCAAAAACATAAATAGGAAAGGACACCCTATTCAATAAATGATGCAGGGAAAACAAGACAGCCACATGTAGAAGAATGAAACTGGATCACTCTTTCTCACCATCTACAAAAATTAGAAGATGGATCAGACTTAAATATAAAACCCAAAACCATAAAAATTCTGGAAAAAAACTAAGAAAAACACATCTGGATATTTACCTAAGCCAAAACTTTATGACTAAGACTCCAAAAGTAAGTGCAACAAAAACAAAAATAAATAAAAAGGACATAAGTAAACTAAAAACCTTCACAGCAAAAGAAATAGTCATCACAGTAAACAGATAACTCAGAGAATAGAAGAAAATGTTTACAAAGTATGCATCTAGCAAATAATTAATATCTAGAATTAACAAGGAAAACAAATCAGCAAGAAAAAATAATCCCAACAGAAAGTGAAAAAAAATTACATGAATAGACATTTCTCAAAAGAAGATATACAAATGACCAACAAACATATAAAAAATTCTCAATGTCACTAATCATCAAAGAAATGCAAATTAAAACCACAGTGAGATACCATCTTTTCCCAGCATAATAGCCATTATTAAAAAGTCAAAAAAAACAAAGAAACAGATTTTGGCATGAATGTGGTGAAAAGGGCATGCTTATACATTGCTGGTGGGAATGTAAATTAGTACCTCCTTTATGTAAAGCATTATGGAGATTTTTGAAATAACTAAAAGTAGATCTAGCATTCAGTCCATCAATCCCACTACTGGTTAACTACTCAAATTAAAAAAAGTCATTGTATCAAAAATACATCTGCATGTATATGTTTATTGCAGTACAATTCACAATTACAAAGATACAGAACCAACCTAAGTGCTCCTCAACCAATGAGTGGATAAAGAAATGTGGTAAACATACACCATGACATACTACTCAGCCCTAAAAAGAATGAAATAATGTCATTTGCAGCAACTCCAACTGGAGCTGGAGGCCATTATTCTAAGTGAAGTAACTCAGGAATGGAAAACCAAATATCATATATTCTCACTTTTAAGTGGTAGCTAAGCCATGGGTATGCATACAGAGTGGTATAATGGACATTGGAGACCACTAATGGGGAGAGTAGGAGGTGGGTGAGGGATAAAACACTACATATTGGGTACAATGTACACTACTTGGGTGACAAGGGCACCAAAATCTCAGACTTTACCACTCTGTAACCAAAAACCACTTGTTCCCCAAAAGCTATTGTGTTATGTATGTATATTACATATGTCTAAGTATAGCCATAGATATCCAGGATTTTTTTTATCCTTAAAAAACCATATGATTTAAGAGAACTTAAAGTTATTAAAAATATATTATTATTTTAATTCTCCATCTCCCCTGGTAGTGTGCTATGCAAATAATAATGAGGAGATATTAAAGGTCCCTGGGTTTCTCATGGATTCTCTCAAAGCACTAGCTTCTTGAGACTCTTCACACACTGAGAGAATTAAATCTGTAGCCCTTTGTCCAGTTAATTTCTCTGATTTGCAACAATAGGAAAACTTCTTTTACTCCCCTAAGAGGGTCAAATTTTTAAAATCCTTAGATTACTAGGTTCCTAGGTTAAGTACTAGGGTAAGAGGAAGACTAGGTTTTTGTATTCATATGTCAAAAGATATGATGTTCCAGAATTTGGAGACAGCTATAGGTCATAAAAACTTGGAGATACAGGGTTATTTGGTTCCAGGAGAGATTTTACAACATTCCAAAAGTTTGGAATAAAGAAGATATCCTCTTAGAAGGACAGAAAAACAGCCGTTTCCGTCCTAGTATAAGTATAAAAACAAAGACAAGGAAAAAAACCATTGTTCTTAACTTCTTGCTTTCAGAGAGTCTGGCCTCTCACTAGGATGATCTGGATCTCTTTATACTGTCCAAAGATAAGAACTGGGAAAAGGAGCAGCCAACACACATTATTAAGAAATCTGTTTCTGACTGAGAACACTGTGTGGACATTTAAAATAAAATTAACAAACTTGAGCCCAGGAGTTTGAGGCTGCCATGAGCTATGATGGCATCACTACACTCTAACGTGGGCAACTAAGTGAGAACCAGTTTCTAAATAAATAAAGAAATAAATACATAAATAGTAAAATGAATAAGATGAGTATTAAAAGCCCAAAAACAGATTCTCAAATTTTGTTGAATATGTGAATGGATGAATAAATATGAAATGTAGATGGAGACATTAGGAAGAAGTTAGCTTCCACTGAAAAATATACACAAATCAAATTCCAAATAATTAAATATGTAGAATATAGCTTGTTTACAACAATAAAAAATAATGTTCTCTGTCAGAGAAAATTAAGAAAAGCAATTTAAACTCAACTGTTATAGAAAGAAAGATTACTATCTATTTAGCAGTGCTTAAAAAGGAGGTCATAGAGAATTAATTCCAATATAAACCTGACATGAACAGCAATGCAAAAAATTTGGACTCAATGTAAAATATTATTTGATGGTGTGAATAAATAATGAAATAAATGTTCATAAGATAAATTGTTGAAATAATTTGAAATCATTTTTGAATAATTATTGAAATAATTAAATAAATTGTTCATGAAAAATTACTCATCTTGAGGAAGACAATCCCCATTTTACTACAATTTCATTATTTTATATTGGCAAGAGAAGAAATATTTTGAAAAACATTAATAAAGTTGACTTAAACAGGAGTATGATCCTCTTTCAGATGCAAAATAGAAGATAGGGGATGGAGCAAGTCTACCTTCCTTAAAAAGGTAGCTGAAGTCATCAGGAATTGTTTGTGTCATGCTACAGACCTATACTGAAGAATAATAAATGAAACAGACTTATGAACTCATCAGATATATTTACACTAAGCATACTGATTAGAAAGTTCTCCTCATGTAATTTCTTCTTCCTGAACGATCTCAAAAAAATATAATTTCAGGTCTAGATAATTGAAATAAAAGTGCATCCCTGAAACAAATTATTTAGCTCTTACTTTTTATAAATACTCTAATTGCTAAACTTATCAGGATCATGACCTACTTTGTATAGACAAATTAAATTCTAATTCTCCAGATCACAATATATAGGCTTTAAGTCACCATAATTTTTCCCCATTTGCCTCATTTCTGCCTTTCTTTGAGGTCTCTACCTTTTGTAACTAGTTTTTAATTTGTAAAATATTTACTTAATATTAGCTGATTTATAATGAATTAGTTTAGACTAGAATGGCATTTGAATACTTGTTGAAAATAATATCACTTGTAGACCCAGAATACTTTGGTAGCTACTTCATTTTCTCTGTCTCTTTCTGAAAAGTTAGCCAGCTTGCTTTAGGCAGACACTAAGGGAAGGGTCCCCCAGAGAACCTCCTATCTGCTCCACAAGTGTTTATACCAGATGTTTTGTGCACATAAGGGTACTTGCTCCGGGGGCTTGCCTAAACATGCCCGCAGTGGAAAATTTTGTTTCTTAACACGTGGGCAGTAAGAAAAATAAATCAATATGGAATGTCTCAGACTAAGGGTCTGCATGCACTCTGGAAGGATGCAGTGGAGCCTACAGGAATTCACGCCTTATACAAATAGGGAACTCAGCCCCATCAGCTTATATAAAAATGCCTTTGATTCACCTGTGAAGAGGGCAACCGGGAACCTACTTTCAGGACTCCTCTCTTTGCTGAGAGCTTTCCTTTAACTTAATAAATTCTATACAATTCAGAACAATGTGCTCTCCCTCCGTTTTTAGAGACATGTCCCTTACCCCAACCTCCAATGGCCACAGGTACACATGTGAGACAAATGGGAGAGTGGCAACTCCCAACCCCCTCCCCTCCCGTCTGGGGCACATAGCCCAAGGGCCCCACTTGGCTAGGTGGCCAGCATTTCCTGCTCACTCTTCCCTCTCCCCATGCACCCACAGTGTCTTTCCTCCCCTGGCTGAGCCAGAAAGGAGGAGACAGCAATTAAAATGTTCTCTCCCTATAGGAGGAACTCATTTGCATAAGAATAAAAGGTTTCTCCTCCAGGCATCTTCCCCACCCTGCACTTAAGCTGTTTTATTTTATTTTTTTTTCTTTTCTCCACTTTGTAAGGAGTTAACTTTTATGAGAGGTTTTTTGTTGGTTTTTGTTTTTGTTTTTTCTTATTAGGCCAGGACCCCAATTCCCAAGACAGCCTTTTCTCTCCCTTGTTTAAGGAAGACCCAGCTCCAAAGCTTTAGGTTAGCATGACTCATTGCTGCCGATTAGGCCCCCTTCCATCTCGTGGATAGAGGTCATTCTAGTATCCACGGCATGTATGAAATCTAGAGAACTCAAAAGTTATCGACAACAGTGGGACAAGCAGCGCATGGGTAATGGTGGATAACTCGCACCCTGTAAGCCCCCTGTTAACATAGGTGAAAGCTGCACTGGCACCCATGGGTGGTAACCTGCCAAGATCACCAGGACTCAGGGATATAAGAACAGAAGAAAGAAAGAGGACACTTTTCTCCTCTCCCTCATGTACCTCAGGTATTTACTAGGAAAAAGAAGAAACTAGGGATGCCTTGCTCCCCTCTTCTTAGGTGAGTAACCAATCATCTGCAGCCCATATTTCTCTTGATTGCCTCCTGAATCACTAGGACTCTTCTGAAAAAACACCTCCTTTCTCCTTTTTCCTCCTCTGTCCTCTCTTTGTGGGTGGGTCATTGTGTCGCTGTACCACAGGACACTCCCTTTGGATGCATCTCTTAAACTGGGAAAAGTTAATTTCTCCAAACCTTAAACTGCTTGGCTCAAAACTGAGCATGAAAAAGGGCAACTCAGAAGCCTGGTACACCAGCAAAAGGGTAAAAGTTCTTACCAGGGCCGGGTGCAGTGGCTCACGCCTGTAATCCCAGCATTTTGGGAGGCCAAGGCAGGCGGATCATGAGGTCGGGAGATGGAGACCATCCTGGCTGACACGGTGAAACCCCATCTCTACTAAAAATAACAACGACAACAACAACAAAAAATTAGCCGGGCGTGGTAGCGGGCACCTGTAGTCCCAGCTACTCCGGAGGCTGAGGCAGGAGAATGGCGTGAACCTGGGAGATGGAGCTTGCAGTGAGCCGAGATCACACCACTGCACTCCAGCCTGGGGACAGAGGGAGACTCTGTCTCAAAAAAAAAAAAAAAAAAAAAAAAAAAATAGTTCTTACCAGTCAGACTTCTGGCCTCCTTCTCCCTGTGCAAACCAGTTGAATAAATGATAAAATCCCTGTTTAAATCACTGTTTATATACTCTCTGAAGTTCTGATAAATAGAAAAAAAGGATTTATGAGGCTAGCCTTAAGCTGTAGCCAATGTAGTGTGCTTTGTGTGTCTTTCTGTATAGTTCTGTCATAAAGAGGGGTACCTTAGGATAGAATGCAGGCCTAGGACCCCAAAAGTTTGCTGATCAAACCAGCCTGGCAAACTGGTCAGTAACAAACCTTGCTGCAGTTCTTCATCTTGTTTTTTGTCCTTAGGAGCTTGACCTTGTAACCACTTGATAATACTTTCTTTTGGCCTCTGCCATTTTACAATGGTGGCCCGGGTTTAATCCCGGCTTAGGGAATGAGTATATTTTGGCCAATATCTGTGTGACTTCTACCATTTGCTGATTCTCTTCCCCTCTATAAACAACTTTAGCTTCCTTTCTTAAATCTTCCTTTGTCTGAACCAACTTTAAAGATCTTAGATTCTGTAAAAACTGCTTAGCACCTCTTTGAAAATAACTTTTACACTTACAGTTAAGTCATAACCTTAGTTGAGGCTTGTTGGTTTCACCTGTGAGGTTATTTTTAATAAAGTTCAAAAGCCAGAAATATTGGCTGCTCGGCATGGCTAAAGTTGGGTAATAGATATGAAACGATTTTCTTAGAGCACAGCTGAATTAAAAGTGGATATCCAAGTTATAGGTATATTTAAAGGCCTTTAAATTTTTCTCTGCATGGATCTTGTTTTTCTGGAAAAAGGTTCTTTCTCTGTTGAATGATTTTTTTTTTCCCATTTTGTCTTGTCATTCAGTGCATACATGAGAGGCTCTAAGATAACTTCTGATAGCCCGGGGCTCCTGGGAAAAAACAAAGAAGGTGCCGCAGACCCCATTTTGGGGAAAAAACACCCTCTGTTTTCCTCACGAAACCCCAGGAATTAAAAGTGGATAGATCCTTCTCAAAATCTGTCTCTGTCTTCCAGCTATGCCTGTTTATTAGGCCCTAGAAACTGTATGCTGTCCTAGACCCTGCTCTTGAAGGGCTTCACCCAGAGGCCAATAATCTATTCAGAAGATTGGCAAATGAAAAATCTTACAAGTACTGAATTTGCTTTTGTTCATCTGTGTAATTTTCTATTTCTTATGGGTGTGATGTTTATATAAAAAAGCTCTAGGAAAATAAGCACTTAGATCAAATATTTTTTGAAGAAAAATAAAAGCTGTAATACCTTTTCAGTTCACATGACTATAATCTTTAAGAAATAAAGGCTGTTTTAAAAATAATTGGTAAAATACAAATGTCTTTAAAATGTAAATATGTGGGCTGAATCATGTAGGTCAGATACTAGGTTAGCTAAATGCTTCAAAGTTATTAACTGCTTCTTTGGCTTTTAAGAATTATTTGATAAAGTTTGGCTCTGTGTCCCCACCCAAATCTCATCTTGTAGCTCCCGTAATTTCCATGTGTTGTGGCAGGGACCCAGTGGGAGATGATTGAATCATGAGGGTGGGTCTTTTTATGCTGTTCTCATGATAGTAATGGGTTTCATGGATCTGATGGTTTTAAAAATGAGAGTTTCTCTGCACAAGCTCTCTTTTTTGGTTTGCCACCATCCACATAAGATGTCACTTGCTCCCCCTTGCCTTCTGCTATGATTGTGAGGCCTCCTCAGCCACGTGGAACTGTAAGTCCAATTAAACCTCTTTCTTTTGTAAATTGCCCAGTCTCAAGATTGCCTTTATCAGCAGCATGAAAATTGACTAATACACTATTCAATTTGCCTGCTTCACAATTAATAAGTCCAGGGACATATGGAATTAACCACACCCTTAATTATGCAGGAAGGAATCAGACTTTATTTATGCCTACTACATAATTAAAGCAACTTGCCAGGTTTTACATTAAAGTTAAAAATTGCTAGGAGTTACCATAATAACCTGTAATTGAGACAATGAAAATAGATTTACATATAAGGTAAGTAAGGAAAGTAAAATATGTTTTTAGTAAAAGATTATAAGAATGCATGAAAATGTAAATTTTTGCCTTGGGTTAAAGGATTGTTTTGAATTAGGTAAGATAAAGCTGAAGGTTTAAACAAATGGTGAAAAGTTTGTAAAAATTAATCTTGCAAAAGAAATTGTGTGAACATATTGACTAATTTCAAAAAAGTATTTTGTTTTTGTAAATTGAGCATTGAAATAAAACACAACAAGGTTTTCTAAAGGCGCTGATCTGCTCTTTAACAACAATTTGTAAAGGGTTATAAAAGTGTAAAAAAATCTCACCTCATGGTCAAACTAGATAAGATTAGATATAATTATCTATAAGTTTTCATTAAAAAAATTGGGGTTGACATCAACAGTAGACTAATGCAAGGATGAAATTAGGCTTTCACTTGAACAGCATTTCTCTGTAAAATTAACGACAGATTGTTTGGAAAGCTAAGTTTTCCCTCTTCCTGTGAATATGCTTTTGCGTTGTTTTAAAATGTTTGAGTCATCATTTTGGCTAAAATAAATGACATATGGTAACTTGGAATTCTATTTTATAATATCAAGTGCTTTGAGCCTCTAACGTAATTAACAGTCTTCCCAAAATCAAACTTCAGTTTCAAAATTGTCTTTCCTGGTCCCTGGAACATCCAAAACAGAAGAAAACTGGGTTTTTTGAAATGTTTAGTTATATGGTATTTCCAAAGTTATATTTAATCTGCTTTAGGTTATATTTTAGTGAATAATATTAATATGTTTCAAAATTATATGAGATTTCTAAAATTCTAATGTCTGAATATATGCTATCAATCATAATTAAGGTTATTATGTTTAGTTATTGTAAACCCTAGAAATAACTAAATTTCTTTGTCAATTGTATTCTTGACAGTAACTACCCTGGACATTTCATCATTCACAGACAAATGTCTTCTTTTGATCCTACTCAAAAGATGATTTATAATCAGCTACAGGATTTTGACAAGTGTTCTCAAATGCAAGATTCCATTAGCTCTGGAGATTATGACATTGAAAAAAATACAGTACTCATAAAGAACTGAAATGTTCATGAATATCAAGCAGAATAAGAGAACAGAATGGATTGAACTAATAGAAAACAAGTATTATTTTTAACCTTTTTGCTTAAAACTTTGGTGATCCTTGCTTTGTTTTTCTGAGTCAAGAATACTTATTTTGAACTATTTAAAGCCTTTAATAATTGAGTAAACTATACACCTGTGAACAAAATTTGAAGGATGTTTGTTTCTCTCTGCCTGGCTTTGCCAGAATTTGGAAACTATTTGTGAGAATATTTAATTTATGGCAATTCAGTTATTTTCATCAGTGCAATAAGAATACATTTTCTTTTGCAACAGGACACAATTGAAGAAACTGGTGGTTTTACCAAGGCTTTTACTGGAAGGGTATATGTTCCTTTAAGTCATTAAGCTGGACTTGCCAATAAAAGTTCCTTGGGAAAACTGGCTATATACCTTGTCAACACAGTCCTTGTACAAGGTTCCTAACCCATGGGGAGTAAAGCATGTCACTTTTTAACAGGCTTAGGAGTCTGTTAAAAAGCTCCTGGGCCTGTTAAAAAGCTTGTTCTTGGGACATCAAGAAGAGAATGATTTACCAAACTTGTAGATATTTGAGGGTGGAAACCCTTGGCTGGGCTTGGCCTTAAAAGGTCTTAACTGAGATGCCTTATGGAACAGAGTTCCATCAAAGCCAATTTAAAAGCCTATGGGAAAAATAATTATTCTTTTTGCACTTTATGCAAATAAGACAAGTATAAGGCTAAAGTTTATTTTTTCAAACAACTGAGTCCTATCATGATTTGTTTTTGACAAAAATGAGGACTGGAGAGAGAGAAATTATGTTTCAAAACGTATTCTACATTTGTCATTACATTATAATCCCATTAGTTGTTTTTAAGTTTTTGCCTACATTTTAGACTACCCTGCTTATTCCTGTGGACCAACCAGCAATGTACGGCTGCAGCTCAAAAGAACCAAAGGGATGAATAATATAAAAAATCTGGATCAATATTTTAATTCTGAACAATTATCCTGCAAATCCTTCCAGGTGATCGGAGTAAATAGGTGCCCATAACCCAGAGATTTCTTTGTTTGGGAAAATAAGACCAAGGGAGCTAATCAAAGCCAAGCCCCATGAATACAAACCTTAGCAGGCATAACTATAGCCACGAGTTATCTGGCTGTATTGGCAGCCTTGAGATTTTGTTTTGTTTTGTTTTGTTTTGAGCTGTCCTTATCCCTTTGTTTCATTTTGAATATGTCTTCTAATAACCCAAATTGTTTCTTCTCACTTAAAGGCCGTTCAACATCAAATGGTGATGCAAACAGAACCACTCATGAACACACCGTTCTCTTTGGGGACCCTTAAACTGACCTCAGGAGGAGCCTTAACTGCCACTTTCCCAAAACAGCACCCCTTGTCAGCAGGAAGCAGTTAAGAGCAGTCGTTGTACACTTTCCCCAACAGAATTTGGGGTCTCCACTCCTGAAGGGAGGAATGAAAGGAGTCAGCCAACTTGCTTTAGGGAGACAGTCAGGAAAGGGTCCCCTGGAGAACCTCTTACCCACCCCCCAGGTGTTTATACCAAATATTTTGTGCGGATAAGCGTACTTGCTAAGGGAGCTTGCCTAAACATGCCCATAGTGGAAAATTTCGTTCCTTAACATATGTGCATTAAGGGAAATAAATCAATATGGAGAGGCACAGACTAAGGGCCCACTTAACTCACTGGAAAGGTGGAGTGGAGCAACCAGGAATTCATGTCTCATACAACCAGGAATTCACAGCCCTATCAGCTTGTATAAAAATGTCCTTGTTGCCGGGTGCAGTAGCTCACACCTGTAATCCAAACACTTCAGGAGGCAGAGGCGGGCAGATCACTAGAGCAGGAGTTGGAGACCAGCCTGACCAACATGGTAAATCCCATCTCTACTAAAACTACAAAAATTATCCGGGCCTGGTGACATGTGCCAATAATCCCAGCTATTCAGGAGGCTGAGGCAGGAGAATCACTTGAACCTGGAAGGCAGAGGGTATAGTGAGCCAAGATCACGCCATTGCACTCCAGCCTTGGCAACAGAGTGAGGCTCTGTCTCAAGAAAAAAAAAATGCCCTTGTATTCAACTGTTAAGGGGGCAACCAAGAACTTCATGTCAGGACCCCTCTCTTTGCTGAGAGCTTTCCTTTCACTAAATAAATTCTACTACACTTACCCTTTGAGTGTCCATGTGCCTACTTCTTCAGAACTTAGGCCTAGCTGGGCTAAGGAGCAAAAAACCCTGCATCATATCTCAAACTCAACCTTTAAGTTTTTGTCCTACTAGTCTCCTTCACATTTTGCAATACATTAAAATTGCTTCAAGGTTTTTTCAAAATGTGTTTTTGGTAATTCTGCTAATTTATGCTGTTTAAAACATCCTGGCTGAATGATTTCAAATAAATTTTATAACATCTATTTCCATTTTTTTTCACTCAGTACATATGAATCCACTGTTTAATCCAAATTTAAAGTAACAATCATTAAAGTAAATTAAAATGGAGTCCAGGCCTGAAGAATTTCTGAGCAGACAAAACCAGTTAGGCATCATAAGTGATCTAAACCTTGTTTGATCTACAGATATAAGGGAAACTTGAGCTATTCTTATCAATTTCTATATTAAAGAAAAACAGAACTTAAGTTCAACCAATCAGAAGTAGCCAACACACATAATCATACAACTGAAGACTTTCCAGTGGGATAGACCTAATAACGTACAACTTTGGTACCAAATAAGGTACAAATAACTGTACAACTATAAATAGTCAAATACTATCTTTAGTTTTCTTCTGTGCCTGTCCTCTAAAAGCCTCCCCCTGTGATCCCTCAGTGGTGCTCTTAAGCCACTTTTATGGTTTGGAGCTGCCTGAGTCATAAATCATTGTGTAAATAACATATTTAAAATTTTATTGTGTCTTAGTTTATCTTTTAACACAGTGGTCCTCAACCCTTGGTTATGAGCTATGGCTTGTTAGGAATCAGATCATACAGCAGGAGGTGAGCGGCAGGTGAGTGAGCATTACCACCTGAGCTCTGCCTCCTGTCGAATCAGCTACAGCATTAGATTCTTATAGGAATGTGAACCCTATTATGAACTGAGCATGCAAGGGATCTAGGTTGTGCATACCTCATGAGAATCTAATGCCCGATGATCTGAGGTGGAAAAGTTTCATGCCTGTATTAGTCAGGGTTCTCCAGAGGGACAGAACTTATAAGATATATGTATATATGAAAAGGAGTTTATTAATGAGAATTGACTATATGATCACAAGGTGAAGTCCCATGATAGGCTGTCTGCAAGCTGAGGGGCAAGGAAGCCAACAAAGGCTTAGTTCAGCTACAAAAGCCTCAAAAGTAGGAAAGCTGGCAGTGCAACATTTAGTCTGTGGCCAAGGGCCTGAAAGCCCCTGGAAAACCACTGCTGTAAGTTCAAGTGTTCAAAGCCTAAAGAACCTGGAATCTGATGTCCAAGGGCAGGAAGCATCCAGCACAGCACAATGATGAAAGCCAGAAGACTCATTAAGTCAGCTTATCCCACCTTCTTCCACCAGCTTTGTTCTAGCCAAGCTGACAGTCAATTGGATGGTGTCCACCCACATTGAGGATCGGTCTTCCTCTCCCAGTCCGACTCAAATGTTAATCTCCTCCAGCAACACCCTCACTGACACACCCAGAAACTATTCTTTACCAATTATCTAGGCATCCTTCAATCCAATTAAGTTGACACCTATTATTAACCATTACAATCCTGAAACCATCCTCTGCTCCCCTGTCCGTGGAAATATTGTCTTCCACAAAACCAGTCCCTGGTGCCACAAAGGTTGGGGACTACATAGAACTCAATGAAATGAGAAGTAGTTTCTGATTCAACTAATGTCTGTTAAGTGATTCTCTCTATAGATCCAAGTATTATGAGCAACCTCACACAATCACATTCATGAGATTTCTATTACTCTGTGTGTTGGACTTCAAGGAAGGAATGGAATGCCATCATTAGGCACCAAATACTTCCACTATTGATTAGCATTGAGATTTTTAGTAAATATTTAGGAGTACTGGGGGATGAAGGAGAGACAACACTATTTATTCTTGTACTAGAATACTCATTTCTAATGCCTATAATTAAATCAATAGGAAAGTTATTGAGAAAATCTGGGCATTTTGAGATAGTTGAAGAGTAAGTATTCCATATGTATGTCAGTTGAAAATTATTTTTGCTATTTGCTTTTGAAAGAATATAACAATGTTAGCAAATGAACAAGGTAATTCCTGGCTGAATTATATAATTATTTACAGTACTCCCAAAGATATTAATCTATTACCATTATAAGTAATTCATGGGGAATGATATTAAACAATAGATAAAATATCAAGTTAATGTGTTTCAGGACATCACTCACAGCATAATGAAAAACTGACTTACTTCTGTATTTCAATAGCTTCAATACTCATTCAACATTACTGTGCATTACAAATCTATTGGTAAATTGCTTGCGAAAATAAGACTGAAAACAATTTTAAATTAAGTGTACAAATTTTTCTCTTTTTCTTTTGAAATAATTAATATTTTATTTTATTACTATAGTTTCCTTTAACTCTATAATTTGAACTGAGATGTTTGGAGAAAAAGTATTTTTAAAAGAATTTATAACAATAAGAATAACTGTTAGAATGCCAGTCCTATCAAGAAATGTTAGAAATATATAAGCAAAACTCAAAAGTAAATATCACTGTCTGTCTAACCATATTCCATGCATATCTTCTACTACTGTTCCCCAGAATTGTCTGTTTTATCATTTCTCTTGACTTTTGATACATTTATTCATATATCCTCCATCCTCACTTAGTCCCTACTGTTTGTACTTCGGCATCATATCAACCCTATCTTGCCACTTAAAAGACAAAGTAATACTACTTTTTCAGTTTTTTTTCATTTAATGTAAGAAGTTATCATTTCCCCAATAGTGAAATGATGCAAAATGATTATTTGATGTATTGTCCAAATGGGTTCAGGTTTGTGACAGTCTCAAACACATCAGGGAGTAGGGACACCCTTCAGTTAAAGCACAAAGTTGTATTTTAATCTGTATTTTATTTTTAAAAAAGATTTTTTCTCAATATCACATAAACATCAAGCTCTTTATTTTACCTCTCTATTTACTTATTTACACGATTTAAGATTGAACATTTTTCATTATCAAAATTATTTTCAAAATATGTGTAAAATTGTTGAAATCTTAATTTTTCCAAAATGACAGCTGACTCCTCTTAAAGGTAATGGGAATCTTAGAATGTTATTTGCAAGTCAGTCTACAGCATTCTTTTCATATATAAAATGTTGTGTACTAATTTTTGAAATATTTGTAAATTAAATAGGTCATTTTTCTTTCAGGAGAAAGGAGACTTTGAGAGATTTTTGTGCAGGAGAAGAGTAGTTTTAAAAATAGGTAGTTTGCAATAGGGCAGACTAGTTTTAAAACTCTAAAATGAGAGCAAGTCAATAAGAGTCTCTTGATTAAATCTAGTGATCTTATTATTTATTTATTAATTGACATGTAATAATTGTACATATTCATGGGGTATAATTTCATACCTGGATACCTATCCATGTTGTATAATGATCCATTCAGAGTGAATCTATTATCTTACATATTTATCATTTCTTTGTGGTGAGAACATTCGAAGACAACTCTTCAAGCTATTTTGTAATATACGATATTTCACTGTTAACCATACTTACTCTACGTGCAACAGAACACCAGAATTTTTTGCTCTTATCTAGTTGTAATTTTATACCACCAATCAAAGTTTCCTCATCCTTCTTTTCGTCCTCCTGTCTTTAGTCTCTGGTAACATTTTTCTACTCTCTGCTTCTATGCTATTAACTTTTTTAAATGTTTGTATTTTCTTTTTTTTTTAGACTCCACTTATGAGTGAGATCATGCTGTACTTGTCTGTCTGTGTCTGGCTTATTTCACTTACCGTGATGTCCTCTAGATTCATCCATATTGTCATAAATGGCAAGATTTTATTTTTTATGGCTAAAGAGTACTTCATTGTATACAGATAGTGCATTTTCTTTTTGCATTCATCTGTTGCCAGACACTTAGGCTTATTCTGTATCTTGGCTATCATACATAGTGCTGCAATAAAAATGACTAGGTGCATTGCAATTAGCTTTAAAAAGATGGAACGGCATTGTAAGGACAGACCATGAATCTAAGCCCTTAGGTTGAATACTTAGGTTGAATAAAATTGTTGGAAGAAGTGGCTATTTGATGTATGTAATGAAAGGGATTCTTACTTGGCGGGTATTATTAGGAGAAAAAAAAAGAGAGAGAAAGTTGAAGGAGAGGGGAAAACTGCCACAGCAGGTTAAGCAACTTGCTTTAAAATAATTGGGATTAGTAAGTGTGCAAAGATAGAACTGGTGATGAAAGAGTGAGACTGGAATTAGAAATTAATTTGTAATACTAATGTTGCAGGTTGGGTCCTGGTTATGAGATTAAGTGGATGCTCATTCTTTGGAGCTATAACTGTGACCAGTGCCACATTAACAGATTTAGAAAATATGAGATTAACTATGAAGGTACAGAAAATAAAGGTATTAAAATTCTTTCTATATTTTAGATCTAATTGTTAATAATATAGTATATACACATCCATACTATATTATATATGTATATTACATATATAATAACATATATATGTGAAAAGCTATGGTAAATAGAAAACATTAGCTGGGCATGGTGGCTTATGCCTATAATCCCAGCACTTTGGGAGGTGGAGGCAGGAGGATACTTGAGCCCAGGGATCTGAGACTAGCCTGGGTAATATGGCAAGACCATGTCTCTACAAAAAGTAAAGAAAAGTAGCTGGGCCTGGTGGCACACACCTGTCATCAAAGCTACTCTGGAGGCTGAAGTGTGAGGATCACTTGAATTCAAGAGGTCAAGGCTGTAGTGAGCTGTGTTCCAGCCACTGCACTCCAGCCTGGGTGAGAGCACAAGACCTAAAAAAGCACAAGTCTAAAAAAAAGCAAAAGAAAAAAGAAACATTATTGAGGAGAAGAGATAAATAGAGTCTTAGAAATTTGAATTGATACATGAGTAAAGAATGACCCAATTATTTTTTACCAGGAATGGGAAAATAAATTTTATTCAAGTCCACAATATAGTTTTTAAAGCATAGACAATATAATACAGGGGTTGGGGGCGTGGTTACAACAATGTTAGAAACACTGAAAGAGCAAAAGAGGCCTGCTACTCCAGATGATGAGCAAATGAAGGAAGCCACTTCCATCCTTAACTGTGAAAAATGAGTAGGAGAAGGTGGTGCATTCTGGGTCCCATGATTCCAGACTGACCATTGGCCCTATTTGAGCGCAGCTGCCGTTAGGCAGAAACTCTGGACTCCAAACTCTCAGTAAAACTTCTGAAGACACTGTTGTTGCTATTGCAGCTGTCAGCACCATTGATTCAGCTGAGAAGCAGCACAGAATATCACACTGACACCCACGCTGTTGGTTGTGTTTTTTTGAACCAGATTGAAATTAATATCTATTGTATGGTTCAATTTCTATGAAGTTCAATGTCAAGCAAATGTAATTTATAAAGATAAAAGTAAGAACAGTGGTTGCCTATAGTAATGATTGGAGGTTCACAATAGAGACTCCTGGATTCTAGTAATACTCAATTCATATTCATGTAGGTTGTGATGACATTAGTATTTTACGTTCTAAAAATGTTTAATGCTATATGCTCAAGATCTGTGTCTTTCACATGTGCATATCATATTTCATATTTCAATTAATAAATCAGTAATAAAAGTTCCAGTTCAGGATACAATACTGTAGAACAATCCAAAATATTAATTTATTCCTAAAGTTTTAAAAATATTAGAATAAATACGGATCATTTTGTTAAAACAGTATGGTAAACCTAAATGTAAAAAAAAATTAAATTGAGTTAGGAATTTCAAAAAGACATTTCATGTACCTTTTCAACTTTCAATTTCATATGAAAGTTGAAAAAACTTGAAATCAGTTAAGTGTGCATGTGTATGTAAAACAAAATTACTGCATATAAAAACTTTTTTGAGGCATCTAGAAAATATTTAGCAGTGTGCCATAGTTTAGAGGCATTTTAAAATGCTTTTTAGTGGTACATAAAAAATTAATTAATGACAGAGTCTATGAAAAACAAGTAGAGCAGCTTGAAATAATTCACATATTTTTCATGTAAAAGTTTTAGGAGAAGTCCAGTGATGTCACGATAGCTCTACGATGTTGATTTATTTTGTCGCTTTTATATGCTTATTTTATATATAAAATAGCTGAAAACAGCTATGAATTCTAAAGCATGGTAACAGGGGTAAAAGGTCACACACATTTCTTTTAGATGCTGCAAATATTGCTTCTGTTCACACGTTATCGTCCAAAACTTAGTTACATTGACTCATCAAAGTGCAAAGAGGCTGGTAAATGTACTTTAATTTGCTAAATGCCTTGCAAGATATAGGGATGTATATTGAGAAGACAAAGAATGGAAGTGAGAATTACTTGTTATTTTGACTTCCAACTATCGGAGAACATTCCCAAAGAAATATTATACTAAATTTCTGCCTGAATAATTATTTCAGCATCTCTTTCATGGTCTTTGCTTAAGGGCAGTGCTTCCAGCTGAGGCTGCATACAGTCTCATATTCCATAGACTAACTGTCTAGGGTAATTCAGACTTATAACCTAAGTTTATGTTACAGCTTTTCTAACTTATGTTCCTTTGATGGAGTTTATCCTCATTGCCCCACCCCCCAAATGGTTTACTAATAAAGTATAGTCTAAAACAGAAACATTATTCTTTTTATATTCTTTAATCTCCATTGAAATAAACACAATTTGTAGAATTATTAACTAATACAAATTAATTGAAAAGAAGCATCTTTCTTTTATATGAACAATGACATAGTTCAAATTTATCCTGAAAACAGTTTTAAGCACAAGTAATTACGCTGAATATGTAAATAACCCATTTATAAGTAGGTCAATAGGAAAACATTTCAACAAATTTCAAACTTGATATCATTTCTAGATCTTATGAAATAATGGAACATGTTTTGGAAGGTAAGAGAAGTTTACTTAGCCAATAATAACAGGTCTCAATCAATTATTTTTTAACAGCTAGTTTATCCCTGGATATACCTTACTATATCCTGTTTTTAGATATGGCATTTGAAAACCTCCAAGAATATAGATATAATTTTAATTGAGCTATTATGGTTAGTATTTATTTTTAAAGTTCTGAATTTTTTTAAAAAATTCAATTTCTATGGTATATTAACAAGATTGATTGGAATAATGCATTTTTTTAATATGGTGGGTTGGTGATATGTTTTTCTTCTGAGAAAGAAGGCTGTTCATAATCTTAAATTATATTAGGTTTTAGAAACAACAAAAATTGTGGGATTCCCTTAATGGCTTTCTTGCACTTGAGTTCTAAAATATTTATCAATCTCAAATATATTTTGCATTATGTTGAAAAATGACTATTAATAGTTTCTGCTAAAAGGAATTATCAACTTTTTATGCATCACCATTTCCGAGTTGGGCTTATAAAAATATCAGTATCTGTCCTACATATATACCAATGTTTTTCAATTTTTAGTCAATTAAATATGTTTCATTGATTTTCTGCTGTGTGCCTAAAATTGTGCATGATGATATTATAGAAGGTACTGTGAAAAGGCTTAAAGCAGTATATTTAACCACTGCCTACCAGAGTAGTACATAGAGAAGCAAACCTAATCTATAAGCAACAATGAGAGCGTGCTACAGATAACTTTTAATATTGTAAATATATATGATACAGATGATAAAATCTTTATGAAATAATCTATAGGAGAGGTGAAATGGGTCTCTGCCAGGAGAATGCAAAGGCAGTAAAAAATTAAAAACCAAAATATTGAGAATTATTTTGAGGAAAGTGTTAGTAGAATTTAATAATACATTTAATAGAAACATAAGATTAAAAATGCAAAGATGAATTCAAAGTTGCTTACATTCAAAAATAACTCATTAAATGTACAGTATTTTAAGCACACTTTTGATCTATGAAGAGTATAAATATGAATAAGACATAGTTCTTTAGGCTAGACATAGAGAATATTTTTTGTGCAGAAATAAAATCTAGAGTATGTAATATTAGGGGAAAGAAAATGCCTCATAGATGTCAATAAACCTTGTTCCCTCTATTTTTTTTTTACTGGTTTCATTTCCTGTAATAATTGTGGTAACAGTAATGCTGAAAAAATTAAACCTCCAACTCTTAAAACAATAAAAGTTATTGCTTGCTTAAATAATAGGAATGCTATCTGTGATTTCCTGCAGGGTCATTCAAAGATTTATTATTTTCCCATCTGTGGTTTTGCCATCCTCAATACATAGCTCTTGGGGGTTTTCTGTGGATTGTTTTAATGTTAGCCAACCAGAGAGGATAAAAAGAGTGTTAAAAATTATTAATTCTGGGTCTATGTGACCCTGTAAGAAGGCTACATCACTACTATATACTTAGAACCTAAATTTCTATGCCAAAATATAGGCGAATATAGCAAATATTGTCCAAATTTACAAGGAAAGAGAAAATGAATTGTGTGTTCATCTTACAGTTTCTAATAAAATCCCCAACATTGAACTTAAATGACTCTCCAGTTGTTCATTAGGAGCATATGCTGTTGGTTGACTGCCAGCATACATTATCTCACCTTTTCTTTCTAAAATAGAACATATTCAATATATCCAAGGCTTCTAAGGCTTCAGTACTTCTCTAAGTTTACTGTCTCGTCTTCAGATTCAGGTATGATGTGATTACTCTAAGTATAGCCTGATTCTTTGCCAAAAATAAGAACAAAAATACGCATATGGCCCAATTCAGTACAAAGGCAAATCAGGGCAAATTACCTTAAGAGTTTTTAAGATAAATGTTTCTCTTGGTGTCTCTTTCTTGGTCTTCTGGGTAAGGTTGTATCTGAATATGATGACCCTAAATGTCTGCAGACATTTTTGCAGAAATGTTAAGGGTAAAAGTGACACAGCCAATAGCAAAGAAGTGCCAGAAAATATGTAAGCAAACTGTGACCTCTTTTTACCTCTTGATTGACTTTTATGTTAAATAATGAATTTACCTTATGCTTGAAAGAATTTGAAATAGTATTTGGCAGTGAAGAATTTACTCCTCCCATATTTTCATTCAAGAGAAATTTCCATGAGGAGGGTTGTTGGTGGGTTACCTCCAACTCAACCACTTCAGAGCTACTACAGTGGTAATGCGTGTTGAAGAAAAGAGTCAAACTCTGAGAAATATTTGAAGAGATTTATTCTGAGGCAAATATGAGTGACCTCGGCCTGTCACACAGCCCAGGAGATCCTAAGAACATGTGCCAAGGTTGTTGGGCTACAGCTTGGATTTATACATGTGAGGGAGACATAAGACATCAATAAGTACACCTAAGATACACATTGGTAAAATTGGGAAAGGTGAGACAACTCAAAGCAGGTGGGGGTGGGGTGGGTGAAGGCTTCCAGGTTAAAGGTGAATTCGAAGATTTTCTGACTGGCATTTGACAACTGGCTAAAATAATTTATCTAAAGACCGGAATCAATAGACAGGAGTGTATGGGTTAAGATAAGGTGTTTTAGAGACCAAGGTTCTTATGCAGATGAAGCTTGCAGGTAGCAGGCTTCACTGAGAATAGATTGTAAATGATTTTTATCAGACATAAAAAGGAAAAAGGACTTGGAATCAGGAAAAATCAGGAAAAAGACTTGGAAAGAGAAGGGGATTCTCTACAAAATGGAGATTTTCCCCACAGAAACAGCCTTGTAGGGCCATTTCAAAATATGTCAAAGAAATGTATTTTTGTGGTGAAATACTTTGATTTCTTTCAAGGCCTGCTATCTGTCATGTTGATATCTTATTGCTACGAAGAGTCTGTTTTGTCATTCTTAAGTCTCTACTTTAATGTTAACACTGTTCAGCTATGCATGAATTCCGAAAGGATGAAAGTAAATAACGAGGCATGTTCAACTACCCATTTCCGTCATGGCCTCCATTACTGTTTCAGGTTTAGTTTAAAATGCCCTTGGCCAAGATAAAGGGCCCATTTAGTTGGTTAACGGACATTGAATTTTATTTTTGGCTTACATGCAGGTGCCATGCTCTCCTTAGGTTGCTCCCTGCCAATGCTGAGCAAGGAAGATATTATAGGGCTTTTCATTCTTGTCCCACATGGACTCATCTAAAGGTCAAAGTTCACTTTGGTGCTCTTTCAGTGTGGCTGACAATTTCTCAGATCTGCACTCTTCTCTGAGGCTCCTCCTTTCCAATTATCTTTCATGCTCTCTCTTCTTTTGAGGTGCCGGCTTGCATCATGATCTGGAGGCTCTTGCAGCCTCTTGCTCTATCTTCTCTTTATTCTTCAAAGGCGTTTTCTCTGGTTACTCTCTTATACGTGTAATTCCATCTTGGTGTCTGATTCTTGGGAAACCCAAACTGGCTTATAATTTTTCTTACTTTCAGTAAAACCTTCTTTGCTGATGCATCATTCATTAATTCATTAAATGTATTGTGTTTTGTATGGGAAAACAATGATGCCAAAGTGTCTATAGCTATATAGTCTGATATATGCTATAATAAGAATTTGGAAAAAGTATTATTGGTTCACAAAGGCAGAAATTTAGGAGGTTAGATACATTTAAAGTAAAATTTGATTAAAAAGTGTGAACTTAAATAGATTAAGATAACATGGGGTGTTTGTAAAATATATTAGTAAAATACAATGACATACCCAAAGTCCTGTTAAATCAAATTAAATATGGCCTGAGAAAAACGCCATACTTCTATATTTCAGTCCTTGTGAATGAACTGCAACCTAACTCAATAGGTACACAAGACTAAAACCTAACTTAGGAATATGCGCCTGTAACAATCGCTGAGTCTTGGCCAATTCCAGCAGCCATACTTCAACTAGTCGCATACAGCTGAGTGTTCAAATAAGGCAAGTGCCAAGCCATAACCAATCCAGCTGTTTCTGTACCTCACTTCTGATTTCTATGCGTCACTTTACTTTGTATTGTCTATAAATTCATTCTGACCATGAGACACGCCTGGAGTCTCTCTGAATCTGCTGTGATTGTGGGGGCTTTCCAATTTATGAATCATTCATTACTCGATTAAACTGTAAATTTATTTTGGCTGAAGGTTTTTTTTTTTTTTTTTTTTTTAGCAGTCCTCACCATAATGATCCATACACGTAAGTGTCTAATATAATCTTTCTAGCTTTCTTTTTTGGTTGTGTTTAGTCATACTGTTGCTGATTCAGCTTTGTATAAAATATCAGAGCAAAATGACTATCAATAATACAGAGATCTGCAAGAATTCCCACACAGGTGAAATATGCATGGTGGAAAGAGGCAATTCTTAAGGCAAAGAGCCAAGCATGTACCAAACACCAATGCCCTTGCATACCAAAGCTAAAGATTCTACAATTTGCCAAAGATAAGAATGTACCTTTCACAACAGCAAGGACCTCATATATTGTCTTATTATATATCCCTAAAATCTAGCACAGTGTTGAATAAGAGGAAGTAGAAATAATTTTGAGAAGGAATTAAACATGTATTTGTAGAAGTCAAGTCTTACCCATTGAAAAAGTATCTCCCCCATATTTGTAATTCATTAAATTGTTTGGAAGGGAAAAGAAACTAAAGGGAATACTCCATAGGGAAAGTTGTTTCAGAAATTATGCAAATTTATTCTAATAACTAAGAAATAGTGAAAATGTATTAGAAATGTTAGGTAGAGGCACATTTCAGATTTAGACTAAGGTGCAAATGGCTTTCTACTTAATGATAGAGAAAAGCATAAATAAAAGTACATTGTATACATGAAATGGTTTTGTTTGAATTGGGTATAGAATATCAAATGAGAAATATATAGTAAGGAATTGAATATATGGAAATACAGATATAGACGGCCAGAGCACCTACTTGTAGCTCTTGATAGCAGAATTATCAGTCAACTGAAAAGATATTTTAAGACCTCCAAGAATAAGTAGATAATTTCTATTCTGTATTTTGTTAATGAAAGAAAACCAGGGTAATAACTGCTTGAATTTTCATCACTAGCATGTTTCCTACATACATAAACATAGTGAGTAGTGAGTATATTCACATATAAAGTAACAAAGAATTATAGTAAACCCCAACATCCAATCGGGAAAAATGTTGTAACTCTATATATTCATTAAATTGCTCACAAACTGACATCTTTTAGCATATAATATGGTTTCCTTTAGCTTGTTAAAGAGCATGGACTCATGACTAAAACATAAGAACACCCAATGAAGCTCAACTAAATCAATTCAACTATGAAAAATAAACTGACTAGTGATCATCTCTTTACTATTATTGAAAGAATAACTTACAAGTAAAAACATTCAATTTTTGAAAACAGCTTTATATTTATTGAATTTATGCATATAACGTTAGTTGCATTTCAAAATAAAATGGCTGCCTTAAGTGATGCAAAATTACATATTTATACATTCTCTGAATTAAGCAGGATTAATTGAAAAGTGGATATGAAGGCATGACTGCAAGCTACAAATTGATCCTATTTTTAGTAACTTGCTCTAGCTGAGATGTTATATGTTCAGATTTGTTGACACGAAGCTTTATTGAGAAGCATTACTTATTCCCAATAACTCAAGGAGGAGCCTGTTTTGGGAGGAAAAACCACATCAAGTATGTTTTGTTGAATCAAGAGGATTTTATTTTTAGAAAACTACTAATGATTTTTTCTGAAAATGTGACTATTTTGAAATCTAAGAAAAATCAAATATTTGATACTTAACGTAATTTGCAACTTGACATAAAACTACTCAGTTTAGTTGGTCATAATATACTCATTCCTAACTTATTCCACTTTACAAAAAAAGTAAAAGAAAAGCATAAATAAATAAATAAGGAAAGAGAAACAAACAAACAAAAAACATTGGAAACTGACGAGGTAACAATTTATAGAATCAAGGATTAATTTCCACCAATTATGGCATGAATAAAACTAATCAACTAAAATATATTTTAAAAATCAAGAAGATAGTAGGAAAACAGCTCCCTGAGGACCCCTGGAACAGTAATTAGGCAGGCACTCTTTGCCTGTTGGACATTACCATTTTCTTTAATGTTTGTATGAAACGATGCCAATTTATCTTTAAGCAATTTATCTTTAAGTTGCTAAAGTGATGCAAACGGCTGTCATGTAACAATCACCAAGAGAGGACCCATTCTAGTTCACAAACTGCCCTGATGCTTTTTATAAAAAACAATCCACTTCAGGATAATGTGTTGTTCCTGGTTTCTATGTCTCTTTAACTTCTTTAAATCAGAAGCATTCCATAGTCCTTCTTCAACCTTCATAGCATCCTAAACATTTTTTGAAGGTAATATTCCAATGGATTCTATTTTTAGAATGTCTCCCAATTTCGATTTGTCTGGTGTTTTCTCATAATGAGGTGTCAAGACATGCATTATTGGCAATAAAATCACCAACATGATGCTATGCTCTTCTTATCATATTTCTTCAGGTTATATATGAAATTAATTTTTCCCATCAGTGGTGATTTTAATTTTGATCATTTGAAAGGTAATGTCTTCCAGATTTCTCTATTGCAGAGGTACTCCTCATTTTCTTTATATTAATATAACATGACATAAAATGATATTTTTTACATATAGACTATCTATTGTATACATGTATATACACATGTAATTAATCTAAAATTAAGTGTTTTGCGGAGAGATACTTTGAGAGTGTGAAAATATCCCATTTCTTCTCCAACATTTACCCACTAGGTTTAGCATCCATTGATGCCTCAACACTCAATCAAATACAATGTGAAAATTTTCAAATGATAATTTTTTAACATACAATATCAACCCTTTTCCTTTTATTGGTTGGCACTCTGTGGGAAAATAATAGTGTTTCCTTCTTTTATTCATTCATTAATTCGTGGATTTATCTCACGTGGACCCATGGATTCCTATTTCTTTCAGTGGCCCATGATCTGTTCCTTTACTTATTTTATTGATTCAGTTTTGCTAATTTTGCTAGTAGGAACTATTCAAGTTTCTCAGCTCTTTTAACATGTCTTTCTTAGCATTTGAGCACTCCCTTATTTTCCTTGTTATTTTTTTAATCTCAGATTATGAATAGTCATTGCAAATCTATCAAAATATACTGGATTTCTGTATATTATTATTATATCCTGTGATCTAGATAAACACACAATTTTACTAACTTTTTTGCAAATATCTTTTTTATTTTCTGCACAGAATATAATAATATCTGTGAAGAAAGACATCTTTCTTTCTAAATTGTATGTATTCTTACCTCTCTCATTGCATTGCTAAGACGTGTAGTATAAGCTTCAAAAGAATTTATCAGAGCAAGCATGCTTGTCTTTTTCTAGGTATCGGGGCAAAAATATTCAGTCACCTTAATGTTATTGGAAAGTTAAGGTCCATAGTATAAACCTTAGAGCACCTACCTAACAGGACAAAATAAGCAAAAACATATGACTAATAATCTATTAGTTGAAATAAAATAAAATTCAAAATTAAACACTTAATCCAAGGTAAAGCATCAAAAGTGGAAAATAGTAATAAAGAACAGATTAAATTTTATGGAAAATAAATTTTATGATAGTAGATTTAAGGTCAAAATATAGATAACAATATTAAATATAAGTAGTCTAAAACTACTATTTAAAGTAAGAATTTTAAGACTAAATTTAAAAAGTAATGTTAAATCAATATAAAGACAAAGGTTGGTCAGAAAAAATAGGTTGAAGATAGCTGTACTTCACCATGATACAGTAAGAGGAACTAAACTAAATTCTTTACAAAACAAACAAACAAAAAACAAAAAAACACACACACAAATAAAAACTAACTGCAGACAAAATATAATCAACAGTGATTTTTTAACCATTGACAAGAAGCTGAGGATGCTGATCCCTGATAAAAGAAAAAATAAAATCTTATTCCAAGCTTTCTCTCAGTTTCCAGAAGACACAGTGAAAGGATAATCCAAAGAAAGGATAACTCTCCCTGTATATTGAGAAATTGAAGATTGGGGCTTAGAAAGGAAAATTTAGCTAGAATTGCAGAGCTAAATAGAAGAGAGAGAACATTTGCACAGAGATGGTGATACGGTATGGCTTTGTCCCCACCCACATCTCATCTTGAATTCCCATGTGTTGTGGGAGGGACCAGGTGGGAGATAATTGAATCATGGTGGCAGGCCATCCCATCCTCATGATAGTGAATAAGTCCCACAAGATCTTACGGTTAAATAAGAGGGAGTTTTTCTGAACAAGCTCTCTCTTTGCCTGCCGCCATCCATGTAAGATGTGACTTGCTCTTCCTGGCCATCTGCCATGATTGTGAGGTTTCCCCAGCCATGTGGAACCATAAGTCCATTAAACCTCTTTCTTTTGTAAATTTCCCAGGCTGGGGTATGTCTTTATCAGTAGGATAAAAATGGATGAATACAGGAATATAGGAAGTGTCTGCTTTTTCCTGGCTTTTATCTTTGCCTGTAACATTCCACCCCAGAGGCTCACATGGCTTCTCCTTTCTCTTCAAGTCTTGCTAATCATTCCTTGTTGATTCCTTAAAATCAACACATATAAATGTGTATCCCTTTCTTAAACAAGAGATCCCTTTCATCCTTTACCTTTCTGTATTTGTTAGTAGAATTAACCATCTGCTAGTATACTATAAAATTTACTTATGTATTATATATATTATCTATTCTAGTGATATGATTTGTCTCCATTCCCACACAAAATCTCATCTTGAATTATAATCAGATTTATAATCCCCATGTGTTGGGGGAGGGACCTCCGGGAGGTGATTAGATCATGGGGTGGTTCTCCCATGTTGTTCTCGTGATAGTGAGTGAGTTCTCATGAGATTTGGTGGTTTCATAGAAAGCTTTTACCCCCTTCACTCTGCACTTTTCCTTCCTGCCACAATGTGCAGAAGGACATGGTTTGCTTCCCCTTCTGGCATGATTGTAAGTTTTCTGAGGCCTCCCCAGACCTGCAGAATTGTGAGTCAATTAAGCCTCTTTCCTTTATATATTAACCAGCATCTAGCAGCTCTTTATAGCAGTGTGAGAACGGACCAATACAACAAGTGAACAGGTATTTTTGCTTATTGTCCATTGTCAAAACCACTTATTTATTTTTACATTGACTATTGTCTATCTTCTATGGTTTGTTACCTCCAACAATAAGGTAATCAAGGGTCAAAATTTTTTGTTTATTCAGTAAAATGCTCTCAGTGAATTGGGCATTGGGTGGCACAGAGTAAGTATTTAATGTATCTATTAATTTTGTATATAAATGAATAAATTTTCTAAATTTTGCTAATAATGTTAATAGAAGACCCAAAAAGTATAATCAGTAAATTAGTTGTATTTTGAAGAAAAAAAAGTTAATCTATGTAACAAATTTATGTAAAAATTCTCAGGATATACACTTGAGTAATAATCACTGTAACATTTACCTATTTAAAAAGAATGAAATTTAACAGTGAAGGCACCTGAGTCTGGAATTTGTTTCCCCTAAGAAGGTATTAAATTAAAATTCAGTATCTTTAATAAATCTAAAGATATGAAGAAATTTTATTTATTCTAGAGTAATTGTAAAGATTATTTTGCTAACCATACAATTTATTCAACCATTATCAAATTTATTGGCATAAAGTTTTTATAATTTAAGTTATTATCATTTCGATATTTGTAGTATCTTTACAACACCTACCATCTTCCCAACCTTGCCCACTTTATTTCCTGAAAGTGGTTGCTGACAGATTTCTGTCTTTGTATCCTTCTCAGACTATCTAGAATTTAATTCATTTTATTCCTTTTATCAAAGAATCAGCTTTAAATTTCATCTTTTCCTTTTGTATTTCTGTTATGTCTTTATAAAATTTTAGTTTTTCTCTATATTTTACTTTCTACTTCTTGTTTAATTTGGTTTTATTTTCACTTTTTCAGGTAGACATTTGTGTCATTAATTTTAGACATTTCTCCTTTTTCTAATATAAACATTAAAAACTTCGTATTTCTCCAAAGGAATCCTGAAGTTGTAGTGTTTTTATTTTTATCCAGACCAAAATACTTTCTAATTTATCTTTTGATTTACTATTTGCTACAAGGCATCATTAGAAGTTTATTATATCTAAATATTTGGGGATTTCATTGTAGTTTTGGTTTTTTATTTTAAATTTAATTCTATTGGGTCAGAGAACATACTCTCCATGATCTAATCCTGTTAAATTTGTTGAAAATTTATTATTTGTTGCCTAACATGTGATGAATGTCAGTGCACTTGGAAAATAAAATAAGTTGTTGCTGGTGATGAGTATAATATTCTATGCATCCTAGAACTTGTTAGGTTATAATGTCATTAAATTTGTAGATATTTTCTTTAAAATTTTTTATTTACTTGTTTAATAATATCAGAAAATAGTTTTCAAATCTTTAAATATATTGTGGATTTGTATATTTTTCTTTTCAATTCTGTAAGTTTTTGGCTTGAGTATTTTAAATGCAGAATTGTTTGTTAATGTGTGAAAAAACATTTTGCATTATCAGGTTCTCTTGATGAATTGGACCAATTATATTGATCTTTATCCTCCTAAAAATATTTCTTGATTTGTGGCCCATTTTGTCTGATATTAATAGAAGTCTTCAGTTTTTATATACTTAGTAGTTATACCATAGAAATACTGCCATCCTCTTATCTTAAAAGACTCCAGAAATTTGAACTTTCATGTAAAATATTTTCAATATTAATTTATAATATTTTATAACATTACCTAGTAATTTTGAAAAAATATTTGTTATTTATATAAAAAGCCTACGGAGATTTGGACTGATATTGCAATTAATCTAGAAATCAATTTAGTAGAACTACCTTCTTAACACTATAAAGCATTCAAATTATTGAACTTGGTTTATCTCTCCATTTATTTAGGTCTGCCTTAATGTCTCTCAGCACTGTATTGCAGTTTTCTAAGTATCGAACAGAATGGTTCATAGTGGATATTTTTGCATTCTTTCTTATAGTAGGAGGAACCATTTGGTATTTCACTATATTAACTATTTTTATATATGTTTATTACTTTTGAAATAATTTGTTTCTCTTGCCTACTTTTCTGTAAGTCTTTATTATGAATATGTGTAAAATGTCATCAAATGCTTTTCTACTTTTAATAAAATAATCCTATAAAAATTTAATATCCTTGATGAACATTGATGCAAAAATCCTCAATAAAATACTGGCAAACCGAATCCAGCAGCACATCAAAAAGCTTATCCACCATGATCAAGTGGGCTTCATCCCTGGGATGCAAGGCTTGTTCAATATACGCAAATCAATAAATGTAATCCAGCATATAAACAGAGCCAAAGACAAAAACCACATGATTATCTCAATAGATGCAGAAAAGGCCTTTGACAAAATTCAACAACACTCCATGCTAAAAACTCTCAAAAAATTAGGTATTGATGAGACGTATTTCAAAATAATAGGAGCTATCTATGACAAATCTACAGCCAATATCATACTGAATGGGAAAAAACTGGAAGCATTCCCTTTGAAAACTGGCACAAGACAGGGATGCCCTCTCTCACCACTCCTATTCAACATAGTGTTGGAAGTTCTGGCCAGGGCAATTAGGCAGGAGAAGGAAATAAAGGGTATTCAATTAGGAAAAGAGGAAGTCAAATTGTCCCTGTTTGCAGATGACATGATTGTATATCTAGAAAACCCCATTGTCTCAGCCCAAAATCTCCTTAAGCTGATAAGCAACTACAGCAAAGTCTCAGGATACAAAATCAACGTACAAAAATCACAAGCATTCTTATACACCAACAACAAACAAACAGAGAGTCAAATCATGAGTGAACTCCCATTCACAATTGCCTCAAAGAGAATAAAATACCTAGGAATCCAACTAACAAGGGATGTGAAGGACCTCTACAAGGAGAACTACAAACCACTGCTCAAGGAAATAAAAGAGGATACAAACAACTGGAAGAACATTCCATGCTCATGGGTAGGAAGAATCAATATCGTGAAAATGGCCATACTGCCCAAGGTAATTTACAGATTCAATGCCATCCCCATCAAGCTACCAATGACTTTCTTCACAGAATTGGAAAAAACTACTTTAAAGTTCATATGAAACCAAAAAAGAGCCTGCATCGCCGAGTCAATCCTAAGCCAAAAGAACAAAGCTGGAGGCATCACGCTACCTGACTTCAAACTATACTACAAGTCTACAGTTACCAAAACAGCATGGTACTGGTACCAAAACAGACATATAGATCAATGGAACAGAACAGAGCCCTCAGAAATAACGCTGCATATCTACAACTATCTGATCTTTGACAAACCTGAGAAAAACAAGCATTGGGGAAAGGATTCCCTATTTAATAAATGGTGCTGGGAAAATTGGCGAGCCATATGTAGAAAGCTGAAACTGGATCCCTTCCTTACACCTTATACAAAAATCAATTCAAGATGGATTAAAGACTTAAACGTTAGACCTAAAACCATAAAAACCCTAGAAGAAAACCTAGGCAATACCATTCAGGACATAGGCATGGGCAAGGACTTCATGTCTAAAACACCAAAAGCAATGGCAACAAAAGACAAAATTGACAAATGGGATCTAATTAAACTAAAGAGCTTCTGCACAGCAAAAGAAACTACCATCAGAGTGAACAGGCAACCTACAAAATGGGAGAAAATTTTTGCAACCTACTCATCTGACAAAGGGCTAATATCCAGAATCTACAATGAACTCAAACAAATTGACAAGAAAAAAACAAACAACCCCATCAAAAAGTGGGCGAAGGACATGAACAGACACTTCTCAAAAGAAGACATTTATGCAGCCAAAAAACACATGAAAAAATGCTTATCATCACTAGCCATCAGAGAAATGCAAATCAAAACCACAATGAGATACCATCTCACACCAGTTAGAAGGGCGATCATTAAAAAGTCAGGAAACAACAAGTGCTGGAGAGGATGTGGAGAAATAGGAACACTTTTACACTGTTGGTGGGACTGTAAACTAGTTCAACCATTGTGGAAGTCAGTGTGGCGATTCCCCAGGGATCTAGAACTAGAAATACCATTTGACCCAGCCATCCCATTACTGGCTATATGCCCAAAGGACTATAAATCATGCTGCTATGAAGACACATGCACACGTATGTTTATTGTGGCACTATTCACAATAGCAAAGACTTGGAACCAACCCAAATGTCCAACAATGATAGACTGGATTAAGAAAATGTGGCACATATACACCATGGAATACTATGCAGCCATAAAACATGATGAGTTCATGTCCTTTGTAGGGACATGGATGAAATTGGAAATCATCATTCTCAGTAAACTACTGCAAGAACAAACAACCAAACACCGCATATTCTCACTCATAGGTGGGAATTGAACAATGAGATCACATGGACACAGGAAGGGGAACATCACACTCTGGGGACTGTTGTGGGGTGGGGGGAGGGGGGAGGGATAGCATTGGGAGATATACCTAATGGTAGATGACGAGTTAGTGGGTGCAGCGCACCAGCATGGTACATGTATACATATGTAACTAACCTGCACATTGTGCACATGTACCCTAAAACTTAAAGTATAATAATAAAAGAAAAAAAAATTTTTTTAAATCAAAATGTAGGTCTGTAGTTTTCTGTTAATCTCTACCTATTTTTTTCCTTTAAGGGTAATCTGTACCTCATATAATGTATTGTTAGGGTTGCTTCCTCTTTTATTTCTGGAAGACTTTGCATAGAGTTGTTACTATTTATTCTTTAAACATTGTGAGAATACAAGAGTGAAACCTTCCTGACCTGGAATTATTTTGTGTGTGAGTTTCAAATTATAGATTTAATGTATTTAATAGATGCAGGATTATTCATGGTGTCTCTTTATTTTTAAGTGAATTTTGTAACCTCTTTTCTCTCAAGTAATGTGTCCGTTTACCAAACTTTTAAAATGTATTTGCATAAAGTTTAAACATTGTATGCTTACTATCATTTTATAACCTATAGTATAATTAGTGACAGCCTTTCATTACTGGCTTTAGTATTTAGCATTTTTTCTCTTTTTTGTTAAGTATAGCTAGAATTTTTTCATTTTTTAATAAATTAGCTTTTTATTTTATTGATATTCCATTTTGGTGTTCTTTCAATTTTTATTGATTTTTGTTCTTATATGTATTTTATTATTTCTTTGTACCTTAGTACATTTCGACTGCAATAGAAAAATACCTTTTTGTTGTGGCTTATAAACAACATAATTTTATAATTTATAATAACATAAACTTATAACTTATAAATTTACTTCTCATAGTTCCGGAGGCTGAGAGGTCTGAAATCAAGGCTCTCAAATATTTGATGTCTGGTGAGGGCCCATTTCCTGGTTCATAGATGGTTCCTTCTCTCTGCATCTTCACATAATGGAAAGAGCAAGGTAGCTCTCTGGGGTCTCTTATGTAAGAAAACTACTCATTTACTATCCTTAATGTAGTACTAATTTAGTACCCTTATAAAAGAGCCCCAGATCTCTACTTTCATGATCTAAGCACCTCCCAGAAGACCCCATCTCCTAATACCATAAGTTTGGGAGTTAGGATTTCTACATAGGAAATTCGAGGAGACACAAACATTCAGACAACAGCATTCTGTTTTGTTTGGGTTTAATTTGCTTTAGGAACTGATTAGATTCTTTTTTCTTTTCTAACATAAACACATGGCACTATTACATTTATCTAATTCTTTATTTCTAAAAAATTTTTAATTATTATGGATACATAATAGTTGCACATATGTATGGGGTACATATGCATACAAGCATACGACATACAATTATCAAATCAGGATTCTGATATTCATCACCTTAACATGTATAGTTTCTTTGTGTTAATATTGTTTAGTTATCTTAATAAATTGACCCCTTTATAATCAGTGAGTATATTTTCTATCACTAGTAATATATTTCATTCTGAAATATATTTAGTTTGACATTAATATAGTAACTCTAGTTTTCTATAAATTTTTGTTTGTACTACACACACAGATATCTATGTATTTATATTTGCAGTAGAATTTTAGTAGACAGAATTAGATTTCTGATTTTTCATTGATGTGTATGAATGATTTACATGTAATGTAATGTGATTATGAATAAGCTTAGGTTTAAATATACCTTCTTGCTATGTTTTCTATTTATCTTATATGCTCCTTGTTCAATTATTTATCCTTTTTTTAAATTTTGTAGATTAGTTAAATATGTACTTCATTATTTTGTGTTATTTCTACTATTGGTTTACTAATGTACTTCTTTTTTAGGTTCTGCTTTAAGGTTTAAAATATAAATACTTCTGTTTTAAGGTTTAAAATATAAATACTTCTACTTTAAGTTTTAAAATATAAATACTTAACTCATCACAGCCTACTTTCTTTTTTTTTTTTTTTTTTTTTTGAGACGGAGTCTCGCTCTGTTGCCCAGGCTGGAGTGCAGTGGCGGGATCTCGGCTCACTGCAAGCTCCGCCTCCCGGGTTCACGCCATTCTCCTGCCTCAGCCTCCCAAGTAGCTGGGACTACAGGCACCCGCCACTACGCCCGGCTAATTTTTTGTATTTTTAGTAGAGACGGGGTTTCACCATTTTAGCCGGGATGGTCTCGATCTCCTGACCTCGTGATCCGCCCGCCTCGGCCTCCCAAAGTGCTGGGATTACAGGCGTGAGCCACCGCGCCCGGCCCACAGCCTACTTTCAAATAACAGTATATCACTTGATATGCAGTATAATACATTGCCAGTTTTTTTCTGCAGACACACATATACATCTCATAAAATTTTACTTCTGCCTTAGGAATCTTTCTTATAAATGACAATGGAGGATGACTGACAATGAAATTCTTTAGATTTTGTTCAGTGCTGAGACAACGTTGAGATGAGCAAATTTTACCTCTGGTGAAACACTTAATGAGGCACTCTCTCGGGTCACACAAGGCACAAGTCTTGCACTCTCAATCTCAAATATATAACTCTGAAAGTGAGTAGCTCTTTAGGTTTTGGGACCTAGTTGTGTCATTTTCTTTACCCTAGTTCCAAACCTATTTTTAATTTTCTAAAAATAAATGAGCCCTATTTTGCTTTAGTGCTTAAAATTTTCTACTTGTTATAAAAATGTAGATAAAGCTGTTTTTTATTATTTAATTATTTATGATTGCTCCATTGTCTCCAAGCTTTCATAGTTTCTGAAGAAAATTGCCCGTATTTGTGTGTTTGTGTGTGTATTTCTTTTGATGTGGATTATTTTTTCATCTCTGATGCCTTTTAAGATTTTTCTCTTTCTCACTGATTTTCAGAAATTAGACAATAGTTTACCTTGCCATTTTGTCTTTATTTGTGATTCTAATAACATTTTGGCAATCGTTTCTTCAAATTTTTGGTTTTGTTCTTCCCTACCACATACTCACACACATACATCCACTCAGTGTTCTTCTGGGACTCCATCTCTTCTTGTATTATGCTGCTTGATATTGTCAAACACAGTGTGGTTGTTTTTTCAAATGTGTCTATGTTTTCTGTTTTGGATAGTTTATATTGTTATGTTATCAAAATCACTGGTATTTTTTCTACAATGGTTAAAGTGCTGTTAAATTTATTCATACATTTTTAATCTAATATAGTTATTTTTTCTGTTTTAGGAGTCTGCTTGTTTTTATTTCTTCCATTTTTATCTTCTCGTAATATACATATTTTCCCATCTTATTTGAAAAAATAAAGCATATTTTTAACACCTGAATTAACATGTTTCAACGCTAATTATTATGTTCACCAAAACCAGATATTGTGAATTCTATATTGTTATGTGATGGATTTTGTTGAATTCCTTTTGTATATTTGTATTTTGTTCTCAAACACAGTTAAATTATTTGGAATCAGTTTGATGCTTTTAGAGATTGCTATAAAATTTTCTTAGAGAAGATGTAGAGTTGCTTTAGGTTTAGGAATGAGTGAGTTCCATCACAAAAGCAGGATTCTTCCAAAGATTCTACCTAATAGCTCATACATTACCCTGTCTTCTACTTTGGTTTGTGGCAACAATAATATTTGCAGAGCTTTCTGAGCTTTGAGAATTGTTCTTCAAACCCTTTGTGTTGGCATTTTACCCCAGGCTTCAGTTATTTTCTCTCATGTATTCACAGTTTAGTATTCAATGAAGGACTCAATAATTTCCTAGGAAGGTCTGCAGACACACGGTCATCTGTATTCATTAGCATGGGCTGCTATAACAAAATGCCATAGACTGAGCAGCTCATAAACCACAGAGATGTATTTCTCAGTCTAACCTCACATGGTGGAAGAGGGAGGGGTCTCTCTGGCACCTTTCATAAGGGCTCCACTCCCATGATCCAGTCACCTACAAAATTGCCCATTTTTTAATATTATCACCTTGGTGGTGAGAATTTTAATATACAAATTTGGGGAGGTCAATTAGACCAGAGCATAATTCTTGGCAGATAAAAGAAGCCATAAGAAAGCTGGTGTGATAAGACCAGAATGAGCCAGAGGGAAGTTTTAAGATACAATAAAATATTAGGCTAGACTATTAAAGTACTTTGTCATTAGAAATTATATCTTTCAGATGAAATCTACCCAATCCTTGCTTGTACATCTTGCTAAAGTTTTAACTTTTCCATTGATTTCATTATATTTGTCATGTCTTTCCTATCAATTTAATTTTCAATTATCTTCACTTCTTATACATACTGCTATATATTATTTAATCATTCTGCCTTAAATTATTTTGTGTACAGTTATAATACTTCAGCCTAGTTTACTAGGAACTCATTACAGTTGTTCCTCTGTATTTGTGGGGTACTGGTTCTAGGAACCCTCAGACACAAAAATCTACAGATGCTCAAGACCCTTCCATAAAATGATGTATAATAGTATTTTATACACCTACATCCACACTGTCACATACTTTAAATCATCTCTAGATTTCTTATGATACCAAGTACAATGTAAATGTTATGTAGTTAGTTATAGTGTGTTCTTTAGGGGATAATGACAAGGCAGAATTCCATATGTGTTCACTTTTTCATAAATGTTTTTCCAAATATTTTTGATCCATGGGTGGTTGAATCCACACATGCAGAACCTGTGGATATGGAGGGTCCACTGTACTTTTTTCTATCCTCCTAACTACATATTGGTTTCTATTTTTGTCTTTATTAAATCTTAAATTGTAGTCATACTACAAATTCGATCTTTTGTGTTGTTTCATTTTTTTCTATTTCTTGAACAGTATTCTGTTTCTGTTTCAATGCATTAGTATCCACTTATTTATGTTTACCAAAATATTACACAGTCAAATAATTCAGGAAGACTTTGAAAATTTAAAGTCAACAGATTTGTATTAGCCTCAATTATATCGTCTGTAATAAATCAGATTATCCTGTCATTAGGATTAAATATTAAAATCTATTTAAGACATCTTAAAGAATATTTGAGATATTATGTATACTTAATATGGATATTTGTTTTCTTCCCTTCATTTTCTGATTTATTTTAGCCTTTTCATTTGTATTGTTTTATGTACCTTACAGTTACATAAACTCCTTAGTATCTGGAAACTTGTCTTCTTATTTTAATGTGCCATTCATCTCCTTAGCACAATTTCTTACACATATATGTTCTACAAATGTTTATTAAATGAATTAGTGTCAACTACATGCATGCTTTATTCATTAAGCTGTCAAAGGATTGATCTGCTTTACAGCTTTGTCAAACTATAGAACTTTAATTCTTTTGCCATATTTTAAAAATAATACATGTTTAGGTAATAATAAAATCAATATTCATACTCATGAAATAACAGATTGTAAAAGCATTGTAGGCTAACCACATACATTTTGGAAAAGAAACTGAAATTAATTCTTAAATTCTTTCAAATTCTTCATCTTATTTACTCTTTTTGTTAAGTAAATGTTTATCTTGTATTTTAGTTTTAAGCTCTTAGAATCTTCAACAATATAGTTTTTTGTACATAAAATATTTAAATCAACTTAATCTATGTACATGTTATAAACTAAGTTCAAGTAAAATTACATAAAATGCAACAATGCATTTTATTTTTCTATTCATATTTTTCTAATAAATCTTGTAAGTTTAAGTAATTATTTTAGTTAATGCTATGAAATTCTACCTAGGCAGGTTAGGTGTTAATTTCCCAATTTGTATGCAAACTGAACAATTTTCTCTGGGTTCTTCATCATTTCATCTTTCCACTTAACTTTCTCTATTTTAACCCAATAATATTTATTGTATTTTCCCCATTTAAACTAATGAATAAAAATTTCCCTCAGTGTAAACTCTATGTTGATGTTTCAAATAGAATATTTTATTCCCTGTGTGTTTTGAGTAGTAGCACCTTTAATGTTTTATCTATTTATATTTGTACAAGGCATATTACACATCTGAAATGAACACAGTACTAATTAGCATAAAGTCAATGTTAGCCTTAGACTTTACAGGTAAGTCTACAGAATACAGAAAGAAAAAATATAATGTCATATGTACTTCTTAAACAGTTCTATCAGTGGAAAAACTGATGATGCATTCATGTTTTCCTCAATATTTAGTGAGGAGAGCAAAAATGAGTAATAAGGCAAGAAAAAATATCCGCTGCGTCACTGTAACAGGCACTAGATGATGAGGTCATAGAATGTATTCATCTTTATTTATTCAGAAATTAGCTCCATACCTAGCACATAAACACTCCCATCTCAGGTCTCAGTTCGCTTGTGCTTCTGTAACAAAATAGCTGAGACTGATAAGAACAGAAACTTGTTTCTCACAGTCCAGGAGGCTGAAAAGTTCAAAACCATGGTTCTGGCAGGTTTGGCACCAAGTGAGGTCCCAGTTTCTGCTTCTAAAATGGTAACTTGAATGCTGTGTCCTTACATTAGCTAGTTCCCTTCAGCCCTTTTGCAATGCACTAATCCCATCTATGAGTACAGAGTCCTCATGGCCTAATTACTCCTAAAGGCCTGACTTCTTAATACTATTGCATTGAGGATTAAGTTTCAAAATGGCTTTTAGAGGGGAGACAAACATTTAAGCTAAAGTATAATAATCCATAATTTTTGAATGAATGAACAAAAAGTCACTTGCATTTAAATGTGAAAAGGTAGATACTTTCGGTGTCAGTTATTTTCTGTACAATTGTGATTATTCCTCATAAAAATTCAGAGCAATCAGTTGGCTTTCAATTAAATTTACACATTAGTTATAAACGTTTTAAATGTTAACTCTGTTTCTACCCTTCATGATATTTAATATGTATATTAATTTTACAAGAATTACTTAAATAATTTTCTTCCAATTTTCTAATTCTCTTTCCCTTGTTGAAATGAGCAAACACACAAAATATCAAGTGACAGACAATGCATTGCTAATGTCTTACTTTGGTAAGATACTTTCATTAGTATTTCGAATAGAACTGAGATTTTTATTTTTATATATTTTTTAACCAAACCTGACTCATATTATAGATGATCTAAAGTATTAATGTAATACAAAACCATTGTATTTCTTGGCACAAAGAAAAAACGTGGGTCATGTCAAACACCTGCAATGACAGTAAAATCATGTCACAAATAGATAAGCTAATTATGTTGAAAAATGATTATGCACACACTATGTAAAGCATTGTCCTTTTCCTTTGTTGGAGGGCATTTATTCATAGACATCATGTGTACTTTCTTCCCAAAGGGTAAGGTTGACCTAGAACCCTATGGACGACCCTTTAGAGTTAAGCTTGCCAACTACTTGTCAGAAATGATTAGTGAGAAATGTAGGAAAGAAAATTTCCCCTGTTGATAACAGGGGGCAAATAGAAGATGCCCTGAAGTTGTCATAAGGAATCACATTTTTTTCAATAAGAATATTTTTTATTTGATAATATCTAATATCACAGATCAACCTTTATTTATACATATTCTAGACATGTGTTGAACTTGACAGGTTTTGGTAATAGAAAATTCTGTGGCAACTCACAAAAGAGTATGTGTGCATTGTAATCATCTTTATTATAAATAATAACTGTGTCTTTTTTTGATAAAATGAAGATATAATAAATCATGATTTCCCCTCAATCATATCTTTTAGAAACTGAGTTTATGTGTCTTTGGATTTATAATAATCCCAAACTCACGTTTTATGTTAAAATACTCATTAAAATGCGATAATTTATTACAACTTTATTTTGGATTATATTCTGAATGTTTTACAACATGAAAGCTAAAGAATGCTATACATTTTTTGAAACAGATTTATATAAGCCTCACAGTCTGTATTATGAAATTATTAATGTTAGAGTAACATTTTGATCTACTAGATTCATAAAATTAGTGAGAATTCTTCAGCTATTATTTTGAATCCTCTCTTTATATCTCTTAATAATACAGATAACACAGATTTGAGCTACAGGAAAATGTAATGTGCATTGTGTTTGAACAAAGTGTGTTATAATTTTGGATGTACATCAACCTATACTGTATCCCTATGTTGTGTAAGACTGAATATCCTAGATCATATTGGATTATTACAGTCAATAATATTTTACATTAAACATCAAAAAATAATATGGCATTCATTTACAACCCAGAAAAATGAGTAACTCCCAGGAGAAATTTAGTTTTCATTGCTCCTTATGCTAACAACTTTAAAGTTCAAATGCTAACTTTCTATCTCCATTTTATTTAGAATGTATAATAAATCTTTCATGAAAAAAGATGAATTTCTTTTTTTTTTTTTTTTTTTTTTTGAGATGGAGTCTCTCTCTGTCACCCAGGCTGGAGTCCTGTGGCGCGATCTCGGCTCACTGCAAGCTCCACCTTGTGGGTTCACACCATTCTCCTGCCTCAGCCTCCCGAGCAGCTGGGACTACAGGCACCCGACACCACGCCCAGCTAATTTTTTTTGTATTTTTAGTAGAGGCGGGGTTTCACCGTGTTAGCCAGGATAGTCTCAATTTCCTGACCTCGTGATCTGCCCGCCTTGGCCTCCCAAAGTGCTGGGATTACAGGCGTGAGCCACCACGCCCGGCCTCTATTTTTGAAAGTTACCTTTTGTCATTTTTTTATCTGCAGTAGTGTGGATTAGAAACCTGGCTCAGTCCTACCACTAAAATAATTCTTAAAAGTTGGTTGAAACATTAAAAAAATCTTGCTTTAGTGTCACAATTATCAGGCAAGAAGACAACAATTTTATGAAAATTAAGGTTTTACCTTGAGAGCATTCTCTGGTCCTGATAAGGATGAGGCCATGTTTCTTGGGACTGTAAAAAGCAGGGGACCAGAGACAAAGTTCAAAGTCCAGCCAAATTGGAAGTGTAGTAAGAGAACACTCTTACACTATTGGTGGGAGTGTAAATTAGTTCAACCATTGTGGAAGACAGTATGGTGATTCCTCAAGGATCTAGAACTAGAAATACCATTTGAGCCAGCAATCTTATTACTGGGTATATACTCAAAGGATTATAAATTATTCTACTCTAAAGACACAGGCACACGTATGTTTATTGCAGCACTATTTACAATAGCAAAGACTTGGAACCAACCCAAATGTCCATCAATGATAGACTGGATAAAGAAAATGTGGCACATATACACCATGGAATACTATGCAGCCATAAAAAAGGATGAGTTTGTGTCCTTTGCAGGGACATGGATGAAGCTGGAAGCCATCCCTCTCAGCAGACTAACACAGGAAAACCAAACACCACATGTTTTCATAAGTGGGAGTTGAACAATGAGAACACATGGTCACAGGGAGGGGATCATCAGGGAGGGGCTGCAAGGGGTGGGGGCCTAGGGGAAGGATAACATTAGGAGAAATACCTAATGTAGGTGACGAGTTGAAGGGTGAAGCAAACCACCATGGCACATGTTTACCTGTGTAACAAAACTGCAGGTTCTGCACATGGACACAGGGAGAGGAACATTACACACCGGGACCTGTTGGGGGTGGAGGGCAAGGGGAGGGAGAGCATTAAGACAAATACCTGCATGTGGGGCTTAAAACCTAGATGATGGGTTGATAGGTGCAGCAAACAACCATGGCACATGTATACCTATGTAGCAAACCTGTACGTTCTGCACATGTATTATTCCAGGACGTAAAGTGAAATATAAAAAAAAAAAAGAATGCCCTTTTCTGGGGTTCTCACTAATATGACCTGTGTAACTTGAAAATCCTCAGGACAGAAATTTAAAGTGATCTCATTCTGTTGATAACCCTGGGCCTTTGGTACAAACAAATTTATATAATCCTTTTGGGAAACCTATTTCAATTCTATCCTAAAATTATTTGCATAAATATACTTCTATTAGTTAGGAATTGACAGTAAAACAAAACAAAACACACAGAGAAAGATGGTGCATGAAAAGAATATAGGAGGAAAACAGGGAGATAAAAGAATCACATGAAGAAAGACTCCAGATACTGGAATTATAAGAATGTATAACAAACAAGTTTGAATTAAGTAAGAATTAAAATGAATGATTTAAAAGTTTAATTCAAACAATAGTAAACACACAACTGACACATTCATAATATATTAGAGATAGCTAAAGTGAGAATAACCACATAACGTAAAACATAGTTAAATTCACTTTGACTATTAAGAGATGTATAAAAATGAACAATAAAGAGAAAGGATTCAGTGATATGAAAGACAGAATGAAAATGACTATCATATATTAAACTGGAGTCTAATATATTCATTAGTGAGATTTACTGACATCCCTAATGAAAGACATCAAATTCTCAGATTCAGGAGAAATAAGACATTACACTCAAGATACATAAGATGAATTCATTCCTCGGCACACCTAAGTTTTTATCATAACCTGTACCTTCAATCATCTTCATTCTTCCTGACCTGATCTATTTTTCTCATCGTATTTACCACCTTCAAACATATGGTACACATCCTATTTACTTTGGGTATCTTATATTACAATATAATCTCAAAACAGATTTTGTTGATTTTATTTACAAGATGTAACCAAAGGGCCTAGATTATCTTTATAGCATAGTATATGTTCAAAATTTATTACCAAATAAATATAAAGTACATTTATGAAAGGTGAAGGAGAATATAAAACAGAGGGAAGATCTTCAGAACTACCACAACAAAATGACACATAACTTAAAAGTCAAAATACCAACACTGACTTCTTATCAACAGCAATAAAAAGTAGGAAAAAATTTGGAAAATATCCTCAATGAGTTTAGACACACTTCTATACATTAGAGGTTTATAAAACACAAAAACTCCTTTTATAAATGAGTCAAAATAATGACATTTTAGACAAAGAATAACAGAAAATTTATCATCCAAAAGCACCTTCCAAAGAAATTTCAAAAGACAAATTTCAAACAAAGGAAAATGATCACAGATAAAAGATTTGGGATAAAATAAATAATAATGAGAAAAATAGAATATATATGGGAGGTATAAAAAAGAAAATAAAATTTACTTCAATACAAAATTGAAATGTGTAAAGATGTTTTGGTGGGGGTCTCCATTGCTCTTCAGCTTTGATTATTTAAAAAACTCTCAGAACTCAGAGAAGCAATTATACTCATGTTTACAGTTTATTAAAACAAAAGGATGCAGAGTCATATCAACAAAGGAAAAAGATTCTCAGGGCAAATTCCAGGAGACTCCAGGAACAAACTTACAAGTGTCCATCACAGCAGAATCACATGCAGATACACTTCAATTTCCCAGTAATGCTGCATACAACCACATGTGAATTCTTGGCAATTAGAGCAGCTTATTTATTCTTTGATGTCCCAGGTTTTTATTGGTGGTTAATCACATAGGCATGCAATGCCCACGTGGCAAAACTTGGCAAATTCAGCTTCCTTTCCATGATCCCTCTAGAACAAAACCAGGCATTCAGCATAAATCATATCTTAGAATAAATGTATCTGGTTAAATTGATACTACATGGTTCAAATAAATACAGCATGGCTCAGGGCCTCAGGCATATAAAGTCAGTCATTCACCATAAACCCAAGGCCTCAGATATACAAAAACACTCTTCACGGTAGGACTATTTCCAGAACTCAGAGGCTAGCTAGTCCTAAAAACAAACCTTACCTTTGAATGTGCAGGGTTGAAGAAACCCTGGCCTGCTGAGTTAACACATTCTTGCCTAATCCATATTTATTGTCCCTGGTCTAATCTCTTCTGTAGCAAAACAATCATATTTTTCTGAGCATCTACATTGAATATGGCATTTATATGACAGTAACAACAGTAATATTAACATGAATATGCCTAGCATTTTATGGTCACAGTGTAGGGTAAAGATTGATTTTTAAAAATTACTAATGCATCCTACAAGGCCATTACATACACTTTAATATTTTGTACAAATGAAATTACTCATTCCTCCTCTCAATCTGCTTTTATTTTTACTTTTTGATAAATCTGTCCAGAACTATTTAGCATTGAAATTAGATAATGGTTAGCTAAATTCTGTTTTCTCAGGCCATTTATTATTCACCCAGATTACATTCTGAAGAGGCTTTAACTCAATATGTTAATACATTTGATTATCAATATAAGCATTATATAACTTCTCTACATAAGATAGTTGAATCTTACCAACAATGCTAGTGTAATGTCATATTGCAGTATGATCATGTTACAATTCAGTTTTATTACAGAAAAAGTTATTATGAATGATAGAGCTATTTGTTACAGCTACTCAACATAATTGGTTCTTGTCTTTATACCATATAGTATTATAAATAAGTGTTATTACTACTCAGCATGATTTGATTATTTCTGGGTTTCTAATGGGTTGTGGACTTAGCCAGTCACCTTGTCTTAGTTCACAGGCCCTAATTGACAATGGTCTCTACTATATGCTGTCATACACCAGGATACACTCCCTTCCTATAGACAAGACACAAGAATAAGAATAGTTTATATCTCTGCTACCTGTACTACAGGATGTCTTATCCTTATCTATTCTTGGGGCAATGGCAATAACAATGAATTAATATAAGTTATGAGTGACCTCAGAGATGGGGTCCCTAAGATTATATAAATGTGTCCTTCTGCATCTAAGAAGAACCATTACCTTATGGTTATTTAGGCCTCCATCTGTGTTAAAGTGATAAAGTGATGCTATTGAGTCATAATACAAGCTCATTACCAGTGTTGGGTCCTAGCATTATCCATCATTAATTGTTGAGTCTACCTTACCAAGTTCACTAAAACTTCATCATTTTTTCCAGGTTGAATCCCCATCCCTTCCTCTCTCATAGATGAGAATTCCCTCTAATCTATTTATTTTAGTTAATAAATCTTCTTTCCTTAAAAGCCATTCATGATTAAAAATGAATTCAGCTTTTCTCACAATGCCTAGATCAGCATCTATCTCCCTGAAGGTTTTTTTCTGTTAGTAGGCCAATGCTTAACCCAAGAGGGTTGTTGTCATTGTGTACTAGATTTAACTGGAATGAGGAACCATGTTTTACACTCCAGACTGTTTGGTTCTCAGTATGAGGATAAAAATAAGAAAAAACAAAACAACAAACAAACAACAAAAAAAAAAAACAAGAGTTCTCTACAATTTTCGAGAAACAGAAGAGGAAGAAATGCTTCTCAATTCATTTTATGAAGCAAGCATGACACTTAAACAGAAGAAGACAAAGATGATAAAAAAAAGAAAAGGAAAACAAACAAACAAAACTTTAGACCAACATAACCTAGATGCAAATCTACAAATATACCCTAGATGCAAAATCCTCAACAACTTGAATACGACACTATGTAAAAAAGTGACACATGACCAAGCCATGTTTATTCCAGAAATGCAAGACAGTTGCAATATTTTAAAAGATCTAATAATATAGTTCATCATATTAATATTCTAAAATAGGAAAATGCATGAACAGTACAATAAATGCAGGGGAAAAAGACACTATTCAACAGTTACTTGTGATAAAAATTCAGCAAACCAGAAATAGCAGAAAATTCCTTCATCTTGATAAAGAGCATACAAAAAATCCATCATATTTAGCTGTGAAACACTGAATGTTTTCCACATGTATGCTCAGGAATAAAGCAAAGATGTTTGCTTTTATCACTCTTTTTCAACATAATACTTAGAGTTCTATCCAGTGTGTAAGGAAAAAAAGGAAGAATAAAATAAATGCAGACTGGAAAGAAATAAGTAAAACTGTTCCTATTTGTAAATAATATGATTATATATGTAGAAATTTATACAGCATTTAGGAGAGAGAAGGAATGTAGAAAAGGGAGAGGAAGAGGGAGGCAAAAACAAAGGGGAAGGAGAAAGTAAAAGAACAGTGGAAGGAGAAGCAGTGTCTCCTAAAATTAAGAAGGATTTAGCAAGATTAGGACAAAAGGTAAAAACAGGTTTCCTGATATTTTTAATTGCATTTCAATAGCTTTCCAAACATAAATATTTCTCAGGTAGTTGAATGCTTTGGTCAATTTCGAGAGTGATGGAAGGCTGTTTTAATGAATTTCTAGTGGCCTTTTGTGTAGAGGATTTGCTGGTCTTTGCAAGTGACCATAGTCCACATTGATGGGTTGATTGAATATGGAAACCATCTTGAACTCCCAAGATAAATGCCAATTAGTAATGATATATTTTACAAACACACGTGCATGCACACACATACACACACATACATGAGAGGATTTAATTGGATAATATTTTGCTGAAGTTTTTGAAATCTAAATTCATCATCTAAATACATATTTGTCTACAGGACATTTTCTTGTAATGTCGTTTTTATGGTTTTGGTATGGGGGTAATGGTAGACTCATAAAACATGTTGAAAAGTGTTTCCTCTTATTATTTTGAAATACGTCCCATCAATACCCAATTTATTGAGAGTTTTTAGCATGAAGGGTTGTTGAATTTTGTCAAAGGCTTTTTCTGCATCTATTGAGATAATCATGTGGTTTTTGTCTTTGGCTCTGTTTATATGGTGGATTACATTTATTGATTTGCATATATTGAACCAGCCTTGCATCCCAGGGATGAAGCCCACTTGATCATGGTGAATAAGCTTTTTGATGTGCTGCTGGATTCGTTTTGCCAGTATTTTATTGAGGATTTTTGCATCAATGT